>NT_167249.2:4063073-4371266 GCF_000001405.40 Homo sapiens
TATTGTGCTGTGTCTGAAATGAGTGGTTTCACAATATATGTTATTTCCCTTCTTTACATCCTCCTTTCTGCTAAATTCAGTCCACCAACTCGGGTCTCTGAATCCCACTCAAGTCACCATTTGCCCATAAATCAGTGAAACCTGAAGACTCCCTGTCTGTGGTCATCCAGTCAGCTTCCTTCAGTACCAAGATTTTGCCTCCACAAACGCTCCAGTCAGTCAGGAATACAGACAACTTTTCCTCAAATACGGAGACTACAGACACCATTGCTGCCTTACATTTCCCAATGCAGGATCCCATAATATTTAGTCCAGGCAAAGTCTTGGGGCACGCCTAAATGACAAATCCTGCTGTGTCTCTGGAGAAATTCGTATCTTCAAAAATAACCCCATGCTCACTTTGTCCTGTCACTGGTAGTAAATGTACACTTTGTCTCCTCTTTCCTCTCCTCTCTCCTTCTCTTCCAGGCTTAAGCCTGTAGGATGGGGATCCGACTGTGCTCACCTCATCACTAAAAGATAAATGGGAATGCAACATCGTTCTCTTTCCCCAAAGAGAGGAAATGTTGATGAAAGATTGTGTCCGAGATCATGGAGATCACCATCCCCCTACCCCAGCCCAAGGAGAGCCTGTTCCCAGAGTGGCGGCTCTGGAGAGCAGTGGCCCTGCACTTACCGGGAGAGTCTCTGCCCTCAGCCACCGGGGTGCTCAGCATCGCCAGCATCAAGGTCACAGTTGCTACCCGAAGGCCTCCAGGGATCCGCAAAGCCTTCTTCCAAGACATAATTGAGACGAAGGGAAAAGTAGTGGTAGTCAACACAGCTTGGACCTGATGGATCTGATGTACCTGGCAGAAAGAATAAAAACCTGTGGATGTTTCCCTGCGTGGCAGGATTGGATGGTCCTTTGGAAAGGAACCAATCAGCACTGGAGCTGAAGGACCTAATCTGTCTCTAGGCAGACATTTTTTTTTGTGAAGGTTCTCAATCCAGTCCCTGGCACTGTGACGTCTTCAAATTGCACTGGATGAACATTTGAGGTGAAAACTTCCTCTCAATTATAGAAGAGCTGAAGATTGAATGCCTAAGGGATTTTAAGAAGCCAAAGAAAAATGCGATTCAACAGTAAACATCTTTGTAATATTGATTAAAAACTGGTTGTTTTTATACTTGGGATTCTTTCAGTAGGGCAAATTAAGTGGGGATCATATTTCAGGGGAGAGAAAATTGCTGTCATAGACATTTTTACTGCTGTTGTCTTAGACACACCCTGAGGAGCCTTAAGTTTTGGTGAGAAGAGCAAAGTTCTTAGAAGGAAATAATGGTGAGTTGCAGTTCCACCACTAATGTGCTTTAGGAGAGTCAACAAATAACTGAATTTATTTTTGCCCCAGGATTCTCTTTGTAAAATATGGGTCATGTTTCATGCATTTTACAGCTAGATCTTCACATATACAAATTTAAGATTAATATGACTTGTTTAATATTACAAAAGGCTCCTCAACTGTTATGTGTAACTATCAGATTAATATGTGGAACAAGAAAACAAGCCAAAAAAAATTGATACCCACCTCTGCTGGTAAATGATTCTTCATTATGCAAGAATATATTGTATTTATGCTCTTCGAGTAAAAGTATTTGAAAAGTTTATTAAGTTGACATTTCTGTTTTAAGTTCTTCAGCTGTTTAAATCGTCCCTGAACCATGAAATGGGTGCATCTGATATCAGCAAAGGCACAGTACACAAACCTTTACAGTATTCAGACACAGTCATGTTTAGTTTTGAAGAGAGAGAGCAAAAGCTGTAGAGAAGCATTTCCTAGGTCCTGAATAGTATTAATGATGGAGAAAATGTTTAGTCACAGATTGTACTGTGCCAGCCCTAAATATCAAATCCCAAATGGCAGAGGTATCAATGTGGTTTTTTTTCCATTTTTAAAAATTTATTTAACAGTTCCTTATGGACATATCCACATCAATGTGCTTTTATAAATAAACGAAATCAGGTTCCTCTTGCCAGTGACTAGGGGCAGTACTAATGGTTATAAAGCAATTAGAACAATGCCTGGTGTGGGCAGCAAGCCACCCAGGTGCTGAGGCAACAGACCGAGGGCACGAGCTGTTCCAGTATAATAAAGAAAATATATAAAATAAGAATAGTTATACTAGATATAGATCATATATATGATTATATATGAATATCATTAATCATTAGTTTGTAGCAATTACTCTTCATTCCAATATTATAATAATCTTCGCTCTACAATCATAATCTAGGAAAAACCAGGCCATACAGAGATAGGAGCTGAAGGGATATGGTGAGAAGTGACCAGAAGACAAGTGTGAGCCTTCTGTGATGCCCAGACAGGGCCACTAGAGGGCTACTTGGTCTAGCGGTAACGCCAGCACCTGGGAAGACGCCCGTTGCCTAGCGGACCTTGGTCTAGCGGTAGCATCAGTACCTAGAAAAAGCACCCGTTACTTAGCAGACCGGGAAAGGGAGTCTCCCTTTCCCCGGGGGGAGTTAGAGAAGCCTCTGCTCCACCACCTCTTGTGGAGGGCCTGACATCAGTCAGGCCCGCCCGCCGTTATCCGGAGGCCTAACAGTCTCCCTGTGATGCTGTGCTTCAGCGGTCACGTTCCTGGTCCGCTTTCATGTTCCACCCTGTACACCTGGCTCTGCCTTCTAGATAGCAGTAGCAGAATTAGTGAAAGTACTAAAAGTCTCTGAAATGCAGAAATAAGAACGTAAGCTGTCTCCTCTCTCTCTCCGCCTCGGCTGCTAGACAGGGAAGGGCCCCCTGTCCAGTGGACACATGACCCACGTGACCTTACCTATCATTGGAGATGGCTCACACTCCTTACCCTGCCCCCTTGTCTTGTATCCAATATATAATAGCGCAGCCTGGCATTCGGGGCCACTAACAGTCTCCGCCTCTTGGTGGTAGTGGTCCCCCGGGCCCAGCTGTCTTTTCTTCTATCTCTTTGTCTTGTGTCTTTATTTCTACGATCCCTCGTCTCCGCACACAGGGAGAAAGACCCACAGACCCTGTAGGGCTGGCACCTACAGACTGGCAAACATTACTTCTGACCTCAACCAAGACAATAAATATCTCCACCTCTCTTCTTCTCTCCCTTTCTCTCTTTCTCTTCCCGAAATTTTAGGTTCTGCTTTTAAAGTAGAGAATACAATCTAAAATCAGAATATAAGTTTACCAGGTAAAAAGAAGCAGGCAAGAGGCAACAGCAAGAGGTTTGCAATAGTGGCACATGAAAGCGTTGAGCCACTCCAATATTCTGTATTATTCAATGCATAATTCTAGAGCACCTGAGACTGGGAAAGTTGCCACTGGGCATCCAACAGCAGTGGTGTACTCAGGGTCAGGGTAAACCCAGTCTAAGGAGGGTCTCCACTGCTGTGATGGACGCATAAAGGAGGAACCATACGCACACCTGGAATGGAGTTGGCACAAGGAATAATAGGCAGAGAGACCTGAAGGTGCCCTCAATGTCCTTCCTCAGCCCCCACATCAGTGTCCCTCAGGATAGAGGCCTCTAATGCATCCTATCCTTCCTGTTTAAGGGAAAAATTTCCCGCAGGTTTATTCTGAGGCAAAGGCTGCATCAGACCTGGGGATTCCCCAGTCTCACAGGCCTCTTTGCACAGACTTTTCAGCTAGCAACAATTGTCACTTCAGAGCCTTTTTCTGATTGGCTAAAACCTCACTGGAAAGGTTTTGCTTTGGGCTTCTGCCAGCTGTGTCTGCCTGACCCAGCCTTCTCTACAGTTGTCTACCCTGGCCCTATCCCTGCTGCATTATTCAGGGCATTCAGGCAGAAGAAGGCCAGCGAAGAAAGAAACTAGGTCAAGCATCCTTATTCCGAGTGTCTCACCTGAATCGCCTGCCCAGCCTCTGTGGAGGCAGAACAATTAAAGCATTTACTCCATATGGGTAAATGGGCTAAAAAGTCACTGCCATTAGTAGGGAGGGTCAGGGTTACAGTAGGGAGACTGTCTTTAGGGGACATCCTCTCTTCCTTCAGGCTGGAAGAAAAAGTCGTGGACTCCTTCTTTGTGAAAATCAAGGGAGAAATCATCTTCTCTGGTCAACATCTCTTGGAATCTGTGCTTGGTCAGTGGAGTGAATGTGAACATAGGAGCCATCCTGTCACCAGAAGGACCATCCAAGACCTTACCCTGCATTTACTTCAGGAATCAAGAATCACTGTATATTCTGAAAGGTTCTGTGGCCTCCTTAATGCCAATGGTAATATAACTAGAAATGCTGCTCCCAGAATATTGTTTTCTTTTAATTAAAATTTATCAAGCAATTATCCCTAAATTTTTCAAAATCTTTGTGAAGCCACTTACATATTTCTTTTATATCAACTTCTAGGTTACCAGTTATATATAACAATTTTTCGTGGCACATATAAACTAGGTCCTTTCTCTTGGCACAAAGTTATCTCTTTAAAATCTCAGTCTAGAGAATCTGAAGAAAGCACCAAATCAGTAGCATTCAGGGGCTGTGTTCAGACAGTGCCTCCCACAAGCAAGTGGCCATGGTGAAACTCCAGGGTGGAAGTCGGGTAAGAATTGGAGGATGATGGAGAGTGAAGGGGTAGGAGTATGGGAAAAGCTTTAGCAGGAAGATAGAAAATCAGGTGATACAGGACATTTGGGACATTTGAGGGGATATGAGGAATGTGGGTGATCTTGGCACAGAAGCCCAGACCTCACCAGTCCCATGGCTCCTCATGCTCTATGAAAATAGCCCTTGAAGATAGAAGACTGGAACAAAAACCAAACTGCCTGCTGTGGGTATGCTGTACAATGAAGCTTTGTTTCCTGATCTATATTTTCAGGTTCCTTCCTCCTGTCAATCTCCTCATCCACGCATCGCCTCAGTTGGACCACTGGTGATTAAACCACCGGGAGCTAGCCTACACATGTCACTCTTTCCAACACACCTCTGCTTGTCTCTACTTCTGGTTCCGTAGTGATGCCTGGGATATTTCCAGAGACAGCTCTTCCCCCAGCCTCTAGATTAGTAGTCACCATGCTCCTTCATTCCCAGAAAAAACTTAAATATTTCTCTGGGAGATCTTTATAATGTCTCCTTTTTCTGTAAGTTCTTACCAGTAAAGAGAGGCCCTAATGTTCAGCCACATAAAAGTATATATAGTTCTTGAGTACTTAAACCCATATCCAAGTACTCAAAAACTCGTATGTCCAAGAACTCAGCTCAAGGCCATGGTTCATGCAAAACAGCAACATTAGCAGTAATATTCTGGGGAGAATACTCTTACACCCTCAAATAGGAAAACTTAAGATATTCCATTTTAACCACAATGACATATCACCTCACATCTGTCAGAATGGCTATTATCAAAAAGACAAAAGATAACAAGTGTTAAGGATGTAGACAAAAGGAAACATTCGTACGCTGTTGGTGGGAATGTAAATTAGTACAAACATTATGGAAAACAATATGGAAATTCCTCAAAAAGTTAAAAACAGAACTATCATATGATGTAGTAACCCCATTTGCAGGATGTAGACAAAGAATTTAAAATTAGTATGTTGAAAATATACCTATACTCCTATGTTCCTTGCAGCATTATTCACAATAGTCAAGGTATAGAATCAACCTGTGTCATTCAGCAGATGAATAGATAAAGAACATGTGGTATGTATACACAATTAAATCCTATTCAGACTTTAAAAAGAAGGAAATCCTGTTGTAAGTCAGAAAGTGACTGAGGTAGGTCTCAGTCAATTAAAGGTTTATTTTGCCAAGGTTGAGGAATACACGTGGGAAAAACACAAATCACAGGAGCATCTGTGATCCATGTTTTGCCAAAGAGGGTTTTGAGAACTTCAGTATTTAAAGGAGAAAGAGCAAGCAGGAGTGAAAGGAGAAAAAAAGGAGGAAGAGTAGGGCACGACACAATTGGTTACATTCCTGAGTCTTTGATTAGCCTCAGTAAATCTACATTTTACCTGTGAAAAGAGAGTAGAGGAAAAAGTTGATTATAAATTATGTTATGCTCAGTAAATCTACATTTTACATAAAATTAAGGAAACGTGAAAAGAGGGAAGGAGTAGAGGAAACGAGGTTATGACAAGGGGTTGTGAAATTGCCGTTATCTGTTTGGGAACAAAAGGAAGACAGTATTGGTGCCTCAGTCCTCAACATTAACTTTCCCTTGGCATAGTGAGTTTGGGGTCCCAAGATTCTATTTTTCTTTCACACTGTTATTTATGACAACATGCATGGACCTAGAGGACATTAAGCTAAGTGAAATCAGCCAGACACGGAAAGACAAGTAATGCATGATCTTACTTATATGAGGAATCTAAAAAATCCCATTTTTGAATTGAATTTATTTTATTTTATTTTGTTTTATGTTCTAGCGTACATGTATAGGACACGCAGGTTTGTTACATGGGTAAACGTGTGGCATGGCGGTTTGCTGCAGCTATCAACCCATCACCTAGGTATTAAGCCCAGCATGCATGAGCTATTTATCCTGATGCTCTCCCTGCCCCTGCCCCTCATAGGCCCCAGTGTGTGTTGTTCCCCTCCCTGTGTCCATGTGTTCTCATTGTTCAGCTCCCACTTATTAGTGAGAACATGCAGTACTTGGTTTTCTGTTCCTGCATTAGTTTGCTGAGGACAATGGCTTCCAGCTCCATCCATGTCCCTGCAAAGGACATAATCTCATTATTTTTTATGGCTTCATAGTATTCCATGGTGTGTATGTACCATATTTTCTTTATCCGGTATATCACTGATGGACATTTGGGTTGATTCCATGCCTTTGTTATTGTGAATAGTGCTTCAATAAACACACGCATGCATGTATCTTTATAATAGAATGATTTATATTCCTTTGGGTATATACTTAATGATATGGTTTGGCTGTGTCCCCACCCAAATCTCAACTTGAATTGTATCTCCCAGAATTTCCACGTGTTGTGGGAGGGACCCAGGGGGAGGTAATTCGATCACGGGGACTGGTCTTTCCCATGCTATTCTCACAATGGTGAATAAGCCTCACAATAGCTGATGGGTTTATTAGGGGTTTCTTCTTTTGTTTCTTCCCCATTTCTCTTGCCATAGCCATGTAAGAAGTGCCTTTCACCTCCCACCATGATTCTGAGGCCTCCCCAGTCATGTGGAACTGTAAGTCCAATTAAACCTCTTATTCTTCCCAGTCTCCAGTATGTATTTATCAGCAGTGTGAAAAAGAACTCATATAGTAAATTTGTTCCAGGATTGGGGTGTTGTTGAAAAGATACCTAAAAATGTGGAAGCAACTTTGTACTGGGTAACAGACAGAGGTTGGAACAGTTTGGAGGGCTCTGAAGAAGACAGGAAAATGTGGGAAAGTTTGGAACCTCCTAGAGATTTGTTGAATAGCTTTGATAAAAATGCTGATAGTGATATGAAAAATAAGGTCCAGGCCAAGGTGGTCTCAGATGGAGAAGAGAAACTTGTTGGGAACAGGAGCAAAGGTGACTCTTGTTATGTTTTGGCAAAGAGACTGGTGGCATTTTGCCCATGCCCTAGAGATTCGTGGAACTTTGAACTTGAGAGAGATGATTTAGGGTATCTGGCAGAAGAAATTTCTAAGCAGCAAAACATTCAAGAGGTGACTTGGGTACTGTTAAAAGCATTCCATTTTAAAAGGGAAACAGAGCATAACAGTTCAGAAAAACTGCAGTCTGGTGATGCAGTAGAAAAGAAAAACCCATTTTTTAGGAAAAATTCAAGCCAGCTGCAGAAATCTGCATAAGTAGCAAGGAGCCTAATATTAATCCCCAAGACCATGGGAAAATGTCTCCAGGCCATGTCAGAGACCTTTACAGCAGCCCCTCCCATCACAGAACCAGAGGCCCAGGAGGAAAAAGTGGTTTTGTGGACCAGGCCTAGGGTCACCGTGCTGTATGCAGCCTAGGGACTTGGTGCCCTGTGTTCCAGCTGCTTCAGCCATGGCTGAAACAGGCCAATGTACAGCTCAGGCTGTGGCTTCAGAGGGTGGAAGCCCCAAGCCTTGGCAGCTTCCATGTGGTGTTGAGCCTGCGGGTGCACAGAAGTCAAGAATTGAGGTTTGGAAACCTCCACCTAGATTTCAGAAGATGTGGGGAAATGCCCAAATGCCCAGGCAAAAGTTTGCTTCAGGGGCAGGGACCTCATGGAGAACCTCTGCTAGGGCAGTGTGGAAGGGAAATGTGGGGTCTTAGCCCCCAAATAGGGTCCCTACTGAGGCACTGCCTAGTGGAGCTGTGAGAAGAGGGCCACCATCCTCGAGACCCCAGAATGGTAGATCCACTGACAGCTTGCACTGTGGGCCTGGAAAAGCCACAGACACTCAAAGCCAGCCCTTGAAAGCAGTCAGGAGGGAGGCTGTACCCTGCACAGCCACAGAGGCAGAGCTGCCCAAGACCATGGGAACCTACCTCTTGTATCGGTGTGACCTGGATGTGAGACCTGGAGTCAAAGGAGATCATTTTGGAGCTTTAAAATTTGACTGAGGCTGAGTGCGGTGGCTCGTGCTTGTAATCCCAGCACGTTGGGAGACCAAGGCGGGTGGATCACAAGGTCTGGAGATCAAGACCATCCTGGCTAACACAGTGAATCCCCATCTCTACTAAAAATACAAAAAAGTTAGCAGGGTGTGGTGGCGGGTGCCTGTAGTCCCACCTACTCAGGAGGCTGAAGCAGGAGAATGGTGTGAACCCGGGAGGCAGAGCTTGCAGTGAGCAGAGATTGCGCCACTGCACTCCAGCCTGGATGACAGAGTGAGACTCCGTCTCAAAAAAATAAATAAATAAAAATAAAAATAAATAAAATAATAAAATAAAAAAATTTGACTGTCCCGCTGGATTTCAGACTTGCATGGGCCCTGTAACCCCTTTGTTTTGGCCAATTTCTCCTATTTGGAATGGCTGTATTTACCCAATACCTGTACCCCCATTGTATCTAAAAAGTAACTAGCTTGCTTTTGATTTTACAGGTTCATAAGTGGAAGGGACTTGCCTTGTCTCAGATGAGACTTTGGACTACGGACTTTTGGGTTAATGCTGAAATGAGTTAAGACTTTGGGGAACTGTTGGGAAGGCATGATTGGTTTTGAAATGTGAAGAGGTGAGATTTGGAGGGGCCAGGGGAAGAATAATATGGTTTGCCTGTGTCCCCACCCAAATCTCAACTTGAATTGTATATCCCAGAAATCCCATGTGTTGTGGGAGGGACTCAGGAGGAGGTAATTGAATCATGGGGGCCAGTCTTTCCCATGCTATTCTCGCAATAGTGGATAAGTCTCACAAGATCCGATGGGTTTATCAGGGGTTTCTGCTTTTGTTTCTTCCTCATATTCTCCTGCCACTGCCATGTAAGAAGTGCCTTTCACCTCCCGCCACGATTCTGAGGCCTCCCCAGTCATGTGGAACTGTAAGTCCAATTACACCTCTTTTTCTTCCCAGTTTCGGATATGTCTTTATCAGCAGCATGAAAATGAACTAATACACTCAGTAATGGAATTGTTGGGTCAAATGGTATTTCTGGTTCTAGGTCTGGGAAGAATTGCCACACTGTCTTCCACAATGGTTAAACTAATTTACATTCCCGCCAACAGTGTAAAAGTGTTTCTTTTTCTCTGAAGCCTCGATAGCATCTGTTGTTTCTTGAGTTTTTAGTAATCGCCATACTGACTGGCATGAGATAGCATCTCATTGTGATTTTAATTTGCATTTCTCTAATGATCAGCAATGTTAAGCTTTTTTCATATGTTTGTTTGCTACATAAATGTCTTATTTTGAGAAGTGTCTGTTAATGTCCTTTGCCCACTTTTTAATGTTTTTTTTCTTGCAAATTTGTTTAAGTTCCTTGTAGACTGGATATTAGACCTTTGTAAGATGGATAGGTTATAAAATTTTTCTGACATTCTGTGGGTTGTCTGCTCGCTCTAATAATAGTTTATTTTGCTGTACAGAAGCTCTTTAGTTTAATTAGATCCCATTTGTCAGTATTTGCTTTTGTTGCAATTGCTTTTGATGTTTTTGTCATGAAGCCTTTGCCCATGTCTATGTCCTGAATGGTGTTGCTTAGATTTTCTTCTAGGGTTTTTATAGTTTTGGGTTTTACATATAAGTCTCTAATCCATCTTGAGTTAATTTTTGTATAAGGTGTAAGGAAGGGGTCCAGTTTCAACTTTATGCATATGGGTAGCCGGTTCTCTCAGCACCATTTATTAAATAGGGAATCCTTTCCCCATTGCTTGTTTTTATCAGGTTTTTTGAAGATCAGATGGTTGTAGATGTGTGGTCTTACTTCTGAGTTCTGTATTCTGTTTCATTGGTCTGTTTTTGTACCAGTACCATGCTGTTTTGGTTACTTCAGCCTTGTAGTATAGTTTGAAGTCAGGTAGCATGATGTCTCCAACTTTGTTCTTTTTGCTTAGGATGATTGTCTTGGCTATATGGGCTTTTTTTGGTTCCAGGTGAATTTTTAAATAGTTTTTTTCTAATTTTGTGAAGAATGTCAGTGGTAGTTTGATGGGAATAGCATTGAATCTACAAATTACTTTGGGCAGTATGGCCATTTTCATGAAATTGATTTTTTTGTATTCATGAGCATGGGATGTTTGTCCATTTGTTTGTGTCCTCTTTGATATCCTTGAGCAGTGGTTTGTAATTCTCTTTGAAGAGGTTCTTCCCTTCCCTTGTTAGCTGTATTCCTAGGTATTTATTCTCTTTGTAGCAATTGTGAATGGGAGTTCATTCATGATTTGGCTCTCTGCTTGTCTGTTGTTGACGTATAGGAATGCTTGTGATTTCTGCACATTGATTTTGCATCCTTGTGGGGAAAAGAAAGAGAGATCAGATTGTTACTGTGTCTGTGTAGAAAGAAGTAGACATAGGAGACTCCATTTTGTTCTGTACTAAGACAAATTCTTCTGCCTTGGGATGCTGTTAATCTATAACCTTACCCCCAACCCTGTGCTCTCTGAAACATGTGCTGTGTCAACTCGGGGTTAAATGGATTAAGGGCGGTGCAAGATGTGCTTTGTTAAACAGATGCTTGAAGGCAGCATGCTCCTTAAGAGTCATCACCACTCCCTAATCTCAAGTACCCAGGGACACAAACAGAAGGCCGCAGGGACCTCTGCCTAGGAAAGCCAGGTATTGTCCAAGGTTTCTCCCCATGTGACAGTCTGAAATATGGCCTCGTGGGAAGGGAAAGACCTGACCGTCCCCCAGCCTGACACCCGTAAAGGGTCTGTGCTGAGGAGGATTAGTATAAGAGGAAGGCATGCCTCTTGCAGTTGAGACAAGAGAAAGGCATCTCTCTCCTGTCCGTCCCTGGGCAATGGAATGTCTCGGTATAAAACCCGATTGTATGTTCCATCTACTGAGATAAGGGAAAACCGCCTTAGGGCTGGAGGTGGGACATGTGGGCAACAATACTGCTCTGTAAGGCATTGAGATGTTTATGTGTATGCATATCTAAAGCACAGCACTTAATCCTTTACCTTGTCTATGATGCAGAGAGCTTTGTTCACGTGTTTATCTGCTGACCTTCTCTCCACTATTATCTTATGACCCTGCCACATCCCCCTCTCTGAGAAACACCCAAAAATGATCAATAAATACTAAGGGAACTCAGAGGCTAGCGGGATCCTCCATATGCTGAATGCTGGTCCCCTGGGCCCCCTTATTTCTTTCTCTATACTTTGTCTCTGTGTCTTTTTCTTTTCTAAGTCTCTCATTCCACCTAACGAGAAACACCCACAGGTGTGGAGGGGCAACCCACCCCTTCACATCCTGAGACTGCTGAAGTCCCTTATGAGCTTAAGAAGCTTTTGGACTGAGACAATGAGATTTTCTAGGATCTAGGATCATGTCATCTGCAAACAAAGACAATTTGACTTCTTCTCTTCCTATTCGAATATGCTTTATTTCTTTTTCTTGCCTGATTGTCCTGGCCAGAAATTCCAATACCATGTTGAATAGGAGTGGTGAGAGTGGGCATTGTTGTTTTGTGCATGTTTTTAAGGGGAATGCTTCTGGCTTTTGCCCATTCAGTATGATATTGTCTGTGGGCTTGTCATAAGTGATTCTTATTATTTTGAGGTATGTTCCTTCAATACCTAGTTTATTGAGAGTTTTTAACATGAAGGGATGTTTAATTTTATTGAAGGCCTTTTCTGTGTCTATTGAGATAATCATGTGGTTTTTGTCTTTAATTCTGTTTATGTAATGAATTATGTTTATTGATTTGCATATGTTGAAACAGCCTGGCATCCTGGGGATGATGCCAACTTGATCGTGGTGGATAAACTTTTTGATGTGCTGGTGGATTCGGCTTGCCAGTATTTTATTGAGGATTTTTTAATCAGTGTCCATCAGTGATATTGGCCTGAAGTTTTCCTTTTTTGTTGTATCTCTGTCAGGCTTTGGTATCAGGATGACGCTGGCCTCATAAAATGAGTTAGAGAGGAGTCCTCCTTTTCAATTACTTGGAATAGCTTCAGAAGAAATGGTACCAGTTCTTCTTTGTACCTCTGGTGGAATTCAGCTGTAAACCTGTCTGGTCCCAGGCTTTTATTTTTGTTGGTAGGCTCTTTATTATGCCACAATTCCATAACTTGTTATTGGCATATTAAGGGATTCAACTTCTTCCTGGTTCAGTCTTGGGAGGGTGTATGTGTACAGGAATTTCTTTTAGATTTTTTAGTTAATGTGCATAGAGTTGTTTATAGTATTCTCTGATGGTTGTTTGTATTTCCGTGGGGTCAGTGGTGATATCCCCTTTATCATTTTTCATTGTGTCTATTTGATTTTTCTCTCTATTATTCTTTATTAGTCTAGCTGGCAGTCTGTCTATATTATTAATATTTTCAAAAGACCAGATCCTGGATTCATTGATTTTTTGAAGGGTTTTTTGGTGTCTCTATCTTCTTCAGTTCCAGTCTGATTTTGGTTATTTCTTATCTTCTGCTAGCTTTGGGGTTTGTTTTTTCTTGGTTCTCTAGTTCTTCTAGTTGTGATGTTAGGATGTCAACTTGAAATCTTTCTAGCTTTTTGATGTGTGCATTTAGTACTATAAATTTCCCGCTTAACACTGCTTTAGCTGTATCCCAGAGATTCTGATACATTGTCTCTTTGTTCTCATTGGTTTCAAAGAACTTCCTGATTTCTGCATTAATTTCATTATTTACCCAGGAGTCTTACAGGAGCAGGTTGTTCAATTTCCATGTAGTTGTGTGGTTTTGAGTGAGTTTCTTAATCCTGAGTTCTAATTTGATTTCACTTTGGTCTGAGAGACTGTGATGATTTCAGTTCTTTTGCATTTGCTGAGGAGTGTTTTACTTCCAAATATGTGATCAATTTTAGAATAAGTGCCATGTGGCACCAAGAAGAATGTATACTGTGTTTTTTTGGGTGGAGAGTTCTGTAGATATCTATCAGGTCCACTTGATCCAGTGGTGAGTTCAAGTCATGAATATCTTTGTTAATTTCCTGTCTCAATGATTTGTCTAATATTGACAGTGGGGTGTTAAAGTCTCCCAATATTATTGTGTGAGAGTCTAAGTGTCTTTATAGGTCTCTAAGAATTTGTTTCATGAATCCAGGTACTCTTGTGTTGGGTGGATGTATATTTAGGTTAGTTAGCTCTTCTCGTTGAATTGAACCCTTTACTGTTATATAATGCTCTTCTTTGTCTTTTCTGATCTTTGTTGGTTTAAAGTCTGTTTTGTCAGAAACTAGGATTGCAACCCCTGCTTTTTTTTCTGTTTTCCATTTGCTTGGTAGATTTTCCTCCATTCCTTTATTTTGAGTGTATGTGTGTCTTCGCACATGAGATGGATCTGTTGCATACAACACACTGATGAGTCTTGACTCTTTATCCAGCTTGTCATTGTGTGCCTTTTAATTGGGGCATTTAGCCTATTTATATTTAAGGTTAATATTCTTATGTGTGAATTTGATCCTGTCATCATGATGCTGGCTGGTTGTTTTGCAGACTTGTTTATGTAGTTGCTTCATAGTGTCATTGGTCTGTGTACTTTAGTGTATTTTTGTAGTGGCTGGTAATGGTTTTTCCTTTCCATATCCAGTGCTTCCTTCAGGAGCTCTTGCAAGGTAGACCTGGTGATGACGAGTTCCCTCAGCATTTGCTTGACTGGAGAGGATTTTATTTCTCCTTCACTTATGAAGCTTAGTTTGGCCAGAAAAGAAATTCTGGGTTGGAAATTATTTTCTTTAAGAATGTTGAATATTGGCCCCCAATCTCTTCTGGCTTGTAGGGTGTCTGCTGAGAGGTCTGCTGTTAGTCTTATGGACTTCCCTTTGTAGGTGACCTGGCCTTTCACTCCGGCTGCCCTTAACATTTTTTCCTTCATTTTGACCCTGGAGAATATGATTATGTGTCTTGGGGTTTGTCTTCTCATGGAGTATCTTACTGGGGTTCTCTGAATTTCCTGAATTTGAATGGTGGCCTGTCTTGGTAGTTTAGGGAAGTTCTCCTGGTTGATATCCTGAAGTATGTTTCTCAACTTAGGTCATTCTTCCCATCTCTTTCAGGCAACCCAATCAGTCATAGCTTCAGTCTTTTTTACATAATCTCATAGTTCTTGGAAGTTTTGTTCATTCCTTTTCATTCTTTTTTTCTGTAATATTGTCTGCCTGTCTTATTTTGGTAAGATAGTCTTTAAGTTCTGAAATTCTTTCTACCACTTGGTCTATTTGGCTACTAATACTTGTGATTGGATTGCAAAGTTCTTGTGTTGTGTTTTTCAGCTCCATCAAGCTATTTATGTTCCTCTCTAAACTGGTTATTCTGGTTAACTGGTTAACAGCTCCTGTAATGTCTTATCGTGGTTCTTAGCTTCTTTGCATTGGGTTGGAACATACTCACTTTGTTCAGTGAAGTTTGTTATTACCCACCGTCTGAACCCTACCTCTGTCAAGTCATCCATTTCAGACTCAGCCCAGTTCTGTGCCATTGCTGGAGAGGTGTTGCAATCATTTGGAGGAGAAGAGACACTCTGGATTTTTTTATTTTCAGCATTTTTTGTTGATTTTTTCACATCTTCCTGGGTTTATCTACCTTCAGTCTTTGAAAATGCTGACCTTTGGTTGGGGTTTTTGTGGGGTCATTTGTTGTTGTTGTTGTCGTCATTATTGTTGCTTTCTGATTATTTTTCTTTTAAAAGTCAGGACCCTCTTCTGCAGAGCTGCTGTGGCTTGCTGGGGGTCCACTCCAGACCCAACTCGCCTGGGTCCCTCCTGCACCTGGAGGTGTTACCAGTGGAGGCTGCAGAACAGCAAAGATGGCTGCCTGCTCCTTCCTCTGGCAGCTCCATCCCAGGGCACTGACCTGATGCTGGTCAGAACTCTCCTGTATGAACTGTCCAGCAACCCCTGTTGGGAGGTCTCACCTAGTCAGGAGGCATGGGATCATGGGATCAGGGACCTGCTTAAGGAAGCACTCTGGATGCACATTAGTGGAGCAGGTGCACTGTGCTGCAGGGAATCCCCCTCCTCTGGACTGCCAGGCTCTTCAGAGCCAACAGGCAGGAAAGAGTAAGTTTGCTGAACTGTGGAGACTGTAGCCACCCCTCCCCCAAGGGGATGGACAGCCACAGTTTCCACAGTTTATGAACAGAGTTCTCTCCATAAACCCCTAGCTGGAGTTGCTGAAATTCCTGCAGAGAGGCCCCACCAAGTGAAGAGGGATGGATCCAGATCCCACCTAAAGAAGCAGTCTGGCCACGATCTGCTGCAGCTGCTGTGCTGCACTGTGGGGAGTTCCTACCAGTCCAAACCATTCAGTCTCCCCAGCACCGGGACAGGAAAATGGCCAACTGGAGCCACAGTGATGGCAGCCACCCCTCACCCTAGGAACTCAGTTGTTTTAAGCAGTCCCCAACAGGCTGCCACTGGCCACAACCCCAACAGCCACTAAGAGTCTGCACAGTTCTGTGCTTGGGACCCAAGGCTCTGGTGGCATGGGCTCACAAGGACATCTCCTGATCAGGAGTACAGATCAGGTTGTACAGATCCATGAAAAAAGCATGGTTTCCCTGGTGGAGTAGCACAATCATTCACCACCTCCCTTCGCTGGGGGTGGGAGTTACCCTTACCCCTTGTGACTTCTGTGGGGAAAAGCAAGAGAGATCAGATTGTTACTGTGTCTGTGTAGAAAGAAGTAGACATAGGAGACTCCATTTTGTTATGTACTAGGAGAAATTCTTCTGCCTTGAGATTCTGTTAATCTATAACCTTACCCCCAACCCCGTGCTCTCTGAAACATGTGCTGTGTCAACTCAGAGTTGAATGGATTAAGGGCGGTGCAAGATGTGCTTTGTTAAACAGATGCTTGAAGGCAGCATGCTCCTTAAGAGTCATCACCACTCCCTAATCTCAAGTACCCAGGGACACAAAAACTGCGGAAGGCCGCAGGGACCTCTGCCTAGGAAAGCCAGGTATTGTCCAAGGTTTCTCCCCATGTGAGAGTCTGAAATATGGCCTCGTGGGAAGGGAAAGACCTGACCATCCCCCAGCCCGACACCCGTAAAGGGTCTGTGCTGAGGAGGATTAGTAAAAGAGGAAGGAATGCCTCTTTCAGTTGAGACAAGAGGAAGGCATCTGTCTCCTGCCTGTCCCTGGGCAATGGAATGTCTCTGTATAAAACCCGATTGTATGCTCCATCTACTGAGATAGGGAAAAACTGCCTTAGGGCTGGAGGTGGGACCTGCGGGCAGCAATACTGCTTTGTAAAGCATTGAGATGTTTATGTGTATGCATATCTAAAAGCACAGCACTTAATCCTTTACATTGTCTATGATGCAAAGACCTTTGTTCACATGTTTGTCTGCTGACCCTCTCCCCACAATTGTCTTGTGACCCTGACACATCCCCCTCTTCGAGAAACACCCACAAATGATCAATAAATACTAAGGGAACTCAGAGGCTGGCGGGATCCTCCATATGCTGAACGCTGGTTCCCCGGGTCCCCTTATTTCTTTCTCTATACTTTGTCTCTGTGTCTTTTTCTTTCCTAAGTCTCTCGTTCCACCTTACGAGAAACACCCACAGGTGTGGAGGGGCAACCCACCCCTACAACTTCCGGGTGGGCTGTTGCTCCACCCTGCTTTTCTGCACCCTCCGTGGGTTGTGCCAACTGCCTAGTCAATACCAATGAGAAAACCTGGATACCTCAGCAGAAGGTACAGCGCTTACTCACTGTTTCCATTCTCCTCAGTGGGAGCCACAGAACAGAGCTACTTCTAATCAGCATTCTTGGCCCCTCCCTTGTTTTTTTATTTTTGGGTTTTAGAAGTTCTTTACAAATCCTGGATTTTTTTTTTAAGAGGCAGTGTCTTTCTATTTTGCCTACTTGTCTAGGCTGGTCTTGAACTCCTGGGCCTAAGTAATGCTCCTGACTTAGCCTACCAAGTAGCTGGGATTATAGGTATGAGGCACCATGCCCGATCATATTTTGCATACTGATCTCTTATGAGATATGCTATTTGTCAATATCTTCTTTCATTCTGTTGATTACCATGTTTACTCTATTGACACTGTCCTTTTGTGCACAGAAGTTTTAAAGCTTTTATGTCACATTTATTAAAGAGAAAATTGAAGACATGATACAGAAGAGTAATAGGAACATGTTTGTCCATATAGTTGCCATTCAACTACATTAATTGATTTTTGTAATGTGCCATTTGGGGCAAAAACAATAACATTGTAGAATCTTTCCAAGAGATTCACTTTCTATCTTCAAAGACCAACAATTCCACCCAAGTGAATTACTGCAAAAGCATCCTGACTGGTCTCCTTGCCTCTACTTTACAATGTAGACATTGCTCATAAATCCAAGTTAATCTCTCTGAGTGTTAGTTCCTTCAACTGCAAAATGAGAATATCTATTCCATGGAGTAATGCTGGGGATTAAATGAAATGGCAAATATAAAGCACCAAAAATAGTGTTGAACACATAGTAGATAATAATAATAATTTTTAAATATTTTTAATATATTTTTATATCAATAGTTGTTGGGGTACAAATGATTTTTTGTTACATGGATAAATTGTATAGTTGTGAAACCTGAGATTTTAGTGCACCTGTCATCCAAGTAGCATAAACTGTACTCAATATGTAGTTTTTTATCGTTCACCCTCATCCCATCCTCCCCTCTTCTGAGTCTCCGATGTCCATTTTACCACTCTGCATGCCTTTGTGTATCCATAGCCTAGCTCCCACTTGTAAGTGAGAACATATGGTATTTGTTTTTCTCCTTTCCTGAGTTAGAAGTTTTAAATTTTGATGAAGTCCAATTCATCTATTTTTTTCTTTTCTTGTCTATGTCTTTGGTGTTATGTCCAGGAAATCATGGCCTAATCAAATGTCATGAAGATTTTCCTTTATGTTTTTTTCTAATAGTTTGATAGTTTTAAGTTTTACATTTAGGTCTCTGATTCATTTTGAGTTCATATTGTCTATGATCTAAGGTAAGAATCCAATTTCATTCTTTTGTATGTGGACTTCAGTTTTCCCAGCACCATTGTTGAAAAGGCTGTCCTTTCCTCAATTAGTGGCCTTTGCACCCTTGTTGAAAATCGTTTGACAGTATATGTCAGGGTAATTTCCTGGTTTTGATATTGTGCTTTAGTTATATAAGATGTGACAATTGGGAAAAACTGGATGAAGGGTATAGAGAATCTTTCTGTACTATCTTGGTAACTTCCTCTGAATCTATAATTATTTCAAAATACAACATTGAAAAATAAAGTCAACCAAAATAATATGCTTATTTAAAAATAAAACCAATTCAATAAGGTACCTAATAAAAATTATCCAAAGTGAAATACAAAGAGAAAAGAAGAGTGGGGGATAAAAGCAAAACAGAGCGTCCACGAGCTGTAGTACCATATCAAATGGTACTATATTTTTGCCTGAAAAGTGTTAAACACTTATTTATTTATCTATTTTTAAACAAGGTCTCACTCTGTTGCCCAGACTAGAGTGCAGCGGTGCAGTCACGGCTCACTGCAGTCTTGACCTCCTGGGCTTAAGTGATCCTCCCGCCTCATCCTCTCGAGTAGCTGGGACTACAGGTCTATACCACCACACTCAGTTAATTTTTGTATTTTTTGTAAAGATGGTGTCTCCCCATGTTACCCAGACTGGTCTCAAACTCCTGGGCTCAAGCAATCCTCCAGCCCTGGCCTCCCAAACTGTTGGGATTGCCACACTTGACCTATTTTTTAAATTTGCTTTTACTATTTGTTTCTCTTTGTGTTTCACTCTGAATAATTTTTATCGATCTATTTCAAATTCATTGATTCTTCCCAGGGCCGTGTCAAGTTTGCTGATGAGTTTGTCAAATGTATTTTTTATTTCTTTTAATGTATTTTTATTTTATTTCAATTTTACTCTTTCTCAGATTTTCTATCTCTGCCGAAATTACCTATCTAATCTAGCATGTTGTCTATCTTTCCATAAGAGATTTTAGTATATTAATCATAGTTTATGAAGCAGGTTTACTAATTACCAATCCCAAAGGAGGACCCCCACTGTGTGGAGAATAACAAAGATCACTACTATGCCAACCACTAGGAAAAGAAGTCCAGATACTTCTTTCCACTGCATCCTGAGCTACTGTTTAGGTCCACCACGCACTGGTTACCTATTATCTGAGTGTGATGAAATAGAACATGCCCACACACAAGTTATGTAAAGCAGGTTTATTACTTACAGATCAGTAGCAAGGGACAGAAGAAGCCTCAGCTCCATTGTGAGTCAGTCCCCTAAAGCTCAAGAAAGCTGTCTGGGATATACAAAGTATTGACTACACCAATTATTATATCATGATCTAAAGTGTAAGTCACAAGTCAAACTCTTGATCACTTCATTCATATTACATGTTCCAGATTATAACCACTGGAAAACTTCTCTAACAGTAATTTTCCATGAACTCATGTGTTCTAAAACTACAACCAAGTGTGCATTTCTTCCTGATAGGCATTTAACACACTAAGTGACCATGTGACTTAAATTGTCCATATGATGCTGAGAGTTATAAGATTCATAGAATCTTAAGTTTGGACATACCAACCACAATCCATCATGCAATTAAAGCAGTACATTTGAAACCAGACTTCAGCAGGTTTAAAAACTAGGTGGTTGTTCTGGTTTGGTGATAGAGACTACAATCCCAGAAGGGTTTATGCTCTTGTTTATGTTCTCCTTGATGGAGTATAATTGTTTTAGTGTCTACTGTATTTTCATCTAATTTGGTCTTGAGGACTCTCTCATGAGAACAGCTATAAACTAGTTTTGCTCTGCTGGAGCTTTAGGGAATTTGGGTGTGGAGTTTACAATGTATCTTCATGGGATGCTTCTTTATTCTGGAAGATGGTCTAATGCCTAAGTGTCTGACCTGTAACCAAGTGCCCCTCTCACAGGAAACTTGTTTATACTGGAAGACACTTTTGTGGCTCTTGTCTGACCTGTGTCCAGTTTATTCCTGCCAAAATTTCACTCTCTGGGACAGCTCTGTCTGGGAAAGAAGTTAAATTTGAATGTGTCAGGTAAGATAGAAAGAAGACAATTCAACAAACCACATGACTCAAAATTCCAAAATTTGTATATTAAAACCTAACCTTGTTGTCCCCAGTGTGATCATTTTAAGAGATGATTAAGTTGTGAGGACATGAGCCTCAAAGATGGGATTAGGACCCTTATAAAAGGACTCAAGGTTGAAGGGAATGCTCCCTTGCCCCTCCACCTTCCACGATGTGATTCACTTTCCGCCATGTGAAGACACTGTAAGATGGCCCTTACTAGATGCCAGTACCTTGATCTTGGACTTTCCAGCCTCCAGGACTGTGAGAAAATAAAATTCTGGTCTTTGTAATTTATCCAGTGTGTGGTCTTTTGTTATAGCAACACAAACAGTCAAAGACAACATCCTAGAGGGCAGTGTCTTCCAGCCAGCACCATTCAATTATTCTTTTGGACTGATTACATCTAGGTAATGGGTATATATCATTATCCCATTGCTACGTCTTGTTACTAAATGGGTTTTGTAGTCTTGAGCAATATTAAACATAGCATCCCATGAGTGTTTGAATGGCAATGGTTTTGGAGGCAATGTAGGTGAGAATAGCAAATCCATATCCAAAGTGTATACTAATTCCAGAAAGAATAAATCACTTCCCCTCCAAGGTGGAAGATTTTGATACAGTCAACCTGACACCAACTCGCTGGCTGATCTCCTCAAGCAATGGGGCCATATGGTGAGTTCAGTGTTATCCTCTACTGCTGGCAGGGTGGAACTCAGCAATGCTATTAAGAAGATAATCCCTGTTGACTGTAGTCCTGGTTGTTGAGCCCATGCATATTACTTTTCCCTTCATTAGAGGAGGACTATAGTTGATAGCCATTCTTATGAGAGATGCCTCAGGAACAAATTAGAGGAAATACAACGATATCTTTTAGTACTTTTATGCATGGTAATGACTATCAGTAGACACTAAAACAATCAATCCAGCAAGGACAGGGTAAATAACAGCATAGACCTTTCTGGAATAGTTGTCTCTGTCACTCAAACAGAAAAACAAACTATACTAAATTCAGAAGATGAGGGGAATCAGGAGCGGCTTGTGACAGAGGGAGATGAATATTAGTTACAGTCATAATGACAACATAGTGGACACTGTTGCAAATTTCACTAACCGTCTTGCCTTAATCTTCTAGATCACAATTG
The DNA here is from genome assembly GCF_000001405.40 of Homo sapiens. Taxonomy (NCBI): domain Eukaryota; kingdom Metazoa; phylum Chordata; class Mammalia; order Primates; family Hominidae; genus Homo; species Homo sapiens. Next base: position 4,084,866 of record NT_167249.2, read on the forward strand.
GCCACTCTTCCTGACCTCCCTATTTGAAGAAAAATTAAAGTATGTTAATTTTCACAGGAAAAAAAATGAGAGGCACCATATTAGAGTATGGCAGCTTGGATCCCTGAATCACCAGCTTGAGAAGAGCTACTCACAAATCATCAGTATCTTCCTACTGTTACATTAGTGAGTTATAAAATTCTACTGTATTTCAGCCTTCCTACACTTTCAAGTCTAGTTATTGTAGCAGTCTGGCCTATTCTAATTAACATAAAAAGAAGAAATAATAATTGTAGGAAAAATCAAACAGAGAATATAACAATTTTAATGGTTTCTCCTGAGCTAGACTTACTTGAAATGGTCCTCATTTTTTGTTTTAGTATTACCAGAGATGTAAGACAGAATCTCACAAAAATATTCAAGCTGGTGGATGAGGCCAAATTAGGCAACTAGGTTGTGTGTCTGGAATTCAAACCATATTAAGTACTCCCTGCCCGCCTTTCTCCTATCCTTTAGAGCAGAGCCTGATTCTCACATATTGTCCCATAAGTCTATATCAATCAAATCAATTTTTATTATCCTGAAAGCACCTATGGAAATACTGCCTTTTTTGAAGTTAAATATGAGCACTCTGCTCCATGCTGTTTTACTGATATTTAGAACTGTACAAACTTATATTCTTTACATTTGTGGGAAATTATTATATTGTAGATGAGCCTAAAATAGTCTGTGAATCAAAACTTACTATAACAAGTTGTAAAGAACAGCTTTAGTCAAAAGTGTGTACATGAAACTAGCAACCCAAACACTCAAAGCAAGAAGAATAATAACTAAGTGACCACAAAGGAAATTTTTTTAATCACATGCCTGGCTCTTGCAGGTGGAGAAGGTTGTCTTGCCCAAAGGAAGTGGTTACTAGACCAGAGTGTAACCAAATACGGGATGCTGCTTTAAAAAAAAAAAAAAAAAAAAAAAAGATTCACAGAAGTTGTGCTTGAGTTAAACCACTAAGTACTTTCCTCGCCAGCCAATGAGAAGAAGTGAAGCAGCATCATTTGTCTCTGGCAGACTAAGCCAGTAAGTCTGTTACAGAAAAAAAAAATCACTTAAAAGAGCAATAAACATAGAAAATATCAAAGCGTCTACTAGTCAATCCACAGAAAAGAATAGAAGAAGTTTACTGAAGAAAAGTTTGATAAATAAAAGTACCACATTCTTGAACAAGACAATTTGTGTCAATTTTCCAAACAAAATACATAGACTTTGTGATGCTTTAATCTAAATATCAATAAGATAGTTTTGTTAACGAAATGTTTCTAATTTTTTTCAAGAGTAATAAATATAAAAATAGCTATTGATAAAAATGAGGGGGAGTTGCTCTAGTAGATGCTTACAAATAATTATAAAGCTAAACAATTAAAACATGTTTCTACTGCCACCAAAAAAAAAAAAGTCAACTGTGGAACAACATTGACTGCACAGAAACAGATCCAAGTTTATGTTATGATTAATGAGATCAAAATTGTATTTATAGTAGTCCCCCCTTATTCATGGGGGATACACTGCAAGATCCCACAGTAGATGCCTGAAGCCACGGATTGTACCAAACCCTGTATGTACTATGTTTTCATACACATACAACCTATGATAAAGTGTAATTTGTAAATTATTCACAGTCATAGATAAACAAAAACTAATAATAAAATAGAACAATTTTAACAATATATGGTAATAAAACTTAAGTAAATGGGGTCCCCTCTCTTTCTCAAAATGTCTTACTGTACTATACACCCCTATTTTCAAACTGTGATTAACCACAGATAACTGAAACTATGGAAGGTGAAACCATGGATAAGGTGGGGCTACCGTATTATATTTCTAGAAGTTGCTAAACTTTTGAGAAAATTTTGGGATGGGACATAAACATATTTCGAAGAAGCTTCCAGTGTTATAGTTTATATTCTTCATTTCTTTGATGCACAGAAGAACCCATTTCACTCTTTTGGAGTCAATCCAGGTTTGTGGGGTAAAGGACTGTAGCTGATGAGGACTGGAAGTCCGTGAGATATAAGGGGTTAGGAGGCAAGTTTTTGCAATATACTTGAACAACATGGCACCTATGTGGAATGGAAGAGAAAGCAGCGTAGTGGTGAGGAAACTCTGGTGGGTGAAGACATTCTCAGGTGAAATTTTTAGAAGAAAAAGCTATTTTAAGAGAATTTTAAATCATTTTCCTTGGTATTAGAAACACAATTCTAATTCAATGTTTTTCAAGAGATTGCAATAATGGTTTGGAGTGTTTTAAATGGTGCACTGGGAAGTTTACTCTTGCTTGTTAAAGAATGCCACATTAGAACTGCTTTCAAGAACAGAACAAGTTATCCTGAATTTATGTTGGATAAATTTTTTAAAATGTAGTACATAATAAAAGCGGACTTTTTATTCAGTGGAATGAGGGAAATTTACTAAAAATGATGTTGGGTCTATTGGTTATTTAGTAGGAAAATAAAAAGAGCTCATACATACACACATACAGAGATGATATTGAGTTAGAGTAAAAGTTTAAATGTAAATCAAGAAGGAACTCAAAATACAGAAAAAGATACATGTTAATATTTATTTTATTAAAAAGTGTTGGAATTATTTAAATAAAACAAAAGAAAGAAACCATATAGAAAAATATTGTTAGACTATATTTTTAAATCATCATAAATACAACCACAACTTAAATGAAAAATCAAGAGTTAATATGTGAAATGTATATCAATTTTAAGCATTGCGCTATATTAAAAGAAAGTGCTTATAGTGCAGTACGTGAACCTTAAATGAGCAAAATATATTGTATTAGTTTTCTAGCCACTGTCACAGAAAATTAGTACAAATGCAGAAGCTTAGAACAAAACCCATTTATTACATCAGCTTTCTAAGTCAGAAGTCTAGGCAGAGCTCAACTGGGCTTTCTGCTTAGGATGTCACAAGACTCAAGTCACAGAGACATTGTAATTCTCATCTGAGTTTGGGGTCCTCTTCCAAGCTCACTGCCTGTTGGCAGAATTCATTTCCACGTATGACTGAGGTCCATAGCAACTATAAATATAGGTGCATCTAATAAAATATCCTCAAAGACATGAATCAAAATTGATATAATATTTAGGTAGAAAGCAAAAAATCTACCATTTATGGTATATTTTAATATATGTTTCTAGGTTCTTTATAAGTCAAGAAGGCAAAAGTAGGATATAAAAGATCTAAATAACACAATTAGTAAGCTTAACCTAATAGACTCAAATATATGATAAAGTTATTGTCTATGTTCTCATCTATGTGCCAGGTGGTAGATTCACCAGTGCCTATTCACCAGTGCCTATTACATTAATTACATTACATTACATTAAAAAACAAATTAAAAATAATAAACTGGCTGGGCGCGGTGGCTCACAACTGTAATCCCAGCACTTTGGGAGGCAAGGTGGGTGAATCACCTGAAGTCAGGAGTTTGAGACCAGCCTGGCCAACATGGTGAAACCCTGTCTCTACTAAAAAAATACAAAAATTACCAGGGTGTGGTGGCATGCACCTTAGTCCCAGCTACTCAGGAGACTGAGGCAGGAGAATCGCTTGAACCTGAGAGGTGGAGGTTAAAGTGAGCTGAGATCGCACCACTGCATTCCAGCCTGGGCTATTAAGCAAGACTCTGTTTCAAAAAAAATTAAAATTAAAATTAAAATTAAAATTAATGTAATAGGCACTGGTGAATCTACCACCTAGCACATAGATGAGAACATAGACAATAACTTTATAATATATTCAAGTCTATTAGGTCAAGCTTACTAATTGTGTTGTTTAGATCTTTTATATCCTACTTTTGCCTTCTTGACTTATAAAGAACCCAGAAACATATATTAAAATATCATACTATAAATGGTAGATTTATTGCTTTCTACCTAAATATTATATCAATTTTGATTCATGTCTTTGAGGATATTTTATTAGATGCACCTATATTTATAGTTGCTATGTTTTTCTTTTCTTTTCTTTCTGTTTTTAGACAAAGTCTGGCTCTATCATCCAGGCTGGAGTGCAGTGGTGCAATCTCGGCTCACTGCAACCTACACCTCCTGGACTCAAGCCATCCTCCCACCTCTGCCTTCCAAGTAGTTGGGATTACAGACACGCACCACCATGCCCAGCTAATTTTTGTTTTTTGCAGAGGCAGGTTTTAGCCATGTTGCCCAGACTGGTCTTGAAATCATAAGCTCAAGCGGTCCACCTGCCTCAGCCTCCCAAAGTACTGGGATTACAGGTGTGAGCCCCTGTGCCCAGCCTTTGTTTTCCTTGACTAGGTGAATGTTTATCATTATATCAGTCTTTCTGTCCTACGATATCTTTTTCCTTAAAATTTGTTTTTGACATTAATAAATAAACACCATTTCTTAGAATTAGTTTTTGCATAATATGTCCTTTCTATGTTTTACACTTAATCTCTGAAATGACTTTTATGCTTTAGGTATGTGTCTTGTAAACAGTATAACCTGAATTTATGATTTTGCATTCAATTTGTCAGTCTCTGTCTTCTGGTCACAAGTTTAGTCTATTTGCAGTTACTAAAATTAATGAGATGTGTGGACTTTATATTATAATATTTTTCACTTTAATCTTTCCCATGATTTTACTGACTTTTTTATCCTGTTGTCACATGTCTAGAACCCATTCTAACGTGTATCAGGCCTGGGTATGCTGCCTGGAAGGTGGATGTATTTTGCCTCCTACTTTGGGATGTGTTTTCAGTCTCTGTTAAGGTTTTGGTTGCTCATTTCTGGCATCCCCTTCACACAGGAAATACCCAGATTCAGCCATTTGCAGATTTTGAAACATTGTTCTGGTTCTCTGCATATGGCCTGTCCCTGGGCTCAACTCAACACCCCATGTCCTCGCTCAGACTATATAACTCTAGACCCAGCCTGTTAATATGGACTGCCTGCCTGCTTGTATTTTTTCAGAGAAACCTCTAAAAGAAATTATCAATTTCTTCAAAACATTAACTTGATAGGTTCTTTTTAAGTCAAGTAATCTATTGGAAATTATATGGGTGCTCTAAACTATATCCCCTGGATAATCTAACCTGTAAATAGTTTGAACAGTTATCTTTTACAGCCAGAATAATGATACTAGTTAATACCAGAGGACTAACCTATGGGTAGCTCATTTCAAAATTTACTCTGAGAGCTTAAAAGAAAATATATTTTGTAGGGAAACAAAGCATATTTTTCCAAGATCCAGTCAGTAGTGAAGGCATCTTAATAGTATCCAGGATCCTCACATGTGAAGAAAAGTGAACTAGGTAACAAATGAGAAGACTTACATACGCTTAGTTCTTGCAGGAGGAAAGGAACTATCTGGGTATGGAAAAGGTTACTAGGCAAGATTGTGATTGAAGAGAAAGGATAATGATAAAGGGGCTTTGCAGAAGCTCTGGTTAGAAGAAATAACTAATAGTAATGAATATGTATCTCTCCAACCAATGAGAAGCATATGATGAGGCAGAGTCACTTGTCTCTGGCAGTCCAAGCTACTAAGAAGCACAAATAAAATATATAGTAGCAGGGGGAGATGGGAAGGGTGAGAGAATGTAGGATAAATTACCATTCAAACTGCCGGTAGAAATATAAAATTTTAAGGAACAAATTCCACAAAAAAATACAGTGTTTTAATTACAAAAATTTACCATGCAGCATAAAGACATAAATGATTTAAGAAACATGACATGTTCAGAGATGGGAGTGTAATTTTGGGCTTGTATTTTCAAACAAAATTCATATGACAATGAGAATTCAAACAGTTTAGATTATTAAAATTAAATTTAATGAAGTTGGTAGCTATATTCTGGTTATGTACAAGAATGTATCCTTTTCTTAGGAAATACACACTGAAGTACTTAAGGATAAAGAGTTCTGATGAGTGCAATTTCAGAAAAAAAAATATATAAGTACAAAATACTATTCTTATTGCAAATTTTCTTTAAGCTTACTTTTTTTTTTTTTTTTTGAGCAGAATAGTTGCCCAGGTGCAGTGGCTGACTTATTTATTTATTTTTTATTTTTTTAATATATATGTTTTATTATACTTTAAGTTCTAGGGTACATGTGCACAACGTGCAGGTTTGTTACATATGTATACATGTGCCATGTTGGTGTGCTGCACCCATTAACTCGTCATTTACATTAAGTATATCTCCTAATGCTATCCCTCCCTCCTTCCCCCTCCCCACAACAGGCCCGCATGTGTGTGATGTTCCCCTTCCTGTGTCCAAGTGTTCTCATTGTTCTTTTTACAAACTAAAATGAAAAAATCTACATGAGGCTATAAAAATATTACCTCTATAAAATAAAAACAAAATGGAATGTAAAAAGAGACTGGACATACCATAATGCGAAGATTCTCCCTTTTTGTGTACTCATATATCCAAAAAGGAAACTTTCCATTTTGTAGTTGGGAAGTAGAACCAAGATGTAGGAGTAGGAGGGGAGTTGAGAACCAACAATTCAGTAAAAATGCTTTCAGTCAATTCCCATCTGTACTCAAAAAAAAAAAAATTTTTTTTTTGAGACAAAGTCTTGCTCTTGTCCCCCAGGCTGGAGTGCAATGGCTCGATCTCGGCTTACTGCAACCTCCACCTCCTGGGTTCAAGCGATTCTCCCTCCTCAGCCTCCCGAGTAGCTAGGATTACAGGCACCTGCCACCACGCTTGGCTAATTTTTGTATTTTTAGTAGAGACAGGGTTTCACCATGTGGCCAGGCTGGTCTCGAACTCCTGACCTCAGGTGATCTGCCCTCCTCGGCCTCCCAAAGTGCTGGGTTTACAGGTGTGAGCCACTTCACCTGGCCTCAAAATTTAAATAATTAGGTAACAAACTATGACACAATTATATACAGTCCTTCAAAACAATGTTTTAGAAAGATATTTAATGACAAAATAGAGTTGTTTACCATATGTTAAATTTAAAAGGAGTTACAAATTAGCACATTCACTGTGATCTAAAACCTCTAAATCTGTTTATGTTTTTATTTATATCTACATTTATACCTTTGAAGCCCTCCCAATATCAACTGTCACCCAAGGTTCTAAAATACAATAAAAGTGATCTTGTTTTCTTCTGTTCTTGGTTATAATTCTAAGACAGTCTGACAAGTCTATTGTGATTGACTTTAAAAATACAGGTGTTAAATGAAATCTGTATGTGGAACTATTGGTCTCAATGATATATGCAACTCTGGAAGTTGGGTACTCAGCTTTATCTAATCTCTCCCTTTGCTCACCTCCACCAGGCTTGCAATGCCCTCTACAGTCCAGGCAACAGGTACACGGTTTTCAATCCCATTTGAACTGCTTCCGGGTCTCCCTATGTTGCCTAGGCTGGTTTCATACTCCTGAGCTCAAGCAATCCTCCCACCTTGGCCTCTCAAATTGCTCAAGCATCTTCTCTGAACCCAGTGGAATAAAACTGGAAATCAATAAGAAGAGAAATTTGGGAAACTATAAAAATACATGGAAATTAAACAATATGCTCCTGAATGACTAGTGGGTCAATGAAGAAATTAAGAAGGAAATTGAAACATTTATTGAAACAAATGACAATGAAAACAACATATCAAAACCCATGGGATACAGCAAAAGGAGTAATAAGAAGGAAGTTTATAGCTATTAAGTGCCTACGTCAGAAAAGGAGAAACTTTAAATTAGCAATCTAATGATGCATCTTAAAAACTAGAAAAGCAAGAGGGGAACCAAAGCAAAAATTAGTTGAAGAAAAGAAAAAGTAAAGATCAGAGTGGAAATAAATGAAACTGAAAAAAATACAAAAGATCTATGAAACAAAAATTTGCTTTTTTGAAAAGTTAAACAAAATTGACAAAACTTTAGCCAGATGAACTAAGAAAAAAGGAGAGAAGATACAGATAAATAAAATCATAAATGGAAAAGGAGACATTACAACTGATACTGCAGAAATTCAAAGGATCATTAGTGGCTGCTATGAGCAACTATATGCTATAAATTGAAAAATCTAGAAGAAATGGACAAATTCCTAGACACATGCAACCTACCAAGATTAAAATAGGAAATAAGTCAAAACCTAAAAAGATCAATAACAAGTAACAAGATCAAAGTCACAATAAACAGTCTACCAGTAAATAAATTCCAGGACCTGATGACTTCACTGCTGAATTCTACCAAACATTCAAAGAAGAACTAATACCAATCCTACTCAAATTATTCCAAAAAATAGAGGAGGAGGGAATACTTCTACAAGTATTTTATGAGGGAATACTTCTAAACTCATTCTATGAGACCAGTATTACCCTGATACCAAAACCAGACAAAGACACATTAAAAAAAAAACACTGTAGGCCAATATCTCTGATGAATATTGATGCAAAAATCCTCAACAAAATATTAGTAAACTGAATTAAACAATACATCAGAAGGCTCATTCATCACAATCAAGTGGGATTTATTGCTGGGATGCAAGGATGGTTCAACATACACAAATTAATGTGAGACATCACATCAACACAATGAAGATAAAAATAAAATGATCATTTTAATTGATGCTGAAAAAAGCATTTGATAAAATTTAACATCGCTTCATGTGAAAAATTCTCAAAAACTGGGGATATAAAGAACATACTTCAACATAATAAAAGCCATATATGACAGACCCACAGCTAGTATCATACTGAATGGGGAAAAACTGAAAGTCTTTTTTCTAAGATCTGGAACATGACAAGGATGCCACTGTCACCACTGTTATTCAACATAGTACTGGAAGTCCTAGCTAGAGCAATTAGACAAGAGAAAGATATAAATGGCATCCAAATTTAAAAGGAAGAAGTCAAATTATCCTTGTTTGCAGAGGATATGATCTTATATTTATAAAAACTTAAAGACTCCACAAGAATACTATTAGAACTGATAAATTCAATAAAGTTCCAGGATATAAAATCAGTAGAATTTCTATATGCCAATAGTGAACAATGTGAAAAAGAAATTTAAAAAGTAATTCTATTTAAAATAGCCACACAAAAATGAAATACCTAGGAATTAACTTGACCAAGGAAGTGAAAAATCTCTATAATAAAAGAAACTGAGGAGGACAAAAAAAGGAAACATGTTCCATGTTCTTGGCTTGGAAGAATCAATAGTGTTAAAATGTCCATACTACCCAAAGCAATCTACAGATTCAACGCAATCACTGTCAAACAACCAATGACATTTCTCACGGAAATGGAAAAAAAAATCTTAAAATTTGTATGGAACCACAAGACTCAGAATAGCTAAAGCCATCCTAAGCAGAAAGAATAAAACTAGAAGAATCACATTACTGACTTCAAATTATGCTACAGAGCTATGGTAACCAAAACAGCATGGTACTGGCATAAAAACAGATGTATAGACCAGTGGAACAGACTAGAGAACCCAGAAGCAAATCCACACACCTACAGTGAACTCATTTTTGACAAAAGTGCCAAAAATGGCCATCAGAGAAATGCAAGTCAAAACCACAATGAGATACCATCTCACACCAGTTAGAATGGCGATCATTAAAAAGTCAGGAAACAACAGGTGCTGGAGAGGATGTGGAGAAATAGGAACACTTTTACACTGTTGGTGGGACTGTAAACTAGTTCAACCATTGTGGAAGTCAGTCTGGCAATTCCTCAGGGATCTAGAACTAGAAATACCATTTGACCCAGCCATCCCATTACTGGGCATATACCCAAAGGATTATAAATTGTGCTGCTATAATGACACATGCACACATATGTTTATTGTGGCACTATTCACAATAGCAAAGACTTGGAACCAAGCCAAATGTCCAACAACGATAGACTGGATTAAGAAAATGTGGCATATATACACCATGGAATACTATACAGCCATAAAAAATGATGAGTTCATGTCCTTTGTAGGGACATGGATGAAACTGGAAACCATCATTCTCAGCAAACTATCGCAAGGACAAAAAACCAAACACTGCATGTTCTTACTCATAGGTGGGAATTGAACAAAGAGAACACATGGACACAGGAAGGGGAACATCACACTCCGGGGACTGTTGTGTAGTGGAGGGAGCGGGGAGGGATAGCATTAGTAGATATACCTAATGCTAAATGATGAGTTAATGGGTGCAGCACACCAACATAGCACATGTATACATATGTAACAAACCTGCACATTGTGCACATGTACCCTAAAATTTAAAGTATAATAATAATAAAATAAAATAAAATAAAAAGAAACTACAGACAATTTCAAAATGAAAAAAAAAAAGTGCCAAAAACATACACTGGGGAAAAGACAGTCTCTGCAATAAGTGGTGCTGGGAAAACTGGATATTCATATGCGGAAGAATAAAACTAGATTCCTTTCTCTCATCATATACAAAAATCAAATCAAAGTGGATTAGGGACTTAAATCTAAGACCTCAAACCGTGAAACTACTACAAGAAAACATTAGGGAAAATCTCCAGGACATTGGTCTAGGCAAAAATTTCCTGAGTGATACCCTACAAACACAACCAACCAAAGCACAAATGGACAAATGGGATTACATCAAGTTAAAAAGCTTCTGAACACAAAAGATACAATCAACAAAGTGAAGAGACAACCCACAGAATGGAAGAAAATATCTCCAAACTACCCATCTGACAAGGGATGAATAACCAGAATATATAAGGATTCAAACAACTCTATAGGAAAAAACTAATAATCCAATCAAAAGTTGGGCAAAAGATTTGAATAGATGTTTCTCAAGACATACAAATAAGACATACAAATGACAAACAGGCATATGAAAAAGTGCTCAACATCATTGATCATCAGAAAAATGCAAATCAAAACTACAATGAGGTATCATCTCACTCCAGTTAAAAATGGCTGATATCCAAAAGACAGGCAATAACAAATGCTGGGAAGGATGTGAAATAAAGAACACTTGGACACTATTGGTGGGAATGTAAATTAGTACAACTACTATGGAGAACAGTTTGGAGGTTCTTCAAAAAACTAAAAATTGAGCTCTCATATGATCCAGCAATCCCACTGCTGGGTATATACTGAAGAGAAAAAAAAAGTCAGTATATCAAAGTATCCATCAACAGTTGAATGGATAAAGAAAATGTGGCACATATACATAATGGAGTACTATTCAGCCATAAAAAAGAATGAGATCCAGTCATTTGCAGCAACCGGCATGGCAGTTCCATAAGTGAAATAAGCTAGGCACAAAGACAAACATCACATGTTCTTAGTTATTTGTAGGATCTAAAAATTAAAATGATTGGATTCATGAACATAGAGAGTAGAAGGATGATTACCAGAGGTTGGAAAGGTAGTGGGGGATCAGGGAGGGAGGGATATGGGGATGGTTGATGGGAAAAAATTGGAAAGAATGAACAAGATCTACTATTCGATAGCACAACAGGACGACTATAGTAAATAGTAACTATACATTTAAAATAACTTCAAGAGTGTAACTGGATTGTTTGCAACTCAATGGATAAATGCTTGAGGGTATGGATGCCCATTCTTCATGATTTACTGGTTTCACATTGCATCCTTTTTTTCAAAACATCTCATGTACCTCATAAATATATACACTTACTATGTGCCCACAAATATTAGTAATAAACACAATTTAAACAAATTAGAGCCCACACATCCCATATACATACTTCCCATATTAAAGCCCAAACATCTCATATAAACACTTTATTATTTGAAATTCTTGGCCATGGAATATCGTATACTTTCATTTAATTTCTTCACCAACTCTATCCAAAAACAAAAAAAAACCCTTCAATCCCCATATGCACAGATCTTTGTTAGTCATATCTGCTCATGGACTCAACAGCAGTAATTGAGTCCACTGACTGCATTTCGGAAATCCACACTCATGATCTTCATCTGTATGTTAAATAAATCAGAGCCATCGTGAGAGCATGTCATCATGGGGAACACAAGTGGCTGAGTTAGATTCATCAAAAAGATAAAATTTGTTATCATAACAAAGGGCTAACTCACAGAAGCCAAAGAAGATATGTAAAAGGATTGATCTAAGGATAGTACACTGTGTGTTATACAAGAAATCCTCTGTGTATTTCTTGTCTCTAATTTTCTCTGCCTGTCATCTTCATTATTTTCTATATCTCTGCTTTCAGATTCACATAGTACAAAATGGTCCCTGCCAAGATGTTCTCAATTCATCTCTCCTTTGCCCTAGGGCTTCTTTTCCTAGACCAGTCAGTTGCTTACTGTACACCAGTAAAGTGTTGCCAGGGGATGAGTTCACATTACAGTACATGAACATAGCTACTCCTGATGTGAGCTTATGGAGGGGATGAGGGAGTGGTGCAGGTGATACACAAAGGATCTGCTGGTCTGCACATCAGACTCAATATTCTCTACTACAAGGAGACAGGATATAAGCCCAGTCCACCTGCTTCGTTCTTTGACAGTACATTTCATTCAAAATAAGTACAAGTGCAAAAATCTGTGGTAGTAAATCTACTGCACTTTTCTTATGTCTGACACTAATAACCCAAGAAAAACTATAATAAAATATTTCTGATTTTGAAATTAGCCTGCCACAGTTTGCATGGAAATTTACTACTGGTAAGCCCTTGTTTCTCTATCCCCTTACTCAGCTTTCTTCGTTTGTATCTTCATAGCAAGAATCACCACCTAATACTGCATATCTGTTTATTATGTGATTATTTTTTCTTTCCTGCTAGAATTAAAACTCATAAAGGTAGGGACATTTTTACCTTGCTGACTATTTTATCTGGAATAGTACATAGCACTTAGTAGGAGCTAAATAATTATTTGACAAATGAATGGATACATTAATTGATGAATTTGATGTCCAAATCTAGGCTGCTTTTGTTTACATAAACCTCTGTTTTCCACTAGTCACATTCTCTGCCTGCTACATGGAGAGAACCATTATTCAGGATTTCAGTTCTGCTCTTAACACTTGGATCCTTTCGCAATCAGGGATCTTCAATTTCTCCACTTGGTGTTTTGCTCAACAAATGAAAGTGCCTTTGAATATTCACACTTGGTCTTCCAAAACCACATCAGCTTTTAGAACAATGTTTCTAGACAATTTATTAGTAACCCTTCAAAGGTGTGCTCCCCAATTTTTATGAATGTGTAATTATATTTAAACTGAAATGACATAATGTTTCTGTGTCAAATATTGTAGAGAAAGTTGACCATCTTTGCATACGCTAATTTCCATTTGAGTTCTTCTGTGAATTGCCTGTTCACCTACTTTCCAACATTGCTATTAGGTTAGTTAACTCTTTCTTATTGATTTGAGTAGTACTTTATTTCTTCCCTTGTGTAATATATGTATTTAAAGTATCTAAATATATTTCATGACTATGTTGTCCAACTTTTGTAATACATATCAACAAATATCTACCTGTTATATCCATTTTTAAGAAATACATAAAATGTAATAACTTGTACTTTTCTCACCCTTCTTTGCTTTTCTAAACAGTATTTATGTATTTCAACTTTTTAAAGTTTAAATATAATATACTTAAGTGTAGGTTGTTTTTGTTTTTTTAATCCTGCTTGGTATTCTCCGAGATTTGTAATCGGTGATTCGTTTTCTGTCATTAATTTTGGCAAGTTCTCACCTGGCTTCTACAACATCAGACTCTTGCGGCTTCCTCAGCACCCAGCTTTTGCAGTGTAGGGCAGCCAGCAACACCCAGCAGCTTCGTCAGTCATGCACACCCCCTTTAGCAGTTTTACAGCAGAGAGTGACCACCACCACCCCACTTCCATGAACCTTACAGGAACAGCTTTCCCCAACACCCTAGAGGAAGGATTTCTGACAAGTCCCAGAGGGTGGATTACAGCAAACTACCGCTGGAGAAGAAGTCCAACAACTACCTCTCTGCCATTCAGTGAGCCATGGAAGTGCCTCCCTAACAAGGTCTGACCTCACCCTTGGAAAGAAAACTGGAGAAGGCTCCTTCTTGGGTGCTCTATCTTAACCTAGGTGATGGGTTAATATCGAATGTCAACTTGATTGAATTGAAAGATGCAAAGTATTGTTCCTGGGTGTGTCTGTGAGGGTGTTGCCAAAGGAGATTAACATTTGAGTCAGTGGACTGGGAGAGGCAAGACCCACCCTCAGTCTGGGTGGGCACCATCTAATCAGCTGCCAGCACCACTAGGATAAAAGCAGGCAGAGGACCGTAGAAGGACTAGACTAGCGGTCTTCCACCCTTCATTTTTCTCCCTTGCCAGGGGCTCTGGGACCTTCAACCACAGACTGAAGGCTGCACTGTCAGCTTCCCTACTTTTGAGGTTTTGGGACTCGGACTGGCTTCCTTGCTCCTCAGATTGCAGACGGTCTATTGTGGGACTTCACCTTGTGATCATGTGAGTCAACACGCTTTAATAAACTCCCCTTTATACATACATCTATCCTATTAGTTCTATCCCTCTAGATAACCCTGACTAATACACTAGGGAAGTAGCCATTTCGTATTATATTATATTATGCACTATTATATCTGCGACTGCTATATTATTTAGAGTTCTCTTTACTTCTTTCTAGCCAATCTCTCATTACTCAGATCTCTTGTTAAGATTTGTATTTCTTTATATTTATCTTTCTTATTTTACATTACTGTGTGATTTCCTCTCTCTCCTGACTAGACCCATACTTATAAACCCATAAAATTTCATTCAGGCATGAATCTAGAATAAAAATTATTCTCAGACATGCAAAGATTAGAAAAATTTGCTTCCAGAATATCTTTTTTTGGATATTAACAGATGGTGTGTCTTAGCAAAATTAGGTAGTCAAAGCAAGTAAGAGGAAGATATCAGGTACCTGAAACATTATCTTCTACCGAAGAAAACAATGAAGAGAATCCCAAGATGACATCTGCTCAGCAATCCTGGAAATCATTTCTTTTAGATCGAAACTAGAGAACTAAGGGCACCAGGAAGTGGATAAACATAAGTATGATCCCATAAATTTTACAGTATTGTTGAGATATTCAAAACATCTGAGGATATGATTAAAAAGTAGACTACATATATGAGGGAAAAGAAACTGCAAATAGAACCTTCATAAAAATTAAAAGATGCCCAACAAAGGAAATATATTCTCAATAATGAGCACATACGTGTTTAAAAAATACCTGGTTACAAACAAACCATAAATACTATCGGGTTTGAAAATATTAAAGATAAATTATAAATGCCAGAAGTTGGGATATGAAATAAGGAAAAAAGTAGAGCAGGAAAGAATAGGGTTAGCAGTATCTTCATCTACAAGGAGAAAACTCATGAGATCTTGAATATAACTGACAGAATAATAGAGTACTGTGTTTAAAAATACAGGGATTGGCCAGGCGCGGTGGCTCACGCCTGTAATCCCAGCACTTTGGGAGGCCAAGGCGGGTGGATCACGAGGTCAGGAGATCGAGACCATCCTGGCTAACACGGTGAAACCCCATCTCTACTAAAAATACAAAAAAAATTAGCCGGGTGTGGTGGTGGGCGCCTGTAGTCCCAGCTACTCAGGAGGCTGAGGCAGGAGAATGGCGTGAACCCGGGAGGCGGAACTTGCAGTGAGCCAATCGCGCCACTGCACTCCAGCCTGGCGGACAGAGCGAGACTCTGTCTCAAAAAAAAAAAAAAAAAAAAAAAATGCAGGGATTACCTACGGAGGAACTAAACATAGTAAGATAATAAAATAACAAGAAAGATGTTAGAGACCGAATTGTTGGTGGTCTAAATTATCTGGTTTCATAAGAGGAAGTCAATGGATGTCTAAATTAATACCCCCACATACACAAAGATACGCATATTACTGTTAAAAGTCATTGAACTGGGGATAATGTCAGTGGAGGAAAGGAATGGTGTGAAGGGCTCTTGTTTTCATTAAAATACATCTCTATTGTTTAATCTTCAAACTATATACTGATATCCCGATAAATTTAAAATAGTAATTGTAAAGTAAAATATCATTCTTACTGAAATATCAAGAATGCTGCAGATGGTGGCAGAATGTTCAATGTGAAAAAGGATAATGGCTTGCACTAGAATGACAGCAGTGAAGTTTGTTTTAAGCATGTCATTTTATAGTGGCAATCTCTTACCTGTGAGAGCATGTAAAAGACTGAGCTCCTCAGTTCTCAAACAAAAGCAGACTTTAACTCTTGTTCCAGCCATGCTTCTTTGCTTCTCAAACATCCAAAACCGCATCTCAGATTGCATCATATTCTGAACACATGGAAGGACGAGTACGGGAAATAAGAGTGGCTGTGTTACCACCCTCAAGGAATCCTGACCTCTCAAATCCAGACCTGCCAAGGAGCAAGGAAAAAAGGGAAAGCGGCAGGCTCCCTTGAATTTCTAAAGTGCAATGTCCCCACCTACTGGTGAACATGACCCAGTTAACATCCCTACAGCTGTCCATGTCCTCCTAAAATAAGAACCTTGAACTTCTTCCAGTAGTAGAATCCGTGTCCTTTAGCACAGTTCTACACCAAAAGATAAACAAAATATTAATCCAAAATTTTTACAATGCAATGAATGTGTGGGAATGATAATTTTAAAACATGCCGCACGAGGTTAGTTTTAAAATAACGCCATCGTTAGCATTCCCTTTCCCTAGTATCTATCTACTCCTGACAGCTTCTGCTCAGATTGTCTTCTCTCCATTGTCTCTTCCATCTCCCTGTACAAACCTCCTCTCTTACACTGCTTTTCCTGCCCACACCCTGCTTCCCCACGTGTTAAGTTGGCATCCTTTTTTCCCTCTCATTGTTTTCTGGCTTCTGATATTTCAGATAAGAAATCTGATTCCAGTCTGGTTCTTGTCCTTTTATGTGTAAACTGTTTATTTCCTTCTTGGAAGCCATTAGATCATTTTTATTACCATTTTATTTTCTGATTGTGTAGTAAAAATTTTCACCCCTACAGCTACAGAACTATTTGTATATTTTCATGATTCCACTTGATTCCTTTAAATTGCATGAATCTTACCTAGCCAGAGACTAAAGTCTTCCTTTCCTTCAGAAAAAAAAAATCTTTGATTTTTTATTGTATCCTATATTCTTTCTATTTTTCTGGCACACCTATTATACAGCAGTTGGAGATGGCTGTATAGAACTTTCTCAACATATTTTCACAATTTTATGTGTTCCAAGGTAGTTAAAACAGGAATCTGATTTCTTTTGTACTTTCTTTCCCACCCTCCTATTTTTTTTAAGACTCAGAACCACTACTTGAACACTCTAATTGATAACTGCTTAGTTATTTCTCACCTGCCTTAAAGAGTGTTTCTTCATTATGCTCAAGAATGAGAGCAATTTAAAATGATATCATTTTAACCTATCTCCTCAGAGACACGTTCTGTTGGCTTCTTTTTTTCCTATGTGTTATGTGTTGGTAAAATTTTCCAGTTTCTTTGCATGTCTTGTAAATTTTGTTTAATATTGATATTTTAGATAATGTAATGTATTAACTGAATGCTGATTCCCCAATCCCTAGGAGTAAGTGCTCTTGCTGTTTGTTGTTTGTGTTAGTGACTTGCTTGGGCTAGTTCTTCCAAGTCTGTTTCCCCCTAGTATGCAGCCTATGGTGTCTCTGCTAAGTTTGTTTAATAATTTTTGTTTTCATTATTGAGCCTGATTTCCTACAATCACCCCTGGTCATCATAGCTTAATGTCAGCGTATGATTGATGAAAGATTCTGCTTAAACACATTGAGTCAGTAAGGCTTCCACACTTTGCCATTGAAGTGAGTGGGACTTGGGAAATGCTTTCAAAGTTCCGGGACTTTACAGGTATGCCCCAGTTTTTACTTTCTGCCTTCACATGTCCTTATATTCAGCCAGGTCTCTCCTGAGCAGGCTTAACCAAGCTGATTCAGACAGCTTTCCACACCACTGGGGATAAATGAGATTTTAGCAAGGCTATTTTTGACTATCTCATTCTCTGGATCTCCCTGTTAAAATTCCTGACTGGCCTGCCATCATGACTTCAAGCTAGTTGAGATGTTAGCCTTCCATAATTATTTGCCCCGAGGTCTATGCTGTTTTCTACAAAACGCCAAGACATTATTTTGAGGTTGTGTGTGTGTGTGCGCATGCACGTGTGTGCACGTGCATGTGTGTGAGCTCTTTTCCAAACAATGTGTGTGAGCTCCCTCTGGCAGGTTAGGAAGAGCTGTCTAATCCCATGGCCTGTCCTCCCACACAGGTAGAAATTCTGCACCATAAGTTGGGGTGAAGGAAGTTGGTGAAAGCATACTCTGGCCAAAATAATACTGATTTTGCTGTTTTTATTAGGATTCAGTTTAGATTCTCTTAACTAAATGCTTCTCAATGTTCGTATCCTTTGGTCAATTTCCAGAGTCTTTAAATGATTGTTTTTGGCAACTTTGTCCAATGTTATCACTGCTTTTTAGATTCGTTGAAATGTTTTGATGTCAATATATGTGGTATATTTTTATGTATTTTCTACATGAATTTGAAAATAATCTGTATATAGCGTTTGGTACATACACACTTAGGATTATATGTCTTTTTGATGTATTGACTCTTTTTCATTATGAAAAATTTATCTCCAGTAATATTCCTTATTTGTAAAGTTTTCTTTGTCTGATATTAATGTAGCCACTCCAGCTTTCTTGCCCAGTGTATATTTTTTCATCCTTATATTTTTAACCTGTGTCTTCATACTTAAAATGCATTTCTTATGGACAGTGTATGGTCAAAAGTCTTGCTTATTTATCCAGTTTAGAAATATGCATTTAATGTAATTACTGAAGTACTGGATTTAAGTCTACCACCTTGCTGCTTTTTGTTTTTGGCCCATCTGTTCTTTTCCTTTTATTCCTCTTTACTTGCCTTTCTTAGTATATTTTTCTCCCTCCTAATGGTAACTGAGTAGAGAGATGTCAGAACTTAGGTCTTTAAGATTTGTGGAACTTTAAAACAATTTTTATTTTATTTTATTTGAGGCAGAGTCTTACTCTGTTGCCCAAACTGGAGTGCAGTGGTGCACTATTTGTAGAACTTGAGTGGAAAATCCTAAATAAGAATACCACAGAGGAAAGCCCAAAATTCTGCATTTGAAAGAAATTTGCATGCAGAATAGGTGCCCCTCTTTGAGTTTTCATCTTTTTTGGGGATTTTTCTCCTCAATAGCAACTAATTCTTTTGGCACCAAACTCCAACCTCCGTCTTCTCTTCCTGGTAAGACTGCATCTTTCTGCTTGAGCTTTGTTCTACCATCTACTGCTTTACACTGAAAAGCACTCTCAGGGGAAACTCACAGTAAACGTTGAACTCACCTAGTTACTTTCCTTTTCTGAATATTTATCTCTTGATGTATTCTGCATGCTTCAAAAGATCTCCAATGATTGCAAATTTTTAAGTCATTTTTATAGATTTCATAATTTTTGTTTCTAGAAAGGCTAGATGTAGACATATGGCTTTTAATATAAGTAAGTAGCTATAGAAATAAATGTATAGATGTTTATGTGTATGTCCACAAATAGGATCTTAGATTTTTGACATTCCCATAGCAATGAGCACACTTAACACACAGATCTTGATCTAGCTTTTTAACCAGACTCTTCTAAAAGAAACCAGAGCTATGACAGATTCTAGAGCTTGAGAAAAAAAATAAAAGATGATCATAGAAAGTAAGGATATTTAAGAATGGTAGATACGGCCGGGCGCGGTGGCTCATGCCTGTAATCCCAGCACTTTGGGAGGCCGAAGCAGGCGGATCACGAGGTCAGGAGATCGAGACCATCTTGGCTAACACGGTGAAACCCTGCCTCTACTAAAAAATACAAAAAAAAAAAAAATGCCGGGCTTGGTAGCGGGCGCCTGTAGTCTCAGCTATTAGGGAGGCTGAGGCAGGAGAATGGCGTGAACCCAGGAGGCGGAGCTTGCAGTGAGCCGAGATCGCGTCACTGCACTCCAGCCTGGGCGACAGAGAGAGACTCCGTCTCAAAAAAAAAAAAAAAAAAAGAATGGTGGATACGTGTCAGGTGTCAGAGATAAGAATATGTTCAAAGAATGGTAGATACATGCTCTTTACACAGATAGGCAAAAAATAACCAGAAGAAAGAATGCATACCACAAATACCTAAATCACAATAAATTCAGTATGATCATATTAATAACAAACAAAATAATCTTCCTTAAAAATATGTTTTACCAGGAATAAAAATAAAACTTGAGTCATAATGATGGAAAAACCATAAGAAGAACATAACTTTTCTAAATATGTATGCATCTAATAATGACTTAAAAATAAATGATACAAAAATTGACAGAAATGAAAATATAGATAAATTTGCAATCATAATTAGAGATTTTTAAGTGCTTCTCTCAATAATTGGTAAAAGAAATGAACAAAAAATCAGGAAAATATATTAAACAATGAAATAGCACTAATAATTAAATCAACCTAATTGACATTTATAAGACATTAGACTAGAATATGCGATGGCAAAATACATATTATTTCAGGTGTACATGAAATATCCATCAAGATGAACAACATACTGGATCACAAATTTAGTCTCAAGACATTCAACAGTATTCAAATTGGGTAGGATATGTTCTCTGACCAAAAAAGATAAAAATAAAAATACCTCAACTAAATTAGAAAGCAGCACCAAACTGATAACCTGGAAATCCCCTAAATATACAGAAATTAATCAACATACTACCAAATAAGCCATAGGTCTAAGAGGAAATTACAAAGAAAATTAGAGAATATTTTAAGTGAATGATCATGAAGTTCATTATATCAAAATGTATGAGATAAAGCTGAAAGAGTGCTTGAAGGGAAATTAGTTACTTTAAATGTATACATCATAACTGAAGAGAAGTTTAAAATCAATGGTGTGAGCTTCTACCTTAAGAAGGTAGAAAAAGGAAAGCAAACTAAATCTAAAGAAGATAGAAGGTAGAAAGAAGGAATTAAAAAGCAAAGACTTGGAACCAACCCAAATGCCCATCAATGATAGACTGGATAAAGAAAAAGTGGCACATATTCACCATGGAATACTATGCAGCCATAAAAAAGAATGAGTTCATGTCCTTTGCAGGGACATGGATGAAGCTGGAAACCATCATCCTCAGCAAACTAACACAGGAACAGAAAATCAAACACCGCATGTTCTCACTCATAAGTGGGAGTTGAACAATGAGAATATATATCCAAGTCTCACATGTCTCAACAATGAGAACACACAAGGAGGGGAACATCACAAACCGGGGCCAGTTGGGGAGTGGAGGGAAAGAGAAGGGTGAGCATTGGACAAATACGTAATGCATGCAGGTCTTAAAACCCAGATGATGGATTGATAGGTGCAGCAAACCACCATAGTGCATGTATACCTATGTAACAAACCTGCACGTTCAGCACATGTATCCCAGAACTTAAAGTAAAATAAATTAAAAAAAAGAAATGATTAAATGTGGCAAAGACAAATAAAAGAAAGAAGGAATTAATAAATATGAAACCAGACAACAATGAAACAGAAAACCAGCAAACAGAAAAATTAACAAAGCTGGGCTGGTGTGGTGGCTCACACCTGTAATCCCAGCACTTTGGGAGGATGAAGAGGGACGATCATTTGAAGCAATTCTCCTGCCTCAGCCTTCCCGAGTAGCTGGGATTATAGGGCATGTGCCACCATGCCCGGCTAATTTTGTATTTGTAGTAGAGATGGGGTTTCTCCATGTTGGTCAGGCTGGTCTCGAACTCCCGACCTCAGGTGATCTGCCCACCTTGGCCTCCCAAAGTGCTGGGATTACAGGGATGAGCCACCATGCTGGGCCTAAAATGAAATTTTAATTGGTGAGAAGGCAGGTGGTGAGAATTGTTGATCCAATAATAACATGAAGTCCATGAAAGCCTGTGGCTATAAAGAATGTTGAGCCATAGATTCCATCAGAGATAATAAAGGGGGCCTCGAAATATTCTGAACTTGTAGAAGGGTGAAATAGACTCCTAAGAGGATCATGGTAAGTACTGCTTGAATTATTTGTTTTTGGTTACCTTCTATTAGACTGTGATGGGCTCAAGTAATTGAAACTCGTGATGCAAGTAATACAGACGTATTTAGGAGAGATACTTCTAAAGGGTTCAGGGGAAGAATACCTGTTGGGGGTCAATGTCCTCCTAATTCTTGGGTCGGTGCTAAACTGGAGTGATAGAATGCCCAGGAAAAAACCAGCGAAGAAGAATACTTCTGAGGTAATAAATAGAAGCATCCCGTATCGGAGGTCTTTTAGGACAATTGTTGTGTGGTGGCCTTGGAATATACTTTCTCGGGCAATATCACGTCATCACTGATGTATAGTCAGTGTGTTGGTTAGTAGGCCTAAAGTTAAAAGAGTGGTAGAATTAAAGTGAAATCATATGGCCAGGCCAGATGTTATTAGGAGAGCCGAGAGAGCTCCTGTTAGTGGTCAAGGGCTAGGTACAGCTATATGGTAGGCATGAGTTTGGCGGGTCATTATGTATTATCATGCAAATAAAGACTTACTAATAGTGTGAAGACATAAGCTTGAATAAGAGCGACAGCGAACTCGAGAATAGTTAGTAGAATTAGAATAATAAGAGATACTGAAGTTGCAGAGACACTAATAATTGATAATATTAGCACTGCACTGCGACTGTGGTCGGCGATTATCCCACTTCCAGGGCCAATCAGGCTAACAAATTATTTCAAACCTATTACAACTCCCTACAATGCTTCAAGCCCCAAGGCCCCCCCATTGGAGGGCCTATAACTAAACACACCCCCCTTTTACAATAAGCCTCACTTTGCTTTTCAGCTTCTGAAGGAAATTTCCCTGTAGGATCCTTCACACCTAACCAATGCAACCGCACTATCATTATTAAATACCCCTCTAACCATCAGACTAACAAAGCTGATTACCAAGTTATCACCTGAAGCAAATGGAACGTTTCTGCATCTGGCTTGTTTTACAGCCTATCCCTTAACCAATGCCTCTGAACTAACTTGTGCTGTCCCTGGTTCCCACCTTTTTCCATGGCTCAATATCAATGATGCAACATCCGATCACATTAAACGTGTAAAAAACAACTCTTGCTATATCTCTACTATAGTGGATGTCTCCCTGGCCTCCTCCTTGTCCATCTGGAATAATGAACTGCAGGAAAGAAACAACATCCAATCTTTAACACACTTATTCTCTTTCCATATCTCTGCCTGTATTTACGATGAAGGCTTGTTCTTTTTGTGTGGCACCAACACATATCTTTGTCTCCCCACCAACCGGACCGGAACGTGTTCTCTAGTTTATCTTTCTCCTTCCACTGGACTAGCTCCTCCTAATCAATCTTTGTCTATCCCATCCATCCAATATGTTAGGAAAAGGAGAGCCATCCACATCATTCCTTAATGGCTGCCTTGGGTATAACCTCTGGACTTACAGAGGGAGCAGGTGGATTAGCCACATACTTTAAGGTTCTTTCAACAGAACTACAGGGATCTCTAGAAGGTATAGCCTGAAGCCTTGTAAGAGTCCAAGACCAACTAGACTGCTTAGCTGGTGCAGTCCTCCAGAACAGACAGAGACTAGATCTTATAATGGTTGAAAGAGAGGGCATCTGCCTCTAACTGGGTGAGGAAAGTTGTTTCTATCTCAACCAGTCGGGCCTAGTAAGAGATGCTGCTGAAAAACTTAAAGAAAGGGCTAAAAAGCTAAGGGAATACCAACACAACCAAATAGATTCTTGGTTTGGGAACAAAATCATAGCATGAGTCACCCCATTCCTGGGCCCTCTCCTAATGATATGCCTAGGACTAACGTTCTTACCCTGCCTAATTAATCTTTTCCAAAGATTTTTAACCAACAGGATCATGGCCATTTCACAGACAACTACCCAAAAACATCTACAGACGGCATTACTCCTACAGTCAATCCGAGACCAGAAAACTCTCCACACCCCCCTCAACAGGAATTAGCCAGAAAGAACACACCATCCTCATCCTTTTATAACTATAGGATCTGGATTGACAGAGCAGGAGCATCGCCATTTTGGACAAGCACCACCATTTTAAAGTTGCCCTTGATCAAAAGCCACCTAAATCCAACCCAAAGGGCATCAGCCTAATGGCTAATGGCAGCATGACCTTAAACCACAAATGATACTTCTGACCAGAAACATTCCAACCCTGAGATAAACCCCTCTCCAACCAGAGACATACCAGCCCCAAGATAACCTCCCCTCTGACCGGAGAGATGCCAACCCCAAGATAGCTTCCCCTCCAACCAGAGACATTCCAACCCCACAATAAACTTCTTCTCCACACAGAAACATTCAAGCCTTTCGCCCCAAACCCTTAAATACGCTTAGTCTGTAAGAGAGAGGGCTCCTGACTGAAATCAGCCAGAAGCCCTCTCAGGTTTATTCTCCAAAATAAACCTGTCGTTGATTGTTGAGCCACTTTTTGTGTTTCTTTCCTCTTTCTTTAACTCTTAACACTGTGTGTATCACTATTTGGATTAACATAAATGAGAAAGGAGAGATAGAGACTGTGAACTAGGTAAATGGATGTGCATCATTTGGTGGTAGTAAAAACACAATCTAAATTTACTCCGTGCTCAAGCTCATAAATTATGATTATTGACAACATTATAATTTAGGTTGTTTTTATTTTGTGGAACTTTGTAGATTAACTAAGATTTCATTAATATAGTATTTTATATTTACATGCAATGTAATCCTTTAGTAACCACAAAGTAGGTTGTTGAGAGGACCCATGATGTAATACATATAAAACACTTAGACCTATTTTATGGCATACATAGGCCTCAAATAATGTTATCTAAGGGTATGACTTATATAATCTGTACTTGGGACTCCAGTTTCAATTCCCAAACTCTGGGAACCAAGTGTGGCTTACACTGAACATCATTTTTGCTTAAACTTGTTAGTCTTATACATCTTTACACCAATTCTAAGCATTAAGCTTTTTCTTTCTTTTCTTTCTTTCTTTCTTTCTTTTCTTTCTTTTCCTTCTTTCTTTCTCTCTCTCTTTCTTTCTTTCTTCCTTCCTTCTTTCCTTAATTGTGGGAAAATATAAATAAACTAAAACTCATCATTTTCACCTTTTTAAGTGTACAGTTCAGTGGCATTAAATATATTCACACTATTGTACACAATAACCACCACAGATCTCTAGAACTTTTCCTCATCCCAAACTGGAACTCTGTAACCATAAACAACTCCTTATTCCCTCCTCCTCCCAGCCACTAGTGACCACCATTCTACTTTCTGTCTCTGTTTGATCACTCAAGGTGGTTTCATAAGGTAGAATAATACAATATCCGCCTTTTTTGTGACTGGCTTATTTCACTTCACATAATGTCTTTACATTTCATCTGAGTTATAGCATATTTTCAGAATTTCCTTCCTTTTTAAGACTGAATAATATTCCATTGTATGTTTATACCACATTTTGCTTTTCCAGGCATCCAATGATGGAGATTTGTTTGTTTGTTTGTTTCACCTTTTGGCTACCGTTACTGTTTGTGCTATGAACATGGGTATACTAATGTATGTTCAAGTCTCTGCTTTCAGTTTTTTTGGATATATGACCAGAAGTGGAATCATGGCATCATATGGTAATTGTATGTTTAAAGTTTTTGAGATATGACTCTACCTTTTTCCACAACAGCTGCATCATTTTACATTCCCGCCAGCAAGGCACAAGCGTTCCAATTTCTCCACATCCACAACAACACTTATATTCTCTTTTTTCCTTTTGAATAATAGCCATCCTAACGTGTGTATGCACAACTACACATAAAAAAAATGGTGAATCTCGTAAAAGCAATATTTATCAAAGGAAAGAAACAAATCCAATAAATTATTTTATTTACATAAAATTTAAGACCATACACACATTTTTAAAAAGTAAATAATTAGCACAAAATCAGAGTAATGTTTTCCTCCAAGGGAAAGATGGTAGGTAGAAGGTGCACACAGAGGGCTTCTGGGAAGCTGGATAAGCTTTTTAGTCTGTGTCATTAATTATTTATTAAACTCTATATACATGTTTATGCAACTCTGTGCTTAAGTTATGTGTCAGTCTAAAAGAAACGCTACTATTAAATCCTCAATTATGAAAATCTTACTCTTCAATCATGAGCTGAAGAATAGCAATACAAGTTGTTGATTGCTCTTCTGGATAGAAATCCAGGATAAGAAATACAAATTGAATTTACTCTGAGAAATGTATCTTTCAAGACATATGAAGTATTTAAATTTAAGAGAGGTGAAGATCCTTTTTACTAATATAAATTTAAGATCCAATTCCCTTCAAAGATGTGGACTTTAGGGAAAAAATTAATTGTTGTTAAGAATTATGGTGATTCTGCTCCATAGCAGCTTCATTAAAGGACCTAGTCTAAGTTCAAGATTAAAAGGTTATATGAGGCATATGTGTATGAGCAGGATAGAGAAAAATAGCAAAAATATCTTCTTTTGAACCATGGGACTCTTTGTGAAGAAGTTTTATGGTGGCAAAGCCTCAAGAAGAACATCACCAGTGATGTTTTGTGGCAAGTTATAAAAATCAAAGTTAGTAAAGATTGGAAATTGAATGTGGTAGGCCTCTTGTGTATGACACAAAGCAAGACAATGAGGAAGAAGTAGGTATTTCATGGAAAAACAAAATACCCTGAGAAGAAAATAAAGAGAGAGGGGAAGTGAATCATTGGTATAGTGAGTTACTGAAAGTGGCAAAATAGAGAATTAAAAATAATAAATAAGTCTTTTGTATCCTGCAGCTCAGAAGGATATGTTTGGTCCAGATTTCACCCCTGCAGATAAGCATTGAAAAAGGCAAGAGTGTGAAAGTGTGGTTTTGAGTAGCTTAATCAAAATTGTTTTCTCTTGAATTTTACATTGACTAAAACAAATCTGGATCTAAGCAAATTGTTTTATATTGTGTTGTGAAATTGTCAAAGATAAAAACTCGTACACTTGTATAGAGCCCTTATCATGAATGGAGCTTGCAGGACTGGAAGTTGCTCTGGGTGAATCAGCGAGTGAGTGGTGAGTGAATGAAGGTCTAGGCCTTTATTGTACACCATTAAGTATTTCGTAAACACTGTACACAGCCTACACTAAATTACAGAAAAAAAAGTCTTTCTTCAATGATGAATTAACCTTAGTTTAGTGTACCCTTTTTACTTTATAAACTTTCTGAATTATTATAAACTTTTTGACTCATGTAATAACACTTAGCTTAAAACACAAACACACTTAGAGTTATACAAAATGTATTTTCTTTCTCTATATCCTTATTGTTTAAACTTTTTTCTAAACCTTTTACTTTTTATACTTTTTTTTTTCTAAACAGTTAAGGTTCAAACACACACGTTAGCTCAGGCCTACACAGGGTCAGGATCATCAATATCATTGTCTTGCACTTTCCCATTTTGTCCCATTGGAAGGCTTTTAGGGGCAATAACACAAACACACATGGAGCTGTCACTTCCTATGATAACAATGTTTTCTTCAGGAATACCTCCTTAGGGATCTACCTGAGGCTGTTTTATGGTTAATTTTCTTTTTATAAGGAAGAGTACACTCTAAAATAACAATAAAATGCACTTAGCTGGTGCAGTCCTCCGAAACAGAAAAAGACTAGATCTTATAATGGTTGAAAAAAGAGGGCGTCTATATAGTATATAGTATAGTATATACATATACCAGTACCTTAGTCATTTGTTGTCATTACTGAGTATTGTGTACTGTACATAATTTTACTGCTATACTTTTATGTGACTGGCAGCACAGGAGATTTGTTTGCACCAGCATCACCACAAACGTGTGAGTAATGCATTATGCTACAATGTTACAATGGCTACTATATAGGGATAGGAAATTTTCAGCTCCATTATAATCTCGTGATGACCAACTTATATATGTTCCTTCCTTGACTGAACTGTTGTTATGTGGTGCATGATTGTATTACACTGTGAGCTCTGGGTCCCATTAAAATTCTAGTAGAAGGTTGAATTTTTTGTATTAGCAAGAACTAATCTCATCAAGTTTAGAATGCAAGCTGTATCTCGCTTTCTGTGCGCCGTAGTTCTAACGTCATTATAGTTTTCAAAGACTTTGCCATGCTGTTCGTGCCTGCCCTGTGCCTGGGCCTCTCAGCCACTAGTCTGGCACTAGGACTGTGATATTTGTATCATAGTTCAGCTCCTAATGGCTTTGATATGCTAGTGTGAAACTGTCCCCCTCGTGCGGCTTGGGGAGCCCAAGACCCTGAGAGTTATGATGGTTCATGTATAGAATTAGGGATCCCTTTCTCTCACTCTCTCCTCTGAGATTTTTCCCACACTCTCCAGGTCCCATAGGTCCCTCTTACCAGTTCCTCTGGCCAGAAAGGTTGGTTTCTCTCAAAGTATTGTCATGTGATTCTGCACAACTGGGGCTTCCCTTGAGGCAAAGTGGGAAGAGAAAATTGAGCAAAAATATAAAGGGAAATACCCCATATTCCTTAGGCCACAGGGTTCCTTTTCCCTAGTTCTTTTGGGATTTTTCTTTCAGAGTTTTTGATGGTTCCACCACAGCAGCCTTAGTACAGCTTCCTGATTCTGACCACACTCAGGGAAGAACTAGAAGTGAAAAAAGAAGTAAAGTTCCAAAAAAGGAATATTGCTCCACACACTCTCTGGAGACCCCCTTTGCAATCTGTACAGAAAGAGGAGGTGTCTCTTGGAGTTTCTTCTCCCTGCTCTCACTGCACACTACATGTCTGGAGTTACCTTCAAGTCAAAGCCAGGAGACAAAAGAGGAAAAACCCTAGGAACTCACTCCCTTACTATTATTTCTCCAAGTTCTGACTTCCCTCCCTAATACTCATGCTATTTTGTACTTTTCAAGGTCCACAGATAGCTGCCTTTTACATTCTGCCTGATGTTTCCCATTATAATTAGTGTAAGATACAGACTATAGTGGGCTTATTCCAACTTGGCCGTCACAGAAAGATCCTCTTCAGCTTTGTTGTTGAAGGATGTTTTTCTGATTTTAGAATTCTAGGTTTGTGTTAGGGGTAGAAGTTTTCTTAGCGTATTTTAAGGTTTCATTCCATTTTCCTCCAGATTCCAAAGTTTCTATTGAAAGTCAGCCTTAACCTTTTTTGTTCTTTTTTTCCAAAGACAAGACACTTTCGTCTCTGGCTGATTTAAACATTTTCTCTTTATCTTTGGTTTTGAGCAATTTATTATTATTTTTTTACATATGGTTTTATTTCACTAGTCTATGATTGAGGTTGATAAGTTTCTTGTATCTGTGTTTTGACATCGTTAATCAGTTTTGGAAAATTTTCTGCCATTATCTTTTTGTTTTCTCTGCTGCACTCTTTATCCCTTATTTTTATGTACAATTGTAAGTATCTTTGACCATTAGATAATGCCTACATGTCTCTGATGCTGATATCTTTCTTCTTCATTTTATCTTGTGCTATGCTTCAGAGTAGATGCTTTCTATTAAACTGTCTTCAAGTTAACTACTGCTGCATTTGCCTGTGACCAGTCTGCTGTTAAATTCACCCATTAAGTTTTAATTTTAGATGATGTACTCTGATTTCTTTTATTTAGATTCCGTATCTAAAAGATTCCACATTCATATTCTTTTTTAGATTGTAAATCTTTTTCTTTACTATATATTCCTTGATATTTATGAATATATGGTTAAATAGAGTTAATTTAAAGCTCTTTTGTGCTAAGTGATTAAGTCTAGAAAGAGCTTTGTGTCTCCCAAAAAATTGTTGGTGAGGCTGTTGGCATTCAGAGTATCATGGGATTAAATATATAAAAAGCTCACAACATTTTTTATTCAGCTGTATTGGTAAAACTGCCACCAGTCTGGACTGAAAGAGACTGAGGTTGTTTAAAATGTAAAAGGGCAATGGATCTGCAACTCTCTATGTAAAAGAAACAGGCTGAGAAAGTTGTTCAAAGTGCCGATCATCCTATGTGCTCTTTAAAGGTGGCCAAGGAGGGAAACAGAAAAGGAAGTACTTTTCAAAGGGAAGAGCATAGAATTCTGAGGACAGGTAGACTAATGAGAAACTCCCAAGGAAAGGAGTCAGGGGCTAACCAAGGAATATTGTCCACCCCTAGAGGGGATGTGCAAGGCAGCATTTGTTCAGTGGAATTTCAGAATTGCCAGGGATCAGTGACTGTTCAGTCCCCCATTCTTTCCGTTTTTGAATGGGCATGTTTACTATCATTATCCTGACCCAGTTTCAGCACTGTGTATTGAGTGCTGATGGAAAGACAACTTTGTTGCTATTGTTGTGGCTTGTATGTCTTAGAATTAACGAAAGAGGAGGCCGGGTGCAGTGGCTCAGGCCTGTAATTCCAGCACTTTGGGAGGCTGAGGTGAGTGGATCATGAGGTCAGGAGATGGAGACCATCCTGGCTAACATGGTGAAACCGTGTGTCTCTACTAAAAATACAAAAAATAAGCCAGGTATGGTGGCACGCGCCTGTAGTCCCAGCTATTCAGGAGGCTGAGGCAGGAGAATCACTTGAACCCAGAAGGCAGAGGTTGTGGTGAGCCGAGGTGGCGCCACTGCACTCCAGTCGACAGAGTGAGACTCCATCTCAAAACGAACAAAGAAAGAAAGAAAGAAAGAAAGAAAGAAAGAAAGAAAGAAAGAAAGAGAGAGAGAGAGAGAGAGAAAGAAAGAAAGAAAGAAACAGGAAAGAAACACATGAAAAGGTGGCTCACCAGTCACGGCACACTTATTTTAGAGAAAACAAACCTGAGAGGTGCCTTCTGGCCGAGTTAGGTCAGAGGCACGCTCTCTTATAGACTAAGTTTTTTAAGGATTCAGAGTGGGAGAGTTTATCCAAGGCTTGGACTGCTTCTGTGTCTCTTTGTTGTGCTTATCTAGGAGGGAGAGTTGTGTGTCTGTTCCCATACATCTTTTTTGCAGCTGCAGGCATATCCCCAGAGTCTGCTTTTAGCTTCCCTATCTTAGTGCACCTGAAGGGAAAGGAATGTGCTTATTAAGGCCCACTGTTTTAGGGCCCGTTGTATGAGGGTGAAGTTTGGCAGTTACCCAGGGGACCTTCCCCCCACCTTTCTCTGTGCCCGAACTGTCTTATCTGTGTTTTACTGTCTGCTCTTTCTGGCTACTTGTAGTTAGAAAAGAAGTGATTTCCTTGAAATGCATGAGGCTAGAAAGGGAGCTGGAATTTAAAGTGGCGGTGTTTGTCCGAGATGACAGGGCTCCAGCTCTATCAGTATGTTTCTGGATTAAGGAGAACTGCATTCTGACCTGCATCCTGATTGTGAGATTTTGAACTTGATGGCTGATGCCATGATTGCATGAGACTTCTGGTGATCCCAGATTAGGGGTAAGCATATTTTTCATATTGGAAGAATATGAAAAATTGTAGCAATAAAAGTGGACTGTAATAGATTATGATGATGATCCTAATTCATCATCCCTCCCTATATCCACGCCCTTTGCAATCTAACTTTACTATGTTCTCCCATTATGGATGGGTGACTTGAATTGCCTCTCAACATTAGGCCTAACCATGTGTTCCTCTACAGCCAAGGAGTTATTAGCAAATGTCACACACTCTGGGCCTTGAAATTGGCGTATGTATTGGAGCTAACATTTTGCTTGCTTCTGCGTTGCCATAAGGACAATTCTAGGCAAGTCCACCGGCCCTAAGAAGAGGATGAGAGGCATGCGAAGAAGAGTCCACCTTGGATACATAAGTGAGCTTGGCCAAGGTTAGCAGTGCCACCTAGCTGACCCAGGCATATAAGCATATTGTTATCTGCCACTGGTGATTTGTGTTGTTTGTAATGCAGCATTGTTGTGACAACAGATGACTAATACACTAACTAATGTACCTTTTAAAATGTTGTCTATGATCTGTTCCTACACCACTAAAATATACGTCCCATGAGGACAGGAATAATTTTTTCTGCCTTATTTCTGTTGTATCTTTAGTACCTCCAACACTTTCTGGCACAAAGCAGTTTTCTCAAATATATATATGTGTGTGTGTGTGTGTGTGTGTGTGTATTAAACAGAGTCTCATTCTGCTGCCCAGGCTGGAGTGCAGTGGTGCAATCTCATTTCACTGCAACCTCTGCCTCCCAGGTTCAAGTGATTCTCCTGCCTTAGCCTCCCAAGTAGCTGGGATTACAAGCATGCACCACAACACCTGGCTAATTTTTGTATTTTTAGTAGAGTCAGGGTTTCACCATGTTGGCCAGGCTGGTCTCGAACTCCTGACCTCAGGTGATCTGCCCGCCTCAGCCTCCCAAAGTGCTGGGATTATAGGTGTGAGCCACCATGCCCAGCCAAAAATATTTTTAATAAATAATGAATTTCAAATTTTAAAAACCTTCTTATGAAAAGACCTCTTGGAGAGTTTAATGTACATACATATTCCAGAGTTTGGACAATTCAGTAGATTGGTACCTGGGGTATGCTGAAGAATGCTGAAGTCCAAGAGTCAACTTAGCTACATGTTTTTGAAACAGAAAAAATTCCCTTGTTCCCCTTGCAGGGAGTGCGATGTGGCTCTCTTCTCCAGTGCCCGCTGCTCAGACCTCCAGGGGAGCATACAGATGGTCAGGCTGTGAGGCTCTGATCCCACAGCAGTGTCTGGGGGTGAATGTTTACAGCTCCT
This sequence comes from Homo sapiens, assembly GCF_000001405.40. Taxonomy (NCBI): domain Eukaryota; kingdom Metazoa; phylum Chordata; class Mammalia; order Primates; family Hominidae; genus Homo; species Homo sapiens. The sequence continues at coordinate 4,117,640 of NT_167249.2, forward strand.
GAAGCCCCAGTGGGTGTGTTCCTCTGCTGATGTGCTCTCTCTCAACGTCCAGCAGCTTCTGTCCCTGCCTTGCTAGGGTCTCAGGTTTTTATAGGCAGAGGATGGGGCATGGCAGGCCAGAGTGGTCTTGGGAAATGCAACATTTGGACAGGGAATGCCTGTTCTCACCTAGGTCCGTGGGGATGGAGCCCTAGCCAGGGACCATACCCTCCTCTACCCAGCACTTCTGCTCCCTGCTTCCCTATCATTTAAAGGGACCACACTCTTGCCTTCCTAACACTCACGTACCATTTTCAAGCAGAGAAAAGAACAAGTAGCTACACTAGGATTTGCCTGACTTCCAGAAGGAAAGAGATTCATCTTTCCTTGGCAATCGACGTAGACCAAAAGTAAGGGAAAGGTCTGGGGTCTGCTTGTCTTAGTATCTCAAGGCAGCCTCCAAGAGAAACAGATCATAGAAGAAAGAGGCTGCTAGTATTCCAGAGTGCCTAGTGACTGAGAATTCCATGAGAATGGAGATGCAGTAGCCCTCACCGGGCTCTGAACTAGGGGAGTGTGGATTCTCAAAGAATTCATGAAAATGTTCACAATGGAGTCTTCTTATGCATCTGTTTTCCCTAGAGCATTCAATTCAAGCTCATGAAATATCAGGCAAGTAAAAACTGTCCTCTTCTGCTCTCCATGCCTCAACTCGCAGGGGTCTGAAACTATATCAGGTAGAAGAAATAGAAGCACAAGCTGTAGAAACAAAAGAAGCTAATTTTGCACCTTCACTGTTTGTGAGCTTCTCATCTGCAACACTCTTGAATAGGCAAGAGTGTGAGGCCTCCGTTTTGAATAAAATATAGAAATTTGACTATTGAATGGGACTAATTGAATACCTTTCTTTTTTTACTTAAACATTATCAGAGAGGTTATGAAGCCTTCCTGAATGCTCATTCAAGGTAAGGAATTGGCTAACCCCAAAGAACACATTGAAAAGAAAAAATGATGATAGGATTAAATTAAATATGTTTTATTACATTGCATCAGTTTAGATGTTCAATATATTCTTTTTTAATAAAGAAAAGTTTATTTGGCTAATGATTTTCAGGTTGTACAAGAAGCATGGCACCAGCATCTGCATCTGATGAGGACCTCAGGGTGCTTCCACTTGTGGCGGAAGAAGGGGAGCCAGCATGTGCAGATACCACACGGCGAGAGATGAAGGAAGAGAAAGAGGAGGAAGGTTCCAGGCTCTTTTTAACAATCAGACCTCACAGGAACTAATAGTGTGAGAAGATGTTTAACATATTCTAATAAGATATTCCTAATAAACTGCCATGAGATAACTGCTGTATTAGTCTGTTGTCACGCTTCTAATAAAGACATATCCAATACTGGGTAAATTATAAAGGAAAGAGGTTTAATGGACGCATAGTTCCACATGGCTGGGGAGGCCTCACAATCATGGTGGGAGGCAAAGGAGAAGCAAAAGTATATCTTACATGACAGCAGGCAAGAGAGAGCTTGTTCAGGGGAACTCCCATTTACAAAACCATCAGATCTTGTGAGACTATTACAAGAACAGCATGGGAAAGTCCCACTCCCCTGATTCAATTACTTCTGACTGGAACCCTCCCAAGTCACGTGGGAATTATGGGAACTGCAGTTCAAGATGAGATTTGGGTGCGGACACAGCCAAACCATATAAACTGCAGTTTATTTTTTAATTATGACTCATATCATAAAGAAAAAGGGTTGCTCCAATAATCTGTACCCCATTTCATATTCATAAGGAAAAGATTCTTTTATTGGCTAATTGTTCATGTTTAAATAAAAATCTTATGATTTTACAAGGTTTTGCCTTTTACACTTGATGCTGAAATCAAGAAGTCTTTTAAAAAATAATTTTCCTTTAAACTTTGAGTACAGCTTTTCACTAGGATTGCCAACATGATGAAACGAAGATTTCTCTTATTTAAAGAATATATTAAAGTGTTTATTATTAATTACTCTTTTAATGTAAAGATTTTTGTCTGTTATGGTAATTTGACTTGTTTTGGTTTGGTTTCCGTTTGATACTGAGGATGAAGGGAAATTAGAGCAGAATTGCTTATTTACATTATTTCAAACTTCCAACCATGAAAGGAAAAGGTTTGGGATCTTGTTTGTAAAGCCAAGTGTGTGTGTGTGTGTGTGTGTGTGTGTGTGTGTGTGTGTGTGTATGTGTGTGTGTGTGTGTGTTTGAAAGGGGCTTATTTACACTGGGTTTTACTTTGGTATGGAGGTAACTCTTATCCAAGTGTGGTTGGTTCGAAGGACAAGTAGGGATGATACGAGGCTGCTTGGCACTAAGGATTAGGTAGAGTTGGGGCTGAGTCATGGTTGTGTGGAAAGCTAGGATCATGGTTGGGGAAGGAAGGAGGCTAAATCTGCTGCACAATTTGAAACTAGGGCATGATAGTGTGGCAAAGAAGAGATAGAGCTTGAAATAGAAGTAGTTACTTATTTAGCATGTGTATTAATTACTATATGATTAGTTCAGTGTCATCTGACTAAAATGGAGATTAATGTACTAATGATTAATTTATATGGGTTTTGTTTATATTATTATATAATATAAGCTATGTAATAATCTAAGTTAGAGAGACAATGTTTTATGAGACAAATAAGGTTGCTGCTATCAAAGAAATCAAATAAATGAAGAAAGATTATCATATAATAATGAGTGCTCTCTGAGGAGAAAAACAAAAGTAATTGGGAGTGATTTGAGGGAACTTCTTTAGGTTGAGTGACTAGAAATGGTTATTCTAGAAATACTCTATTTGAAAAGAGACCTGAATGCTAAGAAAAAGCCAGCTATTCAAAATCCATAGCAAACCACTCCACACGGCAAGAACATAAGTGAAAATTGCTAAGGAAGGAACAAATCTGCATGTTAGAGAAACAGATAGGGAGTTAGTGTACTTAAGTTTATTGAGAGACAAAAAGAATGTTATATTGTGGAATAAGTAAAACCATAGAGAAAAACACATTGTAGAAGAGCTACTTGGATTGCCCTGTGATTTTCTGGAAACTTCCTGGCCACAGCAGACTGAAAGGGACATTGTGGTAATGCTGGCTTCTCTAGACTGAACCAAAGCCTATGTCTTGAAAGATTAAAAAGAGATAATGAGCTTATTACTCATTAAAGAAAGCAAGCCATAAAAATAGCTTAAAATATGGAATAAGCGACAGGCATGTCAATTATTTCTCCTTGGCACTGGATTAACAAAAATTTGTTGTTGGTGGTGGTGGTATATTAAGTAGAAAAGGTCTATTGGGCCTAAAAATTATTGACATGTACATTATCTATTCTGTAATGATGCCATCCCTCCTAGTTTCCATTGCAGAGGATTGGATCTGGAAATTGTGTTACTAAGAAAAATGCAGGAGAAGGTTTGAGTGTCCCTATTCCCATATGTAGTGGATTGTCACGAAACATACCTCTCAACCTCTTCCGGTGCATTTCTCCTGTACTGCAAAAGATGTGCAACTGAAAAGAACGTTTCCCGGATAGCATTTGATGTCATTTAGATTTAGCCAATCAGAGGCATTCTGGTAAAGTTTGGACATGCTGAGGGGCTTTTTTGACCTGAAAAGGCACCAGTGTAGGGGTGCCTTATTTTCTGTGCCAGAATTAGGAGAGATTTTCATGTCTGATAACTGACTTCATGGATATAAAGAGGCAGCATGCAGGGTGTCTGTTACTGGTGCAGATTTTAGCAGATGATTTTGGGGGCTTACTAAATGGAGGAGCTTCCCGAATACGGCTGTTCTGAGCAGCGTGAGTTCCTGATTGTAGAAGAGGAGGTGGTTTCCTTGGTTGCCCGATTCAGTTCCTTCTATTGTCCTCATGATTCTCTAGGCTATGTTAAGGTCTGTAATAAACTCCTTTCTGCTCAAAATAAACTAAGGTAAATTTTGTTCTCTGTAGCTATTCAATACTCCATGTCTACCACTTGAACAGACAGAATATAAAATCTTTTTGATGGTAACTCAACACCCTCTTCTGTAATAAATAAATAAATTGAGACTTGAACTCCTACTCTAGTTGGCACTATATGTAGGAATATGGATTCTGGGTGTCTGTTTTCAGTGATCATTATTACCTTGATCAGAGAGAGTCCTCAGCATCTTTGCCCTCAAGGCCAAGACATGAAGACCCTCCTCCCAATTGCCCCTGAAATTGATCTTCTTCTTGGGAATTTTTGTTCAGCACACTGAGTCCCAATGGGTAACTGATTGCCTCTTTATTTTTTCATGGAGAACCAGAACAGAATGGAAGACTTGAGCAACATCAAAGAGTTAGCTATATTTGAAATCCATATGAAACTTACATTTTGAGTAATGAATAGGATACCATAGAGAACCCATGTCTTCTTGACATGTTTTCTCTGGTTCATAGAAATTAGATAGTAATTATTTTCTCTTGTTTCTGCTTAAAAAGACCTAAGACAAAGCCTTAGAATAAGAACTTCAATATTGGCAGATCTGGTAGGCTCAAAAACAAAACAAGAACGGCAGCTATAACATCTACTAGCTGTTTATTGTATGTCCCTTCCAATGCAGTAGAGACAGGAAAAGAAGAAGCTATAAAGTTTGAAGAGAATGAAAAGCTATCATTTTTAGCAAATGTTGTAACTATGTACAAAGGAAATACACAAAATAATTTCAAAGGTAGACTATGCAATTGATAAGAGTGTGTAGCGAGATTGTTGATTTGAAGGTCTTGTGTGATAAAGCATTGTATTTCTGTAGAAAATACGATATTGAAGATTTTTTAAATACCATTTTAAATAACATCATTTCATATTCATAAAAGGGAAATGTGGAAAACACAAAAGTTAATACTGAATAATGATGATGGAATTCTGCCTTATGAAAATATTACCACCACTACCACTATATATGTGTTAATGGACAAAAATAGCCAAGAAAATTTTGCAAAGGAAAATCACGAACGAGGAAGAGGGCACCCTAGACATCAAAGTATATTATAAAATAATAATGTGTGATATTGGCACAGGAGTACCAAAACATTCCCAAGAAAGGAGGAAAGATTTCAGAAACAGGTGAATTCCTGAAGCAAAAGTCATCATGTAGTCAACCAGCAAATATTTATTAAGCACCTACTTAATATTTATTTATTAAGCAGTGTTCTAGGTACTTAGAATATTGCTGAACAAAATAGACAAGGTGTCTCTTTTGATTTTATACTCTAAATAAATAGATGAATAAATGATAATGATAGATAATTGTAGATCAATAGATGGACAGAAACCAGAAAAATAAGAGATATGTTTATATTATGATCAATTAAGTGAACAACAAAATGACCAGATACAATAGACAATTTCATTGAATTGATTTATTGGTTCAACTGGCATATTTCATTTCTTCAGTAAACAAGCTGATGCCCATGACATGCCAATAGCTCACAGCTGTTCTTTGGCCTTCCTGTATATTTCTGCTTCCATTAGTTGAGTTTAATGTTTACCAAAAGTTGCTGGCATTTGCTCACAAACCTGTTCATCTCTATTGACTGGTTATTGTAATTATATATTTAAAAAAGTAAATATTTCATTATGAATTAAGTATGAATTTTAAAAGGGAAATTTTAAGTTCTTAAATAAATGCTTTGGAAATAATAAAGATAAGTTGTTTAATAAAATTATTAAATTAGAAATTGGTAAAATAACTTTTAAATGGAGAAAATGGGGTGAAATCTAAAAGGTTTCTAAATTCAGAATTCTTTGTAATGTTTCACTCTAAATTCTCATAAACTTTTTAAAAAACTAAAATTTGATATGATAGAAAGTTTGTTATGGGTGTTGTTTAGGCATTTAAGATAACCTAAAACTCTAAACAACAGACACATTCACCAAGTGAAGCCTTGGTTCTATGTCAACATATTGCCAAACAAATATACATTTGTACATGTATTTACTTAAGTTAAAATAAAATGTTTACCATATTATATATTTAAAAATCATTCTAATTATTCTCAACTGCAACTGACTTTTAAAAATAATTGTTCAACTACCAGGTCTTACAATTAAATATATGGCTTTCACAAATGTGATAACTGATATGAAGAAAATTAATATTTAATAAAGAGTAACTGAGTGGCAACTCCAAATTTGGTCATCAGGAAAATCTTAGGTTATATTTAAGCTGAAACATAAATAACATAAAGAGCTAGAAATAAGATAATGTACGTATAACAATCAGGTAGAGAAATATTCCGGGCAGAAGAAACCACCCTAATGTAGACCAAACCTGAAATGTTAAAAAAAAACAGAAATGAGGTCAGTGGCAGAGATGGCTGGATTTCCACCAAAATTTGTTCACTCCTCCTCCTGCTTAGCAATATTGCTCAGAAATGGCAGTCCAAGTAAGGACTCCACTTTCACGCTTTTTCATCTAGATGGGGTCACATCACTAGTGCTCACCATGAAATGTGACTGAAAGTAAAGTGTGTTGCTGGCACACCAAGGAATTAAGTAATAAGTGTGCCTTCTCCACCCTCTCTCTTTTGCCTTTCATCATTGGAAGCAGAGGGCAGAAAGTCCAGTAAAAGAGCAGAATCACAACATGTGAAGGGCCTGGGTCCCTGAGTCACTATATGGAGAAAAATACCTAGACTATTAGCAATCTGGCAATGGACTGTTATGTGAATAAGAAGAGAATGTCTATTTAGCTAGTACCCTGAAATTTTTATCTTTATTCTGTATAGCAGCTGGTGTTACCCAAACTAATAAAATGAAACAGTTAAAAGGTAGACAGTGAACTCAGTATTATGGGCAAAGAGCAGATCACAGAAGATTTCATTAGCCAGGCAGAAGATTTGATTAGCCAGGTAAGAAATCTAGGTTTAATTCTAGATGCTATAAGAAAACATGTGAGGTGTTTAATCATGATATAGATGTGGTATAGATTAAGTTTTATAAACATTTCTAGCAGTTGTGTGGAAAATGAACTGTAGGAATCAAGAAGGAAGTAGGGTGATGAGGTGGGAGGCTATTTCAACAATTCAGGAGGAAAATGGCAGTATCTTAAAGTCAAGTGGCTACAAAGAAGATGAATAAAATGGACTAAGTTGAGAAGTATTTTATCATTCAATTGATAGAATTCACCAACTGGCTGAATGTGGAATTGAGAATGTGACAAATCAAGGATAATTCCTCCTTCCCCTGATGGCTTTCTGTTATTTCTGTTATTAAATAAAACCAGTGATGTAAACTAAAAAGTGTGGAAGACGCTAAAGGCAAGATACTCCCACACATTTGAAGTTGTAGATAGGTAGGATCTAGTATTTCATAATTGTCCAATCTGATTATTTAAACCTTAAATAGGGGCAGGACTCCAAGAGCTAAGCTGCTATTGACTCCTCACTAGAAAACCTTAATAACAGAGCCTCTTGGGGATCTATACCTGAAAAAGTTCATAACCAAAGAGACTCACATGGACATGACAAATCTCAAATGACATTGATATCTGCCCTAATTTTGCCAACCATATTTTCCTTGATGACTCCCTCCAAAGTAGTCAGTAGTAGCAGACACATGTTGGGGATGGTTTGTGAGGAGTGCCCTATTACATAACTCCAGCTGCTTTTGCATTTGTGTCCTAGTGACTCGTTCTTTCTCCATAAGAGATTACATCCCCATGAAAGAGCAGTGGGCAACAGATTTCACCTAGCCTTTCGAATACCTCATCACATTGGGCAGAAGTGATAGTTGATTGTGGTTTCATTGTGGTTATGTTATTATTTCCACCTGTATTAAAGGTAGATTCGTCTATTATTTCATCATAGTTTGTAGGACCAATGAGAGCCATGTTCAAAGCAGTTAAGGAGAAATTCATATCACCAGAGTTCCTGGAGTTGAAGGTTTTTATAATTTGGAATTTTCTCATTTTAGAATGGGACAAATGAAGCTTCAGTTGTATAAGAACTACACATATTCTACTTAAAGGGTGCATCTTCTGAATTTTTTAATGTGAAAAGGAACAGAGAAACAGAGAGAGAGAGAGAGAGAGACTTCATATATAAAAGCCTTGTATAATAGATTATGATAGTTATTATTTTTATTTCCACTATTATTATTACGTATCCAGCCTTGTTCTTTTTCCACCTTTGTTTAGGAAAAAGAAAATCTGTATTCCTGACACAGAAGTGGGTTCAAATCTAAGGCCTGGCTAATCAGAGTCCCACATCCCATGGCTGAAGTGATTGGTTGAGAAACTGGAATGCCACTCAAGCTAAGCTTTCTTCAAATTATCAAAATGGAGCTGACATGTTTGATCTGTTGCTATTCAGATGATGAGCTGAAAATATGAGATGTCCATCTTCATAGCCATGTAGGAAATGTTTGACTTCCATAGGAAAAAATAAGGGTAATAAATAGGAAAAAAGCTGAACTCAAAGAGACCTACACAGAGAACACAAGCAAGAGACCAAGAAATACATACACACAAAGAGAAACAGACTGAAAGATGCAGGGAAATAAACAACATAAACATAAAACATAGACAAAGAAAAAGACAATGGACGGAAGGAATGACAGGGAAAAAATGGCAGTGAGGCACACAGGCCAGTAGAGAGATGGCAGGGAGGAAAAGAGTTGGACAGAGAGACAACCCAAGAGACAGATAATAAATTATATATGCACACACACACACACACATATATATATACGCACACACATATATATATGTAAGAGAGAGTCACAGAGAGAAAAAGAAACAGCAATTCAGAGAAATGGATATAAGGGAAAATGCAAATCGAAGAAAGACAGAAAACTATCAAATATATTAATGGGGAGGAGGTCTTTCAGACAGAGATAGAAAAGAGATTTGAAGAGAAAGGAAGAGACAAACAGAGAGAAATATAGAGTAGAATGAAACAGAAGTGCACTGAGAGAAGGGAATGAGGGCAGAAGGGGGAGGGAAGGGTCAGAGAGAGAGAGGGAGGGAACTGAAAGAGAAGAGAGAAAAAGGTTTCATTTGTGTCCAGTATCTAAGCATTTTTCAGAAGCTAAATTCACCTAGAAACTTTCTGATTGCATGAACCCCAAAATTAATTTTTCCCCTTAAGATGGTACTAATAGAGTTTCCATTACAAGCAACCAAAATACTACTTTCTAATAAAACCTCCACTGGTAATTATACAATTGGGTAGGTTGGATGGAATCAACAATCATTGTCTTTTGCCCTGAAGAACACATTGTACTCACCAGAAGATATTTGTGGTGCCATTTGGTTAAGTTACGGTATTAGGTACCATGAGTGGTGCAAAACAATTCTACTTACACAAATAAGTGAAACTAATCAGACTATCGCAGAAGTCAGGAAAGACTGCTGCACACAATCCCAACTTCCAAGCCCCACTGATGATGGAAAATTAAATTTATTTCGTATCTCATTTCACTTTCTTATGTAGCATCTGACTTAGACCAAGTATGGCGACTCATGATTTTTGAGTGTCCTTGCCTGGACATTGTCTTCTTTGGGGGTCATAACTGAACTAAAGTTCTAGAATCTGATCCCTTTCTTAGCTCAATGTTTCCCACCAACACCACTACCCTACTCAATCAGAATTAGAAACACAAGTGACTCACAAATCTATTTAATTTTGAAAAACTAATTATTGAATTATAAGAAGTTTGACATTTAGTTCATGATCAGTCTTCAGAAACAGAAGAAGGTAGTAAAAGCTTATGAAAGTATTTATGGTCCAAACAGGGACAGCAGACAGCAGAGAGCAGAGCTCTCATTATCATGGTAGTAAGCAAACATTTAGGAAATTTCTTGCAGGCAGGAATTTAGGAAAGACAAGAACAAGCAACAACCTGGCAGCCACTTCTCAGTCACCGTGGGAGTCATGTCCTGATGGGTGACACAGCTGGCAGAAATGGCTTGCTCACAGGCCTGACAGAAGAGGGGCTGGGAATTACAGACAAAAGTAAAGTCAAGACAAGACAAGAAAGAGGTAACAGATTCCAGAAAGAAAAATGTTTGCAGCCAATGCGTGAGCCCTCTGGGAGACAGAAGAAACAATCACATGATACAACAACCCCTGGAGAAACACAGTCCCTCCCACCCTTGCGGCCTCTCTGCAGTTGTCAGGACACTAAGGCTAAGTTTATGTCAACACCTGCTCCTCGTTACCTTTCCTGGTAACTGAGTAGAGATGGCAACAGGAATGCCTCATTTTATTGTGCTATGTTTTGTTGTGCTTCTCAAATATTGTGGTTTTTTAAAAATTGAAGGGTTGCACCAAGCAAGTCTATCAGCACCATTTCACCAATAGCATGTCCTCACTTTGTGTCTTTGTGTCATATTTTGGTAATTCTTGTAATATTTCACGTTTTCATTACTATTACATGCCGATCTATGATCAGTAATGTTTGATGTTACTGTTGTAATTGTTTTGGGGCACCATGAGCTGAACCCATATAAGACAATGAACTTTATTGTTAGATGTTGTATATGTTTAGACTGCTCCACTGACCAGCCATCCTCCCTCTCTTTCTCCCTCTCCTCAGGCCTCCCTATTCCCTAAGAACACAAGAACATTAAAATTGGCCAATTAGTAACCCTACAATGGCATCTAAGTAAAGTCACTTGTCTCTCACTTTAAATCAAAAGCTAGACATCATTAAGCGTAGTGAAGAAGACATGTCAAAAGCCAAGATGGGCTAAAATCTAGGTCTCTTGCTTTCAACAATTAGTCAAGTTGTGAATGCAAAGGAAAAGGTCTTGAAGGAAAGAAATTAAAAGTGCTACTCAAGTGAACATACAAATGATAAGAAAGTAAAACAGTCTTATTGCTGATGTGGAAAAAGTTTGAGTGATCTGGATAGACCAAACTAGCCACAACATTCCCTTAAGCCAAAGTCTAATCCAGAGAAAGGCCCTCATTCTCTTTAGTTCTATGAAGGCCAAGAGATGTGAGGAAGCTGCAGAAAAAAAGTCTGAATCTAGCAGAGGTTGATTCATGAGGCTTAAGGAAAAAAGCCACCTTCATAATACCAAAGTACAAGATGATGTAGCAAGTGCTGATATAGAAGCTGTAGCAATTTATCCAGAAGATCTAGTTAAGATCACTGATGAAGGTGGCTACATTAAATCATAGATTTTCAATAGAGATGAAACAGCCTTCTATTGGAAGAAGGTGTCTTCTAGGATTTTCAGAGTTAGAGAGAAGTCAATGCTGGCTTCAAAACTTCAAAGATCAGGCTGACTCTCTTGCTAAGGACTAATGCAGCTGGTGGCTTTAGATTGAAGCTAGTGCTAATTTACCATTTCAAAAATACTAGGGCCCTTAAGAATTACACTAAATCTACTCTGCCTGTGCTCTATAAATGAAACAACGAAGCCAGATAAGAGCACAGCTGTTTAAAATATGGTTGGCTGAATATTTTAAGCCTATTGTTGGGACCCATTGCCCAGACAAAAATATTCCTCTCAAAATGCTACTGCTCATTGACAAGGTACCTAGTCATCCAAGAGCTCTGATGGAGATGTACAAGGAGATGAATGTTGTTTTCATGTCTGCTAATGCAACATCCATTCTGCAACTCATGGATCAAGGGGTAATTTTAACTTTCAAGTCTTATTATTTAATACATTATGTAAGGCTATTGCTGTCAGAGACAGTGATTCCTCTGATGGATCTGGGGAAAGCAAATTGAAAGCCTTCTGAAAAGCCTTCACCATTCTAGATGTCATTGGGAACATTCATGATTCATGGGAGAAGGTCGAAATATCAACATTAACAGGAGATTGGGAGAAGCTGATTCCAACCCTCATGAATGACTTTGAGATGTTTAAGACTTCAGTGGAGGAAGGAACTGTAGATGTCATGGAAATAGCAAGAGAACTCAAATTAGAAGTGGAATTGGAAGATGTAACTAAATTGCTGCAATCTTATGATAAAACTTGAATGGATGAGGAACTGTGGCTTATGGATGAGCAAAGAAAGTGGTTTCTTGAGATGGAATCTACCCCTGGTGAAGATGCTGTGAATGTTGTTGAAGTGGCAACAAAGGATTTAGAATATTACATAACTTAGTTGAGAAAGCAGTAGCAGGGTTTGAGAGGATTGACTACAATTTTGAAAGAAGGTCTGCTGTGGGTAAAATGCTATCAAACATCATCACATGCTACAAAAAAATATTTCATGAAAGGAAGAGTCAATCTATGCAGCAAACTTCATTGTTCTTTCATTTTAAGAAATTATCACAGCCACCTCAAACTGCAGCAGCAGCCATCAACATCAAGGAAAGAACCTTCTATCAGCAAAAAGATTATAACTCACTAAAGGCTCAGAGGATTGTTAGTATTTTTAGCCATAAAATATTTTAATTAAGGTATGCACTTTTTTAGACATAATGCCATTTCACACTTAATAGACAACTGTATATTGTAAACATGACTTTTACATGCACTGGGAAACCAAAAGATACGTTTAACTTTCTTGCAGTGCTCTCTGGAACCAAAATCGCAATATATCTGAAGTGCACTTTACTCTGTTAAAGTGAACACAAAACATCAGCTTGAAGGGGCCTGTGGAAGGCAGAAGAGGATGTTGAAATGCTTTGGTGATGCATAGGTCGTGGACTAACTGGAATGGTAACAACTGTAACTGCCTCTCATCTCACCTACCGCCAAGTTCAGCAGCACTCTCTGCAATTTGGGGATATGGGGGCATCATCCAAGCCTCACTGAATGACTGATACCACAGGTTGGATCTTATTCTGAGGAATAATCCCTGAAGTTTAGAGCAGAGACTTTTCAGAATGTTCCAGAATTTTTCCAGAATTTTTTTTCCAGAATATTCCAGAATTTTGTTTCATGCCACATTCATTCAGGAACAGCAAAATAACTGAAGCATGTTCAGGTGTCCAGAAAAACCCACTCAACTCTTTTTTCCACCTTATGTGTGTCATATTTCTGGGCAAGGAGAGCAGGGATCTTATCTGTGACCAGAGCCCTGTCTATTTAAGAATAACCCTCCACCACTCACTTCTGTAATGATGCAGACATGACCCAGGCCAGGGAGCTCTCAGTGTTCCTAATTTCTGTGATCTATTTCCATCCCCACCTTAGCTGCCTTTCCGTTATAGAGTCAGACAGGACGAGTTACAACAAAAAGCCTCGGTCGCAGCACCAGTCTCTCCATCTTCTTCAAAGGTGCCTTACCTTTCTTATTCCAAAAATGGCTGGGCCACAAGGCCCAAACCAAGAGAGATCAGCCCCAGCACAAGACCCCGAAGGCCACTCAGCATCTTCCTCTGGGCAGATTCAGACAGTGTCCCTGGGAAGTGAAAGCCTGTGTGTCAGAGCCTGTCCCCACACCCCACAGTGTCCTCATCTGGAAGCCTGGAGACCTATCCAGGATGTAAGAGACAGAGGTAGTCTGTCACCAAGCAAAGGAGATGACAGGCAGGCAAAGACCCCAAGGGGCAGCATGGATGGATGAGGAGGAGGGGAAAAAGGAGACGACAACTCCTCAAGGATATGTCCTTCTATAACCCCACAGACCATCTCCAAGACATCAGCCCTAAGGTCAAAACCTAGAACTATAACACCTCAGAAGGCGCACCGACAAGGCTGACCTATAGTCTGGGAGTCAGGTGATGCAAAGGGGCCACCATAATAACCTGGGAGAAAAGGAGTTCAGTTCTCAGCAAGTGCATTTTGACTTGAGACAATGGGATCTCAGTCTTCCATGACTACTAGTCCAGAAATTATATGGGGATACTGTTGTGTAGGAGAGAAGATATGAAAATGTATAACAAGCAGAGGTTAGTAGTGATCTCACCCCGACAAGACCCAGACCCCCCGCCACCCTTCCTTTTTTCCATTGAATCTATGATATAAATAAAGTGCTCCTTACGTCATTCTACCGTGATGGGGCTCTGGAGGCTGGGGTGCTCCAGATGGTAGGTGTAGACATCTCCATGCTCGGGTATTATTTCTAGCATTACAAGAATCTGGTAGGTCTAATCCCTATTCTGAATAGGTGTGGATACAACTCCAGCAGTCTGCTCCTGTTTTTTCTGGAACCATCTGAGTTTCACTTGGCAAGGAAAGAAATTTGTCACCAAACAGACCAGCAAATTGTGATGGCTGACCTCTGTCTTAGCTGGGGAGATGGTCACTGCAGGCTCCACTAGGAGGAATGACAACAGGAAAAGAAACTTAGAGGGTAAGGCAGCAAAGAAATCCTCATCATGGGCTTACATCCTTCCTTTGATACTAAAGTGGAGAAGATAGCAGATATTAATTAGTCTTCTACTCCAATCCCAGATCTAGGTTTTAATTAGCTAACTTGTTAGCCTACTCTTTAGAAAAGAAATATTTTTATTCAGTGGTCACTTGTTTATTAAACCAGATCATTCATGTGAAAGCTCTTCGTAACATAGACTGATAATATTTCAAATATGCGTAAATACATATATGTGTAGGTATATGTACTTGCCTTCTTATGTCTGGTAAAAATAATAATTAAAAAAGGTCTGACAATGTGTAACTATGTGTGATTTTTTATAAAACAAAGATCTTCATGTTTAAATAAATCTTTAGCTCCATTATTCACAGGTTGTAGGGAAAACTGGCTAGCCATATGCAGAAAACTGAAACTGGACCCCTTCCTTACACCTTATACAAAAAATTTTTGACTTTTCTATTTCTCCTTTCATTTCTATCGGCTTTTGTCTCATGTATTTCGAAGCTCTGTTTTTAGGTGCATACACACTTAAGATTGTTTTGTGTCTTTGGAGAAATAACCCCTTATCATTAAATAATATCCCTCTTTATCCCTGGTAATATTCCTTGTTCTGACATCTACTTTGTCTAGATGACATAATTATCTCATTGTGGTTTTGATTTGCATTTCTCTAATGACCAGTGATGATGAGCTTTTTTTCATATGTTTGTTAGCCACATAAATGTCTTCCTTTTGAGAAGTGTCTGTTCATATATTTTCACCACTTTTTGATGGGGTTGTTTTTTTTCTTGTAAATTTGTTTAAATTCCTTGTAGATTCTGGATATTAACCCTTTGTCAAATGGATAGATTGCAAAATTTTTCTCCCATTCTGTAGGTTGCCTATTCACTCTGATGATAGTTTCTTTTGCTGTGCAGAAGATCTTTAGTCTAATTAGATCCCATTTGTCAATTTTGGCTTCTGTTGCCATTGTTTTTGATGTTGTAATCATGAAGTCTTTGCCCATGCCTATATCCTGACTGGTATTGCCTAGGTTTTCTTCTAGGGTTTTTATGGTTTTAGGTTTTATGTGTAAGTCTTTAATCCATCTTGAGTTAATTTTTGGATGAGGAGGAGGAGAAAAAGGGGCGGCAACTCCTCAGGAGTATGTCTTTCTATAACCCCACAGACTACCTCCAAGACATCAGCCCTAAGGTCAAAGCCCAGAACTTTAACACCTCAGAAGGCACACTGACAAGTCTGACCTGCAGCCTGGGAGTCAGGTGATGCAAAGGGGTCACCATAAAAACCTGGGAGAAAAGGAGGTCAGTTCTCAGTAAGTCCTTTTGACTTAAGAAAGTGGTCCAATTTCAGTTTCTGCATATGGCTAGCCAGTTTTCCCAACACCATTTATTAAATAGGGAATCCTTTCCCCATTGCTTGTTTTTGTCAGGTTTGTCAAAGATCAGATGGTTGTAGATGTGTGGCGTTATTTCTGGGGCCTCTGTTATGTTCCATTGGTCTATATATCTGTTTTGGTGCCAGTACCATGCTGTTTTGGTTATTGCAGCCTTGTAATATAGTTCAAATTCAGATAACGTGATGCCTCCAGATTTGTTATTTTTGCTTAGGATTGTCTTGGCTATACGGGCTCTTTTTTTGGTTCCATGTGAAATTTAAAGAAGTTTTTTCTAATTCTGTGAAGAAAGTCAGTGGTAGCTTGATGAGGATAGCATTGAATCTGTAAATTACTTTGGCCAGTATGGCCATTATCACAATACTGATTCTTCCTATCCATGAGCATGGAATATTTTTCCATTTGTTTGTGTCCTCTCTTATTTCCTTGAGCAGTGGTTTGTAGTTCCCCTTGAAGAGGTCCTTCACATCCCTTGTAAGTTGTATTCCTAGGTATTTTATTCTCTTTCTAGCAATTATGAATGGGAGTTCACTCATGATTTGGTTCTTTGTTTGTCTGTTATTGGTGTATAAGAATGCTTGTGCTTTTTGCACATTGATTTTGTATTCTGAGACTGCTGAAATTGCTTGTCAGCTTAAGGAGATTTTGGGCTGAGATGATGGGGTTTTTTAAATATACAATCTCTTGCCAGTCAGAATGGTGATCATTAAAAAGTCAGGAAACAACAGATGCTGGAGAGGATGTGGAGAAGTAGGAACGCTGTACACTGTTGGTGGGGGTGTAAATTAGTTCAACCATTGTGGAAGACAGTGTGGCGATTCTTCAAGGATATAGTACCAGAAATATCATTTGACCCAGCAATTCCATTTTTGGTTATATACCCAAAGGATTATAAATCATTCTACTATAAAGATACATGCATATGTATGTTTATTGCAGCACTGTTCACAATAGAAAAGACTTGGAACCAACGCAAATGCCCATCAATGATAGACTGGATTAAGAAAATGTGGCACATATACACCATGGAATATTATGCAGCCATAAAGGAGAATGAGTTCATGTCCTTTGCAGGGAAATGAATGAAGCTGGAAACGATCATTCTCAGCAAACTAACACAGGAACAGAAAACCAAACACCACATGTTCTCACTCGTAAGTGGGAGTTGAACAATGAGAACACATGGACACAGGGAGGAGAACATCAAGAAAAAAACACAGAATATTATAACACTGCAACTGTGGTGTGTAAACTACTCTTATTCTAAGTAGTAAGACTACGTGATGAACCAATAAAAAATAATAACTACAACAACTTTTCAAGACATAGTACAATAAGATATAAATAGAAACAACAAAAAGTTAAAAAGTGGGGAGATGAAGTTAAGGCAAGTTTTTATTAATTTTCTTTTGATTTTGTTTGCATGGTATACAGTTTCATTCATTTTACTTTTAATGTAAGTATGACTTTATATTTAAAATGGGTTTCTTGTAGATGGATTATAGTTCAATTGTGCCATTTTTACTGTCTGATCTTCTTTATCACTTAATTGGTGTGTCTAGGCCAATTATACCTATGAAATTATCAACATGGTTGGATTACTTTTGCTAGATATTTTTTGTTAATTCTATTAAACATTTGTTCATTTTCAAAATTGTTTTTCTGCCTTCTTTTGGATTAGTTTTTGCCCTAGGATTTTACATATATGTATAATATACTTTCAAATATACCTTAGCTCAGTATGCTCCAAATTTCTCTCTCTCTCATTCATTGTGCAATTGTTATCATATATTATACTTTTTTATATTCCATAAACACAAAATATATTGCTACTAATTTTGCTGTAGACCCTCTGTTACCTATAAGGTAACCTTGCAAAGACAATTCTGTTTGTTATTTAATATCATCCCCACCAATTCTTTGTCAGTAACAACTCCTATATCAATGAATTAGTTGCTTTAAACAACTCTCTTAAATAAACTACACAATAACAAAAAAATAGTACGGGGAAAATACTGCTGCCTAATAGTCTTCTGTGGGAAAACACGCAAAATTACTCCCATGTGCAGATCTGCTTTCACCATAGCCCCAGGTTGCTCTTCAGCTAAACAGAATAGGTTATTTGATAAAGACTTTGTGCAGAGACTATAGTATGTAATCAATAAATACTTGTTGAGTTGAACTGAAATTCTTAATTCATCTGAATCAGGTTGTAGAACTGACTACTGGGAAACAGATAATATTCCTCACGCCTAATAGCAATTGATTCTTTTCCTAGGAACTCTCCAATCCTAATGTACATATTGTGAACATTCTTTGAATAGATCTTTTCATTTATTTATTTTTAGAGACGGGGTCTTGCTACTGAGACAGCCAGGTGGGAAGGGGTCCCCAGATAAATTCCAGCCAGCCTGAGCACTGGGAGGAGTGCAAACTGGGATGGAGCCACAGAAGTTTGCACCATTTGCGGCAGGGAGGAGACTGACCCCTCTTCTTTGGGTGGAACGTGGAATTCAATCTGTGAGGTGGGAAGCCCACTGGCAGAAAAAAATGCATTCTCTCACTTTGCTAAGAGCCTCTGTTTCCCCTTTTCTTCCTTTTCACCCAATACTCAACCTTCAAGTTGTCCTACTCACCCTTCAAGTTGTCTGTGAACGTAATTTCTCGTGGCTGTGTGGCAAGGACGCTGTCATTAGCTGAACTAAGGAAAAGTCCTGTAACACTATGTTTCCCAGGCTGGCCTCAAACTCCTTGGCTCAAGTGATCTTCCTACCTCAGTCACCTGAATTGCTGGGAGTATAGGCACACACCTCCACAGTCAGCTGTACAGTTATTTTTACTTAGCATTAGTGATTTTAAAATGACAAATAATTTTAAATGGAAACTTTAAAAGCAAGTGTTTATATGAAATTATTCATATGTATTTACCAAAGGTCATCATGTATATGTAAAGCATTTTACCTAGAAATTTTAAGTTGTGATTTTGCCAGAACATTAAAAACAGAAATAATAACACAAGAATAATTCAAATGTTTTAATAACTGACAACTTTAGGGAAAAATGAATCCAGATATGTGTGATGTTTGGGGATTTTGAAAAATACCTCAAACAAAAGAAATATTTTATAAATTATTTACAATGATACAAGTTGAGTAAAAATTATTCTTGCTATAGTATTTCTCTAAAAGTATCCCATTGACTAAAGAAGATTGGCAAGGACAATCTTGCACCTGAGAGATGGTGGAGCTTGAAAGGCTTACAATGGGCACTAAAGAGAGAAGATGGGGGCAGGGGAATGCTTCCACTCTCATTTGTCCTCCTCTCCGCGCCTATGCACTTGAGATAGTCATGCATTCATTATTATCTTTGAGTCGTGGGAATATTGGTGTCCATGGGATTTATGCACCATAAGAAATGTAAAAGGAAGACCTTCACACGGTAGCCATATGATATCACATAGAAACCTGGATCTATACAAAGAAATAAACGCTGGAAATGAAACATTTTTTCACATTTAAAAAATGGTCTAAAATGAGGCTTCTCAACCTCAGAACTGTTGGCATTTTGTTTCAGGTGATTATTTTCTTGTAGGAGGCTGCCATGTGCATTGCAGGATGTGTAACAGCACCCCTGGCCTCTACCCAATACCTGCCAGTAGCACCCTCCCCAGTAATGACAACAAAAGTATCTCCAGACATTGTCAAACATCACTTGCAGGAATTTTCTATTGGCCTCATTTTAGAATGTCTGTCTTACAAAATCATACGAAGATACTAAATCGTTGTTGGAAGTCATTAAGTTTTGGAATAGTTTGTTACATAGAAAAATCTGACAGATACAACAGTCTTCAAAGAAATTCTGTTTCCTAGAAATCTCTTAGTGTTTCTGTGGCTCACAGGCTCCTATATGCCTGGAGTGCCACAGGGAGAAGCTTAAATGAATGAAGAAAAAGTAATAGTCTGTCCCAGCCCAATGTGTGATGTTACTATCATTATCATTATTAATATTTGTCTTTATATAGCAGCTCCCACTTGGGAATAGTTGCTAGGTGCCAGAAACTGGCCTGTATTTAACTGCATAATTTGTACTTATCTATCGTTTCATCATATTAATTATCTTCTAATAGTTTTCATCCCACATTATAGAAAATAACCCTAAGGCTCAGGTATTCTGAGTGGCTTGCCCAGGGTGATGGAGCTGATAAAATCAAAAGCAGCATGGAATACGTTTATTTTATTACAAAATCTATAATATTTTTATTTTGCTATTCTAGACTCTGTTATTGTTGTGAAGCACCTTTAACTACTGCAAGATAGAAGTCTTGGCCTTCAGAGTAAAATTTCATCAATGCATAAAATTAGACCTAAAGTTAGGGTCTTAGAGAATGTTATAACTGCTCCTTAGAACTAACATAATTTCTGCCTAATTTCTTAGAGGGCCCTTAATAATATCAATTGTAATGGCATATCCCATTGATATTTTAGTTACGAAATTAATGGCATGTCAATTAGTGCTTTCTAAGAAAGTTATTAGACAAAGTAGTATTTTGAGCTCCAAATTTTATTCCCACTATTACTTTATGAAAAGGACTTTTTCTTTTTTCTTTTCTTTTTTTTTTTTTTTTTTTTTTTTTTGAGACGGAGTCTCGCCCTGTCGCCAGACTGGAGTGCGTGGAGTGTAGTGGTGCGATCTTGGCTCACTGCAACCTCCGCCTCCCGCGTTCAAGCGATTCTCCTGCCTCAGCCTCCCGAGTAGTAGCTGGGACTACAGGCGCGTGCCACTACACCCAGCTAATTTTTTTTTGTTTTTTGTTTTTTGTTTTGTAGAGATGGGGTTTCACCATGTTGGCCAGGATGGTCTCGATCTCTTGAACTTGTGATTTGCCTGCCTCAGCCTCCCAAAGTACTGAGGACCTTTTCTATTTCTACAAGACAAAAGTAAGAAATTGGTTTCTGTTAAAATGGTATACTGTTCTTCTGAGTCTAATTTACTGATTATTCTATCTTGCATTAAAATTATGACCTGAAAACAGAAGCAAATAGAACAAGGTTCGCTGTATTCTGGCTGGATGAAGCAGGAGGAGGAGAGGGACACAAAACCAGTTAAAGATAGAAAGAGCATCTATTATCTTTTAGTCAATGACCTGGCCTTGCTTGGACTTTCCCTCCATCCCACAGGATGTGAGATCTGAGACTGAACCCACGACTTCCCTTCTAAGATACAATTCTGATCCCACATTTAACACCCTAACTTCCTAATTAGAGTTGAGTTTTTTAAACTGTGATATTAATAGGGGAAATTCTGGAGTGCTATCAGGAAAGATTTAGTTCATTTGCCAAAATCTTAAGGAATTTCTGTCAGATACAAAGCAGGTAAGTCTGGATACAGGGGAAAAAAGATAGAAATGTATTATTTACTACACAGCAAAGAGGATGCTGCACGGTGAAGGGAGCAGAGCTCAACTGCAACCTCAAAAACCCTCTTAGTTCACAATGGCAGTGGCTAGAAAGAGTAAAAAGGCCACGTACAGTGTCATATATCTCTCCTAATCGCACTAGGGCACTTACTCTGAATCCACACAGAAGGAGACACCCCTCACCCCTCATGAGGAATCATGGCTTGCCCCTGTAGCATCCCATCTCTACTACTTACGAGCCATGTGACCCTGGGAAAAGTCCTTTACCTCTCTGAGTTTTAATGTCCTCCTTGAAAAATGTGGATGATACTAAAGTATGACAAGTATTTATAAAGAGTAATTCATTCCAAGTGCAGTATATGTACATTCCTCACAACTGCCTAATGAGGTACCATCAGTGCCTCCGGCCAAAGACCACGAAGAGCATACCCTTGAATGAACAAGTTGGCTTTATTGTTCATTGCAATGATGGAGAAAAGTCACCATGGGGAATCATGCAGCAGTTCAGTAAGAGATTGTTGGAACCAAAGAAGTAGAACTAGGAGAACACATATATTAAGAGAATGACTGAAAGGAATTAATTTGTGCAACTGTGGGGGTGGACTAGGCAAGTCTAAGACCCACTGGGAGGTGGTCATCAGGAAAGGCAGGTTGAAATTCTTAGCACTGGCTGACGTGCTGTCCACAGTGGAATTTCCGTTTCCTCAGAGAAGCCTCAGCTCTGCTCTTAAGACTTTTCAACTGCTTAGACTAAGCTCACCCAATTTATCTCAGATAAATTCTTACTTAAAGTTAACTGATTATGAACTTTAATGACATCTACAAAATATCTTCACAGCAACACCTAGATTATTAGTGTGTGAATAACTGGGGACCACAGTCCAGTCAACACATAAAATTGACCATTAATCAATTGTAAGATTTGTGCTTGTGTTAGGTAATTTTGAGGAGGAGTTAAGAAAGAGGGACTTCATTTTTAACTGGATTCTGACAGAAAGCAGGGAGTGGGGATGGCAATGCTATGATTGGGTAGCTTCATAAATACTACCTAGAGGGACGGAAGACTATCCTGAGGCTACGGCTGTGATTGGTAAAGAAGCAGCAATCACTCTTTCGAGAGATGTGCCTGGTTATTTTTGTAGTTTGGACAATATTCATGTTTTGTCTGGGTGCAGACGTGATGACTGAGTGGCCTTATTTTCTGTCTCAATCCATCGCACTCACAGAGTACCTGTCTGATTCTGATGTTCTATGAAATTGATTATCTTCAACAGGAGAATCAAAACCAGCTGTGCACACCAGGCTAGCTCCTAGCAACCCCAAGGCCTTGTTAATTGCATCCAGGCAGCCCCCAGGTATCAGGACACTTTTTATTTTACCTTTTTTTAGTCTCTGCCATTGGGAGGCAAGACAACATGCTGAGAATCTCAGAAGGCCATTCAACAAGGACAGAGTGATTCTAAATGAAACCTCCATTACTAACTTGTTGTTTCTATAACATACAGAAAATAGATTCATCTGAAAAAAGGTAAGTTTCCCTGTGATTACTACATTTTAGCTCATTCCCTAGTCCCTTGCAATATCTGAAATCTTAATGTGGTTGGATAACAAATATGAAAAGATCCAGTAGTTTAAGAAAAGTAAACCTATTTTCTAAGTTAAAGCAATTCTCCTTATTCTACTCTCAATATTTGACTTGACATTCTTAAATTAAAAAAAAAAAATTACTGGCCGGGCGCGGTGGCTCACATCTGTAATCTCAGGACTTTGGGAGGCTGAGGCAGGCAGATCACGAGGTCAGGAGATCGAGACCATCCTGGCTCACACGGTGAAACCCCATCTCTACTAAAAATACAAAAAATTAGCTGGGCGCGGTGGCGGGCGCCTGTAGTCCCAGCTACTCGGGAGGCTGGGGCAGGAGAATGGCGTGAACCCAGGAGGCAGAGCTTGCAGTGAGCCGAGATAGCACCACTGCAGTCCGGCCTGGGCCAAAGAGTGAGACTCCGTCTTAAAATAAATAAATAAATAAAATAAAATAAAATAAATTATTAGAGTAATTGAGCCAGCCAAAGCTTTTTTAATGTAATCAATGTCCCTAAATTTCCTTTAAATATATTCAAGCAGCTCCGAAACACAGAGCATAAAGATTACTAGAAGCAAAACAAAAAACTGTGTAAAAGATCGGTTACTGTAGGCAGCACCGCATGACAGTCTAACCCCTTTAATTGCCCTGGTCAAAAACACCTGGAGCTTTTGAGAACTTACCCAACTGGATTTATACAAGTAGAAAAGGCAAAGGTATTGCTTGGCTACCACCAGCAGAGATCCCTAGGAAGGTGGGGTCAAGTCAAAATTTGGGGAATACCATATACACTATGGAAGCAAAAAGAAAAATAGCTAACCCACATACAGAAGCCAGAGAAAGGGGAGGGAATGGGGACTGCCAGGGAGGAAAATCACTTCAGGGAAGAATTCCTGGAGAATGTAACCCAGAAAACCCTGAAGGATGCCATATTATTGATGACCTTACCTATCCAAGCGGCTGCTCAGAAATTCCCGCCCCTCTTGACACTAGCAGACATGCACACATGACAGAAGATTCAGATTTAGTATCTTCCCTTTATTTATAGAAAATTTCCTCAAGACCATGCTGTGTGGAGGATGTGTCAGAACCAGAGGATGTCCCTGTCTTCTTCCAGGGCTCTTAATATAAACTCTGCAACTGGCAAACAATATGTCACCATAGGGGATTTTTCTGATTGGCCAAAACCTGACCTGGCAGGGTTTGGTTTGGGTGTCTTCAGATTTGCTTGTCTCGAGGTCCTCACAATTGCTCTACAGCTCAGAGCAGCAACTGCTGAGGCTGCCTTGGGAAGAAGATGATCCTAAACAAAGCTCTGCTGCTGGGGGCCCTCGCCCTGACTGCCGTGATGAGCCCCTGTGGAGGTGAAGACATTGTGGGTGAGTACATGAGTGAGGAATGTTCTCTGGAGCTGAAAAACAGTAAATTAAAGGAAAAGAGAGAGTGTAATTTGCTAAGAAATAGTAGAAATTTCCCAAGGGTCTTTTCAATATTAAGAAATTTTAAAATTATGGCAGTTCCTCCTTTAGGAAACCAGAGCTCCAACCGACTCTCTTTGCTACCTGTGCTATTGGAGTTTACCAAGGACGTTGTTCTGTTTATATTATATCCAGAGACTATAGCCTGGAGGTCTGTGTGGCATTCCATCATGATTGCCTCAAAGACTAGGGATGTTTCCATGAATGGAGTATTTTTTTGTTATTAAAAATTTCTGAACTGTTACTCCCAAATTTCTCTGAACAACTTTTGAAGCTTTTCATATGCCTCCTATAGCATATGTTGGGGTAGATAGTTCCATGAAGTATGTACACTCTATAGATATAAAGAAAGAGGTTCTTTTCTTTCTCTCAGACTTACATTTCCACATGGGAATTGGCACAGGTGGGGAGTAGGTGAAAGAGCCCAGCAGGCTGAATGCCTTCAACAATCATTTTACCACGTGGTAAATGTGGTACTTACTCTCTGCTACCTCATATATGTCACCTCGCTTATGATCAAATAAAATGGGCATGTAGATATGCTTTATGAATAGTAAAAACATGAATGTCAACTTTTTTTAACTTATTCCTATTACAGGTATAACTTCGTATTTTTTCTTTAGCAAAGTAAGGAATATATTTTAAAACTGAGAACTTTATGATAAAATGCTTGGTAAATTAAATTATTTTATTCTCAAATTGTCAACCCAAATTACTAGTTCTTCACCTTATCTAATGAAGTCTTATAAAGAGAAAAATGGGCAGGCACAGATAATTATTTGGTCCCTTAGTCCCCTCTGCCTTTGTCGTCCATCTCTTCCCACCTCTCTTCATGCATCCCTTTCTCCCTCTTCCCTTTCAGGATCCATCTCTGACTCCCTGCTCCTTTACAGACATGGGCAGTGGGTTTGTAAAACAAAAGTTGGAAAGTCAAATAGTTAAAAGGGGAAGTGAACTGGAAGCTACTCTAAACTTTCACAACCTTATTAACCATGGCTGCTCCCATTCTGATTTTGTTTGGCAGTGGAAGTTTCACCTGCTTCTCCAGAGCACTTGGCTTTTTTGTTTCAAATTTCCTTTCTTCAACCTCACACCAGAGTGCCCCGGTCAGGCTCGACTTATCCATTAGGAACAGTGTGGGCAGTGAAGGGGACCCTCCAAACTGTAAAGCTACAAGAGAACGTTTTAACTCCTTTTAAAATTAGAAGAAAAATGAAGTTTTACAGTCTATGAAAATGTTTTAACTTTTTTTTTTTTTTTTGACGGAGTCTCGCTCTGTCGCCCAGGCTGGAGTGCAGTGGCACGATCTCGGCTCACTGCAAGCTCCGCCTCCCAGGTTCACGCCATTCTCCTGCCTCAGCCTCCCGAGTAGCTGGGACTACAGGCGCCCGCCACTGTGCACGGCTAATTTTTTGTATTTTTAGTAGAGACGGGGTTTCACCGTGTTAGCCAGGATGGTCTCGATCTCCTGACCTCATGATCCGCCCGTCTCAACCTCCCAAAGTGCTGGGATTACAGGCGTGATCCACCGCGCCCGGCCTTAACTTTTAATGTAGCCTGGATTGTATTTGTCTTTATACCAATACAATCAGAAGCTGTAATTTTCCGTATTTTTATGGAGGAAGGCGCCCACAAAAGCAACAGTGCTCGGGGCTCACAAGTCAGAATTCAGCCCTGGGCATCCCTGATCCTGGGCTTTGCGTGGTTCTGCTACCTGGGTGCCTGTCAGTCTTCCCCAAAATCTATGTAATTGTCAAAAATTGCAATTGTCATTCAATACACATGTTTGAGCACACAATGAGCTAACTTTTGGGAATTCAAAGATAAAAAATCATGCTGTCTGCCTTGCAGAGGGTGCACAAACCAGTGATGGAAACAGTATGGGGCACAGGAAAGCAGAAGGCCCTGCTGAGCAGGACACTGGCCCAGCAGAGGCTGAAACTATAAAAATGACTTGGTTCCAGCTGGGCCAGTAGAGTGATGTCCTCCAGCAACACTTAGCACCCAGGACAAGTACCAGATGAAAAGAAGGATTGCATGTATTCCACATATATTCATGTTTGAACAAGGAGTCAAAGTTTATTGTAAGGATAAGGAGTCTTTGTTGGTGGCCTGTTAAGTAACCAACCAGGGCAGTCATGCTGGGTAGGGAAGAAGGTGAGCTGGAGGAGGAAAAGACAAACTTGGAGAGCCAGACATTGAGATTCCATTGAGGCGTTGGAGGTCACAACGCGGTCAAAAACATGTTGAGAGGACTTAGCTGCAAAGTTGTTAACTAAGTAGAAACCTCAAGGATGAATTTTAGGATTTCTCCAGGAAATCCTAAAAGATAACTTCTTTCAGGGAGAAAAAACAGACCCTTGCAAAGACATGAAAGGAAATGTAGTTTGGTTTGATTGGCAGATAGTTGTGAAGAATGTCGGACTGTAAGGCTGTCGATATCCTCCTCACAGAATTCCCCAAAGTACATTGTATTTGCTCCCTTACCGACCTGATTCTCCCACTATTCAGTTCATTCCTTGATGCTGTTTTAAGCAACCCCTGCTCTGTCTGACACTTTTGGATGCTCAGTAAATGAGGAAGGAAGGAAGGAAAGATAAAATGGTAAAGGGCTCACACATGTCTTAACAAAAATGTCCAGTTCGGCTCATTTGGCTATACTTCATGGCTGCTGCTCTGCCCTGGCATCCTCGGATAAGCTCGCTGCCCATTAGAGGAAAAAGGGTTTAATTTACCTGAGTCCTCGAGTGAATGTAATTGTTGAATCAGAACACTATAGATATTTAGTAACCTCCTTCAGAGGAAAAAAAAAAGTGGGGGCAATGACAGAAATTAAAAAACCAGTTGAGCTTCCACTTTTCATTTCAGAAGAAATCAGGTGCTCTCCTCTAAGGACCACTACTATTAACAAAACAGAGACCTTAGAAGAATTGTTTATTTGTTATAAATGTATAATGTTGCTATTCTTGTAATAGTCTTTCTTGTACCCTATAATTGTTAGAAGAAATTATTTTAAGTTAATACGTTCCTACATGCTTTTCTTTGGTTTAAAAAAAAAAAAAAAGGAAACTCTGTGTAGAAAGTGTCCTGTTCTGATCTAGTCCTGACAGGAAACGAAGTATAATCAACTTGTTATTAACTGAGAGAGAAAACTTAGGAAGCAGAGGGAAATAAACTGAATCTCTGAGTAAGAAAACTAAATCCTATGATAACTCATTCATTCCTTCCTTTGTTTATTGCAATATTCATCATAAGCTTATGATGTGCCAGGCACTAAGTAGGCACTCAGGAAATAACAGACGTGTGACGTTCTGCCTTTGTGGAGCATATGTTATAGTGAGAAAGACAGAATCAGTTCTAACCTGATGACTACCAACGTTAGGCAAGGAGGAAGCAGGTGTTAGGAAGATTGTTCAGGGACTGTGCCAAAGATGAAGCCCATAATATTTGAAAGTGAGTTTCTTCAATCACTTTCTGTATTAAGGTTCTTTCTCCCTGTGTTCCACCCTCCTGCTTGTCACCTTCACTCGTCAGCTGACCATGTTGCCTCCTATGGTGTGAACTTCTACCAGTCTCACGGTCCCTCTGGCCAGTACACCCATGAATTTGATGGAGACGAGGAGTTCTATGTGGACCTGGAGACGAAAGAGACTGTCTGGCAGTTGCCTATGTTTAGCAAATTTATAAGTTTTGACCCGCAGAGTGCACTGAGAAATATGGCTGTGGGAAAACACACCTTGGAATTCATGATGGGACAGTCCAACTCTACCGCTGCCACCAATGGTACGTGTCCACCATTCCGCCTCTCTTTACTGAAACTAATCTTTCATACCAAGTTTTACTCCCTTCTTCTCAAGAGATTTCCAGATCTTCTCATGGTAATTGCTGAAATTTTATCATCTCCCATCTCTAAAATCACATATTCCCATGTAATACAAGGGTCTTTCCATTATGTATTAATTCCTACTTTATTAAACATGCCCACAGAGAGAAGGGCACAGGAATAAAGCAGAGGCAATGTGTCGTTGCTCCCAAGCAGAAGGTAAATAAGACCTCTTTGACTATCAGGTGGTGAAATGCTGGTAGGAGGGCTCTTCCAGGATGTAATGCAGAAGCTCATGGCAGAGCTATTCACACTTCACATCAGTGCTGTTTCCTCACCACAGAGGTTCCTGAGGTCACAGTGTTTTCCAAGTTTCCTGTGACGCTGGGTCAGCCCAACACCCTCATCTGTCTTGTGGACAACATCTTTCCTCCTGTGGTCAACATCACCTGGCTGAGCAATGGGCACTCAGTCACAGAAGGTGTTTCTGAGACCAGCTTCCTCTCCAAGAGTGATCATTCCTTCTTCAAGATCAGTTACCTCACCTTCCTCCCTTCTGCTGATGAGATTTATGACTGCAAGGTGGAGCACTGGGGCCTGGACGAGCCTCTTCTGAAACACTGGGGTAAGGATGAGTTCCACCACTTCATGGGTTTCTAATAATAGACTTCACTCTTCTCCCTAAGCCTGGGGCCTTGAGTCTTGCAGAGCCAGCCCTCCACCCCATCCCATCCCACACACATGCACATGAGCACACTGCACATTCTGACCTCAACAGCTCCACTTTCACAGAGCCTGAGATTCCAGCCCCTATGTCAGAGCTCACAGAGACTTTGGTCTGCGCCCTGGGGTTGTCTGTGGGCCTCATGGGCATTGTGGTGGGCACTGTCTTCATCATCCAAGGCCTGCGTTCAGTTGGTGCTTCCAGACACCAAGGGCTCTTATGAATCCCATCCTGAAAAGGAAGGTAAGATTGAGATTTGTTGGAGCTGAAACCTCAGTATGAGAGGGAGGAAAGTGGGAGGGGGTTGTGGACATGAATGTGGTTGAAAGTTGTAGGCGAATTGGGAAGTGGCATGATGATCACACAGGAGGCCCCTCAGACCCATCGATCTCATGTCTGTCCTGTTGCAGGTGCATCACCATCTACAGGAGAAGAAGAATGGACTTGCTAAATGACCTAGCACTATTCTCTGGCCTGATTTATCATATCCCTTTTCTCCTCCAAATGTTTCTTCTCTCACCTCTTCTCTGGGACTTAAGGTGCTATATTCCCTCAGAGCTCACAAATGCCTTTCAATTCTTTCCCTGACCTCCTTTCCTGAATTTTTTTATTTTCTCAAATGTTACCTACTAAGGGATGCCTGGGTAAGCCACTCAGCTACCTAATTCCTCAATGACCTTTATCTAAAATCTCCATGGAAGCAATAAATTCCCTTTTGATGCCTCTATTGAATTTTTCCCATCTTTCATCTCAGGGCTGACTGAGAGCATAACTTAGAATGGGCGACTCTTATGTTTTAGGCCAATTTCATATCATTCCCCAGATCATATTTCAAGTCCAGTAACACAGGAGCAACCAAGTACAGTGTATCCTGATAATTTGTTGATTTCTTAACTGGTGTTAATATTTCTTTCTTCCTTTTGTTCCTACCCTTGGCCACTGCCAGCCACCCCTCAATTCAGGTACCAACGAACCCTCTGCCCTTGGCTCAGAATGGTTATAGCAGAAATACAAAAAAAAAAAAAAAAGTCTGTACTAATTTCAATATGGCTCTTAAAAGGAATGACAGAGAAATAGGATACAAGAATTTTGAATCTCAAAAGTTATCAAAAGTAAAAAATTTTGTTACCAAAAGTCAAACTGCATTCTCAAAACTTTAAATTTGTGAAGAATGACAACAGTAGAAGCTTTCCTCTCCCCTTCTCACCTTGAGGAGATAAAAATTCTCTAGGCAGGAAAAGAAATGGAAGCCAGTTAGAAAAACATTGAAATAAGGCCAGGCACGGTGGCTCACACCTATAATCCCAACACTTTGGGAGGCCAAAGTGGGCAGATCACTTGTGGTCAGGACTTCGAGACCAGCCTGGCCAACGTGGTTACACCCTGTCTCTACTAAAAATACAAAAATTAGCTGGGCATGGTGCTGGGCACCTGTAATCCCAGCTACTCAGGAGGCTGAAGCAGGAAAATCGCTTGAACCTGGGAGGTGGAGGTTGCAATAAGATTGTGCCACTGCACTCCAGCCTGGGCAACAGAATGAAACTCCATCTCAAAAATAAATAAATACATATAAATAAATTTTTTAAAAAAGAAAAATATTAAAATAAGGCAATAATATAAGGGGGTATCTGAAAAGGAACAAATGCTTGTTCCTTACTTAGGGTTAGTGACAATGGAAAACAGATAGAAGTAGAAGCTACAGACCCATTTAGGGGCCCCAGCCCCCTGCTCCTCCCCCTTCCTGGCTAAGGAAAGCATGAGCCTATGAGAGAGAAATCCTAGGAAGAACAAGACAGTTGAGACAATGTAGCAGCAGTAGTGGGTGCTGTGTCCTACACTGGATTCGTGGTCTCCTAATAGAAAATCTCTCAGAGGAAATGGGTCCACAGGGACCTGAGAGCTCTAAACAGCTATGAAATCTGCCAGGATATTTCTGTCCATGCTATCTGCATCAGTGAGTTTAAAATGTAATAGGAGAAAAAAAAGAGACAAAACATTAACATAATAATTGATACAGCATAGTTTTGTACAAAGAAACCTAAATCCAAATACTTGACTCAGTATTTTGAAGCTAGTATTTTAAACTTTACTGGGTAAAGTATCTGATTGACATTTCTGAACCTTATTTTTCTCATCCACAATGTGGGAGTGATAATATTTTCCTTGCAGAGTTATTGACAGAATTTGAATAATCTTGGTATATAGACAGTGCCTTACACGTAGTATATAAATATATAAGAAAACACTGCAGTTATGTTTATAATGGATTTATTAAAAAGAATGGATCATATTATATGAAAAGTACATTTGTTTTCCTTAGCCCTTTAGTGATTTAGGAGATTCAAGCGTAGACGTAAAAGTGAGTTTCTTTTCATATGTTAACTGGAGGATTTTTTTCTTTCTTGAGAGGCTGAGATTGGGTTGCTAAGAGAACTCTTAGGACAAGAAGTTGTAATATTTGACTTCGGTTTTTAACTCTCTAAGGGGTATATTCCCTCCTTATGTCCCATAAATTTTAAGTCAAGGTGAATTATATGCAACAGCAGTTTATCCATATTTACTTTGGGGAGGAGGTGGGGAGACTCCGGGAGAAAATAATTATAAATGCAGACTGGGAATTAGTAAGTGCAGGGAATCTGAACCAGTGGTGATCATGAAAACGTCCATCACAGAACACAGAGGATTTTTAGGGCAATGAAACTACTCTATTTGATACCACAATGGTGAATAAATATCATTATGCGCTTGCCCAAATCCATAGAATGTACAACACCAAGAATGAACCTTAATATAAACTATGGACTTTGGGTGATAATGATGTGTCAGTGTAAGTTCATAAGTTGTAGCAAATGTACCTCTGTCATGAAGGATGTTACTAGTGGGGGAGGCTATGCATGTGTGGGAACAGAGAGCATATGGGATACATCTATCTGTACTCTACAATTTTTCTGGGAACCTAAAACTTCTCTAAAATAAACTCTATTAAAAAAAAAGAAAAGAAAAGGTCAACAATAATGATCCCAAATATATAAAATTAAAACTGTAGTATAAAAATGGTCACATGAAAATGCATGAATGTGCTAAGAACTTTTCTGCAATAGGATTTAAAATAAATTTTATATAAATTTCAATGATTCATGAGCCAAGAACCCAGCATTCTGGAGGTGTGTGCATTTGTGTGTGTGTGTGTGTGTGTGTGTGTGTGTGTGTGTGTAAGGCTTACATTGAATGGCATTATAACCAGAGTCATACAGAAATACACAAATGCTCCCCTATTTAGAATCCTTCCCCAAGAAATACTGAGGAAAGCAAATATAATGGTAGTTGGATTTTACTGAAAGAATGTATTCAAAAAGTATTTATATAATGTTAAAATAGCATAGCTAAAATTAGTTTTATAAAATAGAGCAAATATATCTTTTTATCAGCTAAAAGTTCAAAGTGAAATCATCATTATTATATTATTATATTATTATTATAAACAGTTATAAATCAGGCTGCATGATTTTAAATTAAATGATTCTTAAAAATTGTTATCTGAATTATTTCAGATTACATACATAAAGTATGACTTCATTAATAGGTAATATCACATTGTTTAAATTTTACAAAATTTCCAGTCACAATGGTTCATGCCTGTAATCTCAGCACAAGGTGAGGGTCCCTTAAAGCCCAGGAGATGGAGACCAGTCTGTAGTCCCAGCTAGTAGGGAGGCTGAGGCAGGAGGATTGCTGCTTGAGCCCAGGAGTTCGAGGCTGCAGTGAGCTAGGACTGACTGCACCACTGCACTCGCTCCAGCCTGGGCAACACAGCGAGACCCCGTCTCTAAAAATAAATAAATAAATGAATAAATAAATAAAAATTACAAAACGTAAAAATCACGTAAAATATTTCAGGTTTGTACTTACCACATACAAACTAGAGATATGAAGAATTAAACATTACAAATAAAGCAC
The DNA here is from genome assembly GCF_000001405.40 of Homo sapiens. Classification (NCBI taxonomy): domain Eukaryota; kingdom Metazoa; phylum Chordata; class Mammalia; order Primates; family Hominidae; genus Homo; species Homo sapiens. Next base: position 4,150,276 of record NT_167249.2, read on the forward strand.
TTCACACACAGTCTGGCCCATAGTAAGCAGTTTATAGAAGTTAACAAATTTGTGTTATTGTTATTTTCTGGAGTCCAAGACAAAATCCCATGATGAATGACACCACAAGGATGTAAGCAACAAAATTCAGAATATGAGAAGTTCTACTAGATTAAATAAAAAGATTTCTCCAGCAAACAATTTGCAAAAAAAGTTAAAAATAGAGAAAAGAAAAGCTATACACTTGAAAAAGACTGAAGAAATATAGTAACCAAACGCTGAGCTTTGTCTAGATTCATATTCAAACAAAACATCTGTTAAAAAATTTATATGAGGCAATCAGAAAAATTGACACTGAGTGTATTAAGGAATTATTTATCTCGTTTTAAATGTGTTAGTGGCATTGCTGTTATGTTTCTAAAAAGCCATTATATTTTAGATTTTCATAATAAAAATGTATAAATGAAATATGATACCTAAAAATATCTTCAAAATAATCCAGTATGTGCCTGTATGATAACTGGGTGGGTTTACAAAATTGCTCATGAATTGATTATTGTTAAAGCAAGGCTGTTGATACATGGAATTCTTCTCTGTACTATTGCACACAGTTGAAATTTTCTGTAATACAAAGGTTTTTTTTTTAAATGTATTCAGGAAAGTCCCATAAACATAGGCAGACAAGCATTCTGTTTGAAGTTATGTTAGTTTTTCAGTTTTTCTCATTTTTATCACATTTAGGAAACCCTGTCCAAGGCCTGCCCAAGACTGTAAGAACCTCTCAGGAATGCAACTATAAAGAATGTGTATGCAGGAACTAATAATAACAAAGGAAAGCAAAGTAATGCTTGCTTTATTATTGGCTGGACTAAGCCCCCAGACTTGTTTATATATTCACTAATTCATCAAAAATGCAAAAATGGTCATTGAGTACCAGTGCTACAATAAGTACTCATAGTTTGTTGAATGTTATTAAAATAATGTGAAAACAATTACATTCATTATCTTCATAGAACTTACACTCCAGTGGGAGGAAAATACATATATTACATAATTCCACAAACATAGTTACAAGGTCTGAAACATTTATAAAGAAAAAGAATGAGGTAAAATGAGAGAGTGTTGCACAGGGACCAGGTATGGTTTGGGGCAGTTTAGAAGTGGCTTGAAGAAATGTATCTTGAGATGAAATAAGGTGGTATACAGTAGGTAAAGGACAAGGTTGAAGAGGCCAGAGCAAATGTTTGAGAAACTCTTACAATATGAAAGAGAAGATGAGAATAAAATAACATGAAAATTATCACAGATTTAATAGAGAAAGTTCATGTAACAGCAAACAAGTTTAAAGTCATTCTAATTAGAATTCTTGATCTGTAAAAGTAATAATAGAATGCTAAAAACAATTGGAAAATTTAATAGAAAGATTGGAAAATTAAATCAAGAAAATCTCACAGTAATTTAAAAGGCAAAAAAAAAATGTAATATATGGTAGAAAAAATAAGATGGAGAACAGACCAAGGAAGTCAAACATCAAGTGACAAAGCTAGAGAGACCAACAGGGAAGATGAAGGGAGAAAATGATCAGAACAAATAATAAGGGAAAATGTTCCAGATATAAAGGATTTAATTCTTCCATGGAATAGTCTTGTCAGGTATTTAGCAAAATTAACAGACTCACTTCTAAATATCTCATTTTCAAAATTTCAGAACTTCAGGTGTTATAGAAAAGTCATAAAATATTCCAGTGGCGGAAACCAAAATGAAACAAACTGACAACAAAAAAAATACTTCTATTATTAAGATAATGAGAAAGTCCTTGAAGTTCTAAAGGAAAATTATTTTTTATTAATAAATGTAGATCTTTTCAAAGTCACAATCAGGCATGGAGAAAGAATAAAAATACCTGTGAATGTGAAAGAACATAAAATTTACCTACCACGCAGAGTTTTACTAGAAATTGACTAAGGATATGACCAATTGAGATTGTTAATCAGGATATAGGAAGGTAAGGAATCCAGGAAACTGGGTCTAACCCAGGATCTCACTGAAAACGGATCCTACTACAGCAGTTTCTTGGCAAGCAAAGAATACCTGACTACATAAGTGATATTTAGAAAGTGATAAACTTTTTTTTTCAAATTTAGAATTAATCTGTGAGCAAAGCCCAAGGAATCTTATTGCTACAGCAGAATGTCAATATTTTCAGCTTTGACAATATTGGGGGGAAAAAAAAGATGTAGATACTTCATTATGGCAACTGGAAGTGTAAAGGAGAGGGGAAAGGGAGGGTGAAAATGCCAATAACTTCATCTTCCAAGAAGGAGGGGAAGAGGCATTGCCCATACTTACAGAAGTCACAAAGATCAATATATTTAAATTACAATCACAACTGGAAAAAGTATGTAAAATGACTCATGAATTAGAGCAAGGTTTTAGAAATTGGACTATTATTTCAGTTACAAAAAAAATGGACTGTTATTCTTCGGCCTAAGCTATTCAGAAGCTGCAAGAGCCCCTCAGAGTCGGCCCAAATTAGAGCAGGTTTTATACTCCTATACTGACCAATCATTATAGGCGAGTTCCTCCTGGGAAGTGGATCAAAATCCGATGAGGCAGCTTTCATCACCTAAGGCAATTCCGGGGCGTGACTGAAAGCTGAGGGCAGTCAGCCAGCAACATTCCCAGCAATGACAGAATAAATCGTTCAGTCTCAAAGGGAGGAGTTTAGGTACAGTGGAACAGCACTGACGGCAGAAACACTGTTCTAGTTCCTGGGAGTACATATACATTCATGTGGAAGAAAACAAACAGATAAAATTCAGCATCTATTTAAAAATTAAAAATAAAACTACCACATGATCCAGCAGTTCCACTTCTGGGTACATATGCAAAGAAAATGAAATCTGTATCAAAGAGATATCTGCACTCCCGTGTTTATTGCAGCACTATTCACAATGGCCAAGAGATGGAATCAACCTAACTATCCATCAGCAGATGAATGGATAAAAAAAATGTGGTGCATATACACAATGGAATACTATTCAGCCGTATAAAAGAAGGAAATCTTGTCATTTATAGCATGGACGAACCCATTGGACAGTATGCTAAGTGAAATAAGCCAGGCACAGAAAGACAAATACGACATGACCTAACTTATATGCAGAATCTTAAAAAGTCAAAGTCATGGAGGGGGTGGGGTGTGGGGAGAGGGAGAAAAAGGAATGAGATGTTGGTCAAAAGGTATAAGTTTCAGTTAGAGAGGAGGAATAAGTACTGAAGATCAATTGTGCAGCATGGTGACTAGTTAACAATATCATACAGTTGTCCCTTGGCATCCATGAGGGATTGGTTCTAGGACCCTTCCTGGATACCAAAATATAAGAATGCTCAAGTCTCTTATTAAAAATGGCTTAGTTTTTGTACATCACCTAAGTATGTTTTCCCATATACTTTAAATCATCTTTGGATTACTTATAATACTTAACGCAATGTAAATGCTATGTAAGTAGTTGTTATACTGTATTGTCTTTTAAGTTGTATTATTTTTATGTTGTATTGTTGTATTTTATCATTTTTTCCAAATATTTTCAATCCATGGTTGACTGAATCAGAGGAGGCAAAACACACAAATACAGGGCCAGCTGTATTGTATATTTGAAAATTGCTAAGACAGATTTTAAATATTCACACCACATAAAAAAATAAGTATGTGAAGTGATGGATATGTTAATTAGCTTGATTTAATCATTTCATAGTGTATACATATATCGAAATGTCAATTGTACCTTATAAGTACTCAATTATTTGTAAATTAAAAATAATTTAAATTTTTTGAAATGTAACATTCTTAACTTTTTCTTGTTCAAATAAAGTTTTCTGTTCTTTATTTTCAAAAACTTTTTTGTTTAAAAATATCATCTCAATCATCTCAATTTCTATTAACTCAATTGATTCACCCTATTAACTTATGAACTCTCCTCTGAAGTTAAACATTCCATGATTATTGAGAAGGGTAAAGTTAATGTGCAGTAAGATCTTAGCCCACAGTAAAAAACAAATCTCAGTGATGTCACTCAATAAAGAGACTTAATTCCACAGTTTCTCCAGTGACTCAGGTTATATGGAGTTTCCATCGTCTCATCGTGCATCTACTTGCAAGTTCCATTGGCTAGTATTAGTCAAATGATCCCAACCTAACAGCAGAAAAGACTGGGAGATGTAAAGAACCTTATGGCATATTGACGAGCACCATTGTCTCTGAAAGATATGCTGATATTTCCTAAGGTAAGGACAAATGCTCACAACTGGCAGGTTGTTCTCTAGAACACCCACATACTTTCCTCCAAGTTATATGCCGACTAAGACTCAATTCTTCTTGTTAGCAAACTTATTTATAAAAAATGTACTTGTTACTTTAATTATCAATTAAAGATTATACTACCCAATGAAATCTGGGTGCAAAAAATAATTGTTTCTATGAAACTGTCAGTGGAAGAAAGGGAAAAAGACTTTGATCCTCTCATAACCAGGATGTGTTCAGTGTGACAATGTTGAACTGAATGTTCTAGAATCTGTGTTGGACTGCATTAAATACGGTCATAGGCTGCATGCAGCCCGCGGGCTGAGGGTTGGAAAAGCTTGTCTGACTTAATGACAAACCCAGAGACTGACATGTAGACCATCTTCAGGGCTGAGCCCACATCAAAGGGGTCACAGTGTGTAGTAACATCCCTCATAATCGGGAAGAGGGTGTCATCAGGAATGAACAGGTTACGATGTCAATGACAAAGGGAGCTCAGACAAGGAATGAGATGGCTGTGAACAGGTACCCCCACTGAGGGACCCTAGAACCAGAGGAAGCTCTGCCGTTTGACCTGTGTCCTCCACAAGAAACAAACTTCCCCTACACCACTCTACTGTGAGGAGGCTCTGGAGGCTGAGGTGCTCCACATGGCTGGTGTAGACATCTGCACACTGGAAGTCATTTCCAGCATCAGAAGGATCTGGAAAACCCAGTCCTCCTTCCTAATAAGAGGGATGAGCACGCTGGCTGGCAGCATCCTGTGCACAGGATGGTGTGTTTGGGAGGTGTGCATGTTACCCAGGCTTGGACAATCAGAATCTTTCCCCAAATTATTAAAACTCTGGTAGACACTTCAGAAACATATACAACAAAGACAGACACACACACACGCACGTACACACACTCACACGAAGAGAGAGATGAGATAAGGTGTGAGGTGATAAGAGAGATGCAGAAAATAAAGAGATGCAAAAAGAAAAAGAGAAAGAAATGCAGATAAATAGTGACAAAGGATTACAAACATAGAGAAAGGCAACAATGCAGTGAAAGAGACACAAGAAGGGAACAAAGACAAAACTGGAGAGAGACACACAGAAAGAACTACACAGGGACAAAGAGACACACGGAGAGGAGAGGAGGATGCACAGATGAAACTATAACAGAAAGAGAAGAGAGATGAAGATCTCATTGAATATCTGGAACTAGTCACTTCTGAAACCAACATTCCTTGTAACATGAATCAAATATCTTTGGGTTGGGTGTCTATCATTTGGAACCAAAAATAGTACTTTCATTGCTGGTTATGCTTTCTTAAAAATAAAAATTAGTCTTGATTGATGTGACTTGCCAGCCAGAATATATTTGAAACATCAGTCACTATAGTTGTCCCCAAACAATTCCACCATGCTTACTTAGACAACACTCGCCAAACCAGAAGAGAGGCTGGGATGTCCTAAGGCCATTGCACTGAACATCAATATTAAAGAACCATGAATGATGTGATGACTGAATTGATTTTCTACCTCCTCTGCCTACCCTTACTTTGCACCCCAAGATGCTTTCAGTGTCTTTTCAAAGTACAACCCTCTTTCTAGCCACGGTTTGGCTGGGTCACCTCAAGGTATGTTCCTTCACTTGGCAGTGGTTTCCTACCTCTGCTTAGTTAAGGAAGTTCCGAATACAGATAACTCAGAATCAGGTTTAATTATGGGAAAAAGCACTAAAGTCAGGTAAATGATTTTGTTTGTCATGCTTCTCTTGACAGGTCTGTGGGGGGAGAATGGAAACAGAGATGCCCCTTGGGGCCTGAGTAGACACAGCTTGCAGTGCACAGGCAGAGGCTCTGGGTCAGTGCAGGAAGCAGAGTCACCACCAGTGCCTTGGGATGGGGATCACAGAAGGTGACCTGTGGCTGCATGAGCCACTGTAGGACTCTGACCTCAGTGGGACAGGGTGACACAGGCAGCTAGGAATTCTGGGCAGGGGCAGGTGGGCATTACAGAAGAGTGATGACCAATCCCAGACAAAAGTCCTCAGGAGTCAGTGCAGGAGTCCTGGAGAAGAGAGACGAGGCATGATCAGCACAGGGTACCCTGAGGGACACACCCTCTCCCCTAGTCCTCAGTTCCCTCTGTAGCATCAAACAGAGGATGCTGAGGTCCAGGGCATATCATCATCACGTTCCCCAATATCTGTGTAAAGGTAAAATCAGCTCATGAGGACACAGAACTTCAGCTTGATGCAGATATGTGGAGGTGGGGGAACAGCAGTTACCCTTCTGGGTAATATGAAGAGTTTGATTTTTTTAGTAAATTGGGTGACACTTCATCTCCACCACTAGCAGCCTCTTTTAGTCACTGAAAATGCCTACAGGCAGTAGCTAACAAAATGTGGCACAAAGTGGGCATCACCCTACTATCTCACATTCAAGATGTGGCTCTGTCCCCACATTTCACAAAAAGATGCCACCAAAGTTAAGGCCTGGTTCTAGGAAACAATCTCTGGAGATTCGTAGAAACTGGCAAACTTTTCCCCTAAGTCTTAACCCTCATAGCAGCAAACAGGCCATGAACAGAGACCACTGTGCCCTGGAACACTCCGCTCATGCTCTTCTTTTTTTTTTTTGAGACAGACTCTAGCTCTATCGCCCAGACTGGAGTGCAGTGGCGCCATCTTGGCTCACTGCAACCTCTGCCTCCTGGGTTCAAGTGATTCTCTTGCCTCAACCTCCCAAGTAGCCGGGATTACAGATGCACACCACCACGTCCAGCTAATTTTTGTATTTTTAGTAGAGATGCGGTTTCACCATGGCTCTTCCCTCTTATGCCTGTGCCCTCTCCCCTGACTGGATCATGGCTGAAATATTACCTGCTGGTGGAGGCCCTCGAGGTCCTACAAAAGGAAGTTATACAGAGAAAGGTCTTGTTAAACAAACAACCACTATCTTACCCCAAAGGAAAATGACACATGTAGTTTAATTGGGGTTATATCCTCTTCCCTCCCATGTTCTTTAAGTCCTTAAGCACCCTAAGTTAAAATCCCCCAAAACAAAGGAAATTGTCACTAGAAGACAAGGAGGCCGAGGCTCTGACCCTCATAATGGAGGAAGCTTTTAGAAAGGAGCCAGTGAGACGATGATGAACGGTAAGGACGCCCTGGAATAAGCTCTATCAGTCAGCTCTGGCAGCGCTACCATTCACCCAGTAAAATCAGATTCCAATGCCTCCTCCAATCTTGTCCTGTCTCCTCGCACTTCCTCTCAGGGTAAGGAGGAAAGAGCTACATCTAGAGACAGAACCTCTCTGAATAGAGGGTCTGGGTCACAGCTCATCTTCCCCATTTCCCCCTTGGGTTCCTCACCTTTCTGACCCCTGTGACGGATGATAAGGCCCAGCCCGAGGAAGATCAGCCCCAGCACGAAGCCTCCAATGCCACTCAGCATCTTGCTCTGGGCAGATTCAGACTGAGCCCCTAAGGAGCAGAACTGAGTGTGAGTGTTTGTCCCCACACCCCATAATGTCCTTGGTACAGGAGGTGGAGATGTCAGGGGACACTAGTTCTCCAGTCTGACCACCCTAGGGAAGAGAAAGACCAGCCAGTAGGTCTTTGGACACAATAGGTGGGTGAGGGAGAGGAAGAAGCACACCCCTGCCCCTCAGGACTTCATCCATAACCTTAAACCCTAAGGCCCCAGTCACCAGCCCTAAGTCAGTCTCTCATAGCTGTCAGAGCTGGTTCTGGGGCTTTAGTAGTGTTGATATGGTTTGATTCTGTGGCCCCACCCAAATTTCATGTTCAATTGTAATTAACAATGTTGGAGGTAGAGCCTGGTGGGAGGTGACTGGATCATTAGACCAGATTCTTGTCACCATCTCCCTTAGTACTGTCATTACAATAGTGAGTTCTCATGAGATCTGGTTATGTAAAACTGCGTAGCACCAACCCCCTCTCTCTCATGCTCCTGCCCCTGCCCTGTGAGACACCTCACTCCCTCTTTTCCTTCTGCCATGATTAGGAGCTTCCATATGTCTCCCCATAAGCAGAAGCCACTATGCTTCCCCTACAGCCTCAGAATCATAAGCCAATTAAACCTCTTCTCTTTATAAATTACCCATTCTCAGGTATTTCTTTATAGTGGAGTGAGAAGAGCCAATTAAACCTCTTTTCTTTATAAATTACTCAGTCTCAGAGATTTCTTTGTAGCAGTACAAGAATGGACTAACACAAATGTGGAAAGTGATCTCCCTGGTATCTGGAAAGACAAAGAGATCAGGATTCATCTGATGTGCTTGCCATGGGGCAACAGGTGCTCTAGTCTCCTGTGATTCCCAGCTCAGTAGTGATGTCAGGGACAAGAGATGGGATGGGAAGGATCAGCGGGAGCTCTGCCCTTTGTCTTGTGGGGCCCACAGTAAAAGGAAACCAGTTTCCCCTTACGCCACTCCACGGTGATGGGGCTCTGGAGGCTGGGGTGCTCCACTTGGCAGGTGTAGATGTCTCCACGCTGGGGAGTTATTTCCAGCATCACCAGAATCTGGAAGGTCCAGTCACCATTCCTAATGAGGGAGGTGGACACAACACCGGCTGTCTCCTCCTGGTCATTCCGAAACCACCGGACTTTGATCTGGGCTGGATAGAAATCTGTCACCGAGCAGACCAGCAGGTTGTGGTGGTTGAGGGCCTCTGTCCTGGATGGGGAGATGGTCACTGTGGGCTCCACTGAGGGCAGTAACAGACAGGGAAAGATATAGGAGTGAGATGTGAGACCACACAGCACGCCTGCTGTGAGGAAGGTCCCTCCTTGGAACCAGAATAGAAAGATACCTGGAGTCCAAGTCTTGGATTAAGGTTCCTTCAACAAATATAAATTTGACAATCACTGAGAATCCAAAAATAAACAACAAACCCTGGTTCCTGCCTTTATAGAACTTGCAATCTAGTAACAGAGACCAAAAAATTGAATGTTATTTCAAAAGTTTGTAATATTTGAAGGAAAAGTAGGCAGGCCTTGAAAAAAACTAACACTGATCAAACATCATGTTTGCCCATAACTCAATTCCTTTATCTTCTCAGAGCGCTGCTCATGGTCAAAAATGACACACCTTTCCCTGCATATTTTATACATCTTAACCTTTACCTCTCTGGCCATTTTACTGCATTTCCTTTATTTCTTTAGTGTAAAATTATAGTAAATATTTAATGTATGCTTTATTTACTTGGTAATATGTTCTCTCATTTTCCTGCTTTTTCTTAATTTCCTTTTAACCCTCAAGATAGTGTAATTACTAGCTGCCTACCCTACTCCATCCCCTTGCTATTGAGAATTACTTTCTTGTTCTGAAATCAGACATTATCATGTACGTTCTCCATAGGAAATATTCTGAGATCCATGCAGAGGTTGGCCTGGGTGAATGTGCCTGTAATGCAAACATATACATATAGCTGGGATTTGCTGAGGTCAGCAGGTAGCACCCCAATTAAATGGCACTCATGAGCCATTGTCTGGAAGGAATCTTGGTTTCTGCTTGGACTTGAACTTTTCTTTAGGCCCTCCTTCCTGGAGTCTGACTGAAATAACAGTCAGCTATGTGGGGACTTACAAGATTTGTTCATCTTAAAAAGACTGAAAGTAAAAATAGAGGGCACAAATTCATGAGAAAAAAATGATAGAATAACTTTTATAGAAATAGACTTGAAATGGCAAAAATATAAATAATTGACAGCATTAGGATGTGGGTCAGAAGAAGGCAAGGAAGTTTTGTGAACCTGCATAGATAACACTGGGGTCAGACTAGGGATTGATTAATCAGTGAATTTTCAATGCCTTGAAAGTATCATTTTGTCCCATTAACAGTGAAAACAGGCAGGAATAGACCCATTGCTGCTTCTTGTCAAAATTGGCTTTAACAAGGCTTTACTTCCCTTAGGCTGTGTAGACGAGTATTGAAGAACATAAAAGAATGCTGTGTATTTGGGGGAGGCTTCAGGTCCTGGTGCATAACTGTGGGTTGATTACTTAAAGTGTTTATCATGTACCAATATTACGATATATAAAGTGGCAATGCTAATCTCTAATGCACAGGTAACTGTGCTATTAAATGACATAACTTAGATGGTGTTTGCTAAGGCAATTGTCTAGAAATAAGTGCTCACTAAGTGGGTAAAATTGACGTTCAGAATGTTTATGCCTGAAGTGGATAGTGATGGGGGGAGGGAGAAAATCTACTCCAAAAGCAACCTGAAACTATTTTTATTCAATAATTTAGTGGCTTCAATCTATGTATTCCAAAGCTTCTGCTCTTTTCATTGTGCCATTTGTTCAGCTTTTCTAAGAAATTAAAACTGCCTTATAACACCATTCAAGCGTTGTTTTTATTTTCAGCAAACACCTTTTTCCCCAGACTGCATTCACAAACCTTACTAAGATCCAAGTCAATAAGAGTTTACAGCATTAAGCAAAATAATAGAAAATAATTGATAAAGTCCATCTTTAAGGCTCTATTTATCCTCTGCTTTCCCTTGAGCCTAAGTGGATGGGCAGCTGAGTACATTTATTCATTAATTTAACAGAAGATCATTGAGCTCATACCACATGCCGGTCCACGAGTCAGGTACTAGGCATGCAATGATTAAAACACTCTCACCTCAAAGAGCTCCGCCATGAATGAGAGCCGTTTAAGAAAACAGAATTACGATGAATAATAATTTGAAGCCAAAAGTTAAAATATCTTATTTCACAACTGTAATTGCTGGATGCCCTGCGCGCAGTTGTGGAGCAGCCCTAACTCCACCAGGCCAAGCCTGAAGCTTCCTGCGGCGCGAGCTGTGCAAGTGGGCCTTGCTGGGTGGGGCAGTGCTAGTGGGGCGGACGGGCAGGGGAAGAGGGCGGGCATTCGGGCAGAAAGAACTGCTTAGCGAAGGTAAGGCACGAGGAGGCAAACGCATAAGGCACAAGGCAAGAACATGCAGAGCAGAGGACAAGGCCGATGGACGGGGAGGCTGGGGACACACTGGGCAGCCTAACCCAACCCTGCAGGGAACTAAGGGATGCTTTTGTGCATCCCCCTGCTCTGCCCTAGATCCCCGCCCCTCCGATACTACCCCAGCCTCCAAATCCCCGCCACCTTCCTGTACCCTGGGATGGATCAGGGCTCGGTCCTTGAGGCCGCGCCGTCCTCGCCCCTCTGTGCGCAAGAGACTCGGGCCCCGGCCAAGGGTGAGCCCCGCGGAAGGACGACGACGCTCACCTTGCCGCTGCAAGGTCGTGCGCAGCTCCGCCTCGTAGTTGTGTCTGCACACCTTGTCCACCGCGGCCCGCTCCTGCTCCAAGAAGTCCTTATAGTTGTTCCAGTCCTCGATGCTCCGCCCCAGCTCGGTCACCGCCTGGAACTCCCCAACGTCGCTGTCGAAGCGCCCGTACTCCTCGCGGTTATAGATGTATCTGGCCACACCGCGCACGCGCTCTGTCCCGTTGGTGAAGTAGCACATGCCCTTAAACTGGACCAAGAAATCCTCTGCGGAGAATCACGGCGGGTCAGTCAGGCCCCAGCACGGCCCTAGCCCCAGCCCCCAGCCGGACCGCACCCTTCAGCCGCTGCCCTGACCCGGCCAGCAGCTGCGAAACCCGTCCACGCGAAATTGAGTTCTTGGCTGGGCCCGTGCCTCGTGCTCCGGACCTGGGATCCTCGAGGCATCTCTGCCCCAGCCCTGCCCGCCCTCTCTGAGGGCCTCGGGAATCTGCCTTCCTTTAGGGAGGTAAGAGGGAAAGCCCAGTCCCTGCCTGAGCCTGTGAACCAAGTGAAGAGGGCAGTCGGACCGATTCAACATTGACCTCTGCTCTTAGATCAGGGCGTTCTCGTATGAAATCCCATTTTCCATGGAGCTCTTGGGAATCTCGGAGACAGAGTTATCCACATAAATTTGAGAGTTCAAGGGAATAACGAGAAAGGTTCAGGAATTAAGCTTGTTCTCATCCTGATGTAAGTATTCTCTTGGTCCCTGGGCAAGAGACCAAGTAAACCCATGCCTGGATTTACTCTCTTTCTGCTATACCCGCCCAAGTGCCCTGTGAGGTTCACTCACTTCTGTGTTAGAAAGGACCTACACCTCCGGAGTCCTAGAAGGAAACATTTATTCATGGAAAGAGCCCAAGCTTTTGAATTCTATAGGGTCCAATTAAACTGAGTCAATCACCAGCTTGGGCAGGTTACTTAACAGAATATCCATATCACAAGTATAATTACATAAAAGGAAAATCATGATACCTACACATAGGATGTTAGGAGGAGTGAGAGAGGATTTATAGAAAGTACTGTCCTGTGTCTGAATGGAGTGGTTTCTCAATATGTATTATTTCCCTTCTTTACTTCCTCCTTCCTATCATACTAAATTCAGTCCACCATCAACTCAGGTCCCTGAATCCCACTCAAGTCACCTTTTGCCCATAAATCAGTGAAACCCAAAGTAAGACTCCCTGTCTGTGGTCATCCAGTCACCTTCCCTCAGTACTAAGAGTTTGCCTCCACAAACTCTCCACTCGAGTCAGTAGTATAGACTCCTTTACCTCCAATACAGAGACTACAGACACCATTGCTGCCTTACATTTTCCCAGTGCAGAAAAATCCTACTGTGTCTTTGGGGAAATGCATATCTTTGGGGAAATGCATAACCGTGGAGTGCCATGGTCATTTTGTCCTGTCACAGGTAGTGAATGCACACTTTGTCTCCTCTTTCCTCTCTCCTCCTTCAGGCTTAAACCTGTGGGATTGGGGTTGGATTATCCTCACCTCACCCATTATAAGGTGGAAATAAAAATGCAACATAGCTCTATTTCCCAAAAAGAATAAATGGTGATAAAAGACTGTGTTCTGAGATCATGGAGATCACCATCCCCCATACTCCAACCCAAGGAGAGCCTGTTCCCACAGTGGTGGCTCTCGAGAGCAGCTGCCCTGCACTTACTGGGAAAGTCTCTGGCCTCAGCCACTGGGGTGCTCAGCATCACCAGCATCACGGTCACAGCTGCTGCCCAAAAGCCTCCAGGGATCTGCAGAGCCATCTTCCAAGACGTAAGTGAGACCAAGGAAAAAGCAGTGGTAGTCAACACAGCTCAAACCTAATGGATCTTATGTACCTGCCGGAAAGAATAAAAACCTCTGGATGTTTCCATGTGTGGTAGGATTGGGGAGTCCCTAGGAAAGGAACCAATCAGCACTGGAGCTGAAGGACCTCATCTGCCTCTGGGCAGACGTTTTTCTGTGAAGATTCTCACTCCAATGCCTGGCACTGTTTCTTCTTCAAATTGCACTAGATGAACATTTGAGGTGAAGATTTCTGAATAGCTGAAGATTGAATGGCTTAGGGGTTTTAAGAAGCAAAAGACAAATGTGATTCAAGAGTAGACATCTTACAACCTATTGTTCTTACACTTGGGATTTTTAGTAGGGCAAATTAAGTGAGGATCATATTTCAGGGAACAGAAAATTGTCACAGAAATGTTCACTTCTATTAGACACTCTGAAGAGCCTTAAGTTTTGGTGAGAAGAGCAAAGTTCTTAGAAGGAAATGATGGTGAGTTGCAGTTCTACCACTAATGTGCTTTATGAGAGTCAACAAATTACTGAACTCCTTTTCACCCCCAGGCTTCTCTTTGCAAAATGTGGATCATGTTTTATGCATTTTACATCTAGATCTTCACATATAAAAATTTAACATTAATATGACTAGTTTAATATTACAAAAGCCTCCTCCACTGTTATGTGTAACTATCAGGCTAATAGGAGGAACAAGAAAAAAAAAAGTTGACACCCAGCCCTACTGGCAAGTGATTCTTTATTATGCAAGAAGGTATTGCATTCATGCTCTTCGAGTGAAAGTATTTGTTGACTTTTCTCTTGTAAGTTCTTCAGCTGCTTAAATCCTCCCTGAACCATGAAACAGGTGCATCTGATATGAGCAAAGGCACAATACACAAATTTTACAGTATTCAGACACAGTCACATTTAGTTTTGAAGATAGAGAGCAAAAGCTGTGAAGAAGAATTTCCTGGGGGCTGAATCGTATTAATGATGGAGCAAATGTTTAGAGTTACAGGTCATATTGGGCCAGCCCTAAACATCAAATCCAAAATGGCAGAGGTACCAATGTGTTTTTATAAATAAATTTCTTACTTATCAGGCTTACGTTGCCCATGGCTAGGGATAGTACTAATGGTTATAAAGCAATTAAAACAATGCCTGACAAACATTACTGGTAATCCTAACCAAGACAATAAATATCTCCACCTCTCTTCTTGTCTCCCTTCCTCCCACTCTTCCCTGTATATTAGTAAAGTAGAAGATAGAGAGCATCTAAAAGCAGAATATGTTTACCAGGTAAAAAGAAACAGGGAAGAGACGGTAGCAAGAGGTTTGCAATAGTGGCACATGAAAGCATTGAGCCACTCTAATATTCTGTATTATTCTGTGCATAGATTTAGATCACCTGAGACTGGGAACGTTGTTACTGGGCTTCTAGCAGCAGTGGTGTACTCAGGATCAGGGTAACCCCCAGTCTAAGGAGGGTCTCCACTGGTGCGATGGAAGCATAAAGGAGGAACATCAAACTCAGACCTAGAACGGAACTGGGGGCAAGAAAGAATAGGCAGAGAGGGACCTGAAGATGCCCTCAATGTCCTCTCAGTCCCCACCTCAGCGTCCCTCAGAATAGAGGCCTCTGGCCCACCCCTTCTTCCTGTTCAAAGGGAGAAGCTTCCCTCAGGTTTATTCTGGGGCTGTGAGGCAAAGTCTACGTCAAACCTAGGGACTCCCCAGTCTCATGGGCCTCTTCAAACAGACTTTTTTCTTTTCTTTTCCTTTTTTTTTATTTTCCTTTTTTCTTTTCTTTTCTTTTTTAGGGACAGGGTCTGGCTCTATCACCTAGGCTGGAGTACACTGGCATGATCATGGCACACTGCAGCCTCAACCTCTTAGGCTCAAGTGATCCTCCTGTCTGAGCCTCCCAAGTAGCTGGGAGTACAGGCACACACCGCCATTCTGTCTAATTTTTTAAAAATTTTTTATAGAAATAGGATTTTGCTATGTTGCCCAGGTTGGTTTCAATGTCCTGGCCTCAAGCAATCCTCCCACCTCGGCCTCCCAAAGCACTGGGATTATAGGTGTGAGCCACCACACCTGGCCACACAGACTTTTCAACTAGCAACGAAAGTGTCAGCTTAGAGCCATTTTCTGACTGGCTAAAACCTCATCTGAGGCCAGGTGCAGTGGCTCACCCCTGTAATTTTCTAGCGCTTCGGGAGGCCAAGGCAGGCAGATCACTTGAGGTCAGGAATTTGAGACCAGCCTGGCCAACATGGTGAAACCCGTCTCTACCAAAAATAAAAAAAATTAGCCAAGTGTGGTGGTGCATGCCTGTAATCTCAATTACTCAGTAGGCTGAGGCAGGCGAATCGCTTGAACCCAGGAGGCAGAGGTTGCAGTGAGCTGAGTTCGCACCACTGCACTCCATTGCACTCCAGCCTGGGGGACAAGAGCAAAACTCTGTCTCAAAACAAAACAAAACAAAAAAAAAACACCTAATCTAAAAGGCTTTGGTTTGGGGCTTCTGCCAGTTGTGTCCCCCTGATCCAGCCTTCTCTACAGTTCTTTGCAATGTTCCTATCCCTGCTCCATTACTCAGGGCAGCCACTATTGGCCTGGCCAGAGGAAGGCAACTCAGACAAGCATCCTGATTCTGAATGCCTCGCCCAAATCACCCACCCGGCCTCTGTGGGGACAGAGCGCTTAGGATGAGACCACACGCACCCCATGTGGGAAGATGGGATAAAGACACTGCTGTTATTATGGGTCAAGGTTACACTAGGGAGACTCTCCCCAGGGCACATTGTCTCTTCTTTCAGGGCAGAAAAAGGTTGTGGACTCCTTCTTTGTGGAATCAAGGGAGAAATCATCTTCCCTGGTCAGCATCTCTTAGAATCTGTGCCTGGTCAGTGCAGTTGAATGTAAACACAGGAGTCATCCTGTCACCAGAAGGGTTATCCAGGACTCTGTCCTGCAATTACTTCCAGAATCAAGAAACACTGTAGAGTCAGAAAGGTTCTGTGGCCTCCTTAATGCCAGTGGTAACATAATTAGAAATACGGCCCCAGAATATCATTTTCCTTTAATAAAAATTTATCAAGTAATTATCTCCAAATTTTTCAAAACCTTGTGAAGCTACTTACATATTTCTCTTATATCAACTTTTAGGTAACCGGTTACATGAATTTTTCATGACACATATAAGGTAGGCCTTTTCTCTTTAAACAGTTATCTCTTTAAAATGACAATTTAGAAAGTCTGAAGAGAGAGTCTGTAGCATTCAGAGGCTGTGCTCAAACAGTGCCTCCTTCAAGCAAGTAACCATGGGGAGACTCCATAGTGGAAGTCAGGTAAGGACTTGGAGGATACCGCAGGGTGAAGGACTAGGAGTATGGGAAAAGCTTTAGCAGGAAGATAGAAAATCAGATGATACAAGGCATTTGGGACACTTGGGGGAAATGGGGAAGGTGAGTGATCTCTGGCACAGGAGTCCAGAGCCCACCAGTCTCATGGCTTCTCATGCAGTATGGAAATGGCCCTTGAAAACAGAAGAAGACTGGGACGAAAACCCAGGCTGCCTGCTATGGACGTGTGTACAACGGAGCTTTGTTTCCTGATCTGTTTCTACAGGTTTCTTCTTCCAGTCAATCTCATCCATGCATCACCTCAGCTGGACCACTGACGATTTCATCACCCAGAGCTAACCTACACATGTCACTCTTTGCAACATATCTGTTCGTCTCTACTTCTGGTTCCCTAGTAATGCCTGGGATATTTCCAGAGACAACTCTTCCCCAGCTTCTAGATTTGTAGTCATCATGTGCCTTCATTCCCAGACAAACCTTAAATATCTCTCTATGAGATCTTTATAATGTCTTCTTCTACAAGTTCTTACCAGTAGAGAGAAGAACTAATATTCAGGTATGTAAAAAATATTTCAGTCCTATTTAAGCTCATGTCCAAGTACTCAAGAATTCAAGTGTCCAGCTCAGCTCAAGGTCATGGTTCATGCAAAAAAGCAACATTAGCAGTAATATTTTGGGGAGACTACTCATATCCTCAAATAGGAAAACTTAAGATATTCAATTTAAACCTCAATGACATATCAATCCATGCTTTTCAGGATGACTATTATCAAAAAGACAAAAAATAACAAGTGTTAACAAGGACGTGGAGATAAGGGAACATTTGCACACTGTTGGTGGGAATGTAAATTAGTATGGCCACTAGGGAAAACATTATGAAGGTTCTTCAAAAAGTTAAAATAGAACTGCCATATGATGTAGCAATCCCACTTCCAGGATACAGACAAAGGATTTTAAATCAGTAGGTTGAAAATATATCCACACTCCCATGTTCATTGCAGCATTATGCACAATAGTCAAGGTATGAAATCAACCTGTGTCATTCAGCAGATGAATGGGTAAAGATAATGTATGTATACACAATGGAATTCTATTCAGGCTTTAAAAAGAAAGAAATCCTGGTGTAAGCCGAAAAGTGACTGAGGCAGGTCTCAATCAATTAGAGGTTTATTTTGCCAAGGTTCAGGATGCACCTGGGAAAAACACGAATCACAGGAGCATCTGTGATCAATGCTTATTCCAAAGAGGGTTTTGAGAACTTCAATGTTTAAAAAGAAAGAGTAAGCAGGAAGGGAAAGAGAGAGGAAAAAAAAAAAAAAAGGAGGGAAGGTAGGCAATGACACAAGTGGTTACATTCTTGTGAGTCTGATTAGCCTCAGTAAATCTACATTTTACATGTGAAAAGAGGGAGTAGAGGAAAAAGTCACTTATGCAAAAACAATAACATTGTAGAATCTTCCCAAAAGATTCATTTTCTATTCTCACAGACCGACAATTCCACTCAAGTTAATTTCTGCAAAAGCATCCTAACTGGTCTTCCTGCCTCTACTTTATAATGTCAACATTGCTCATAAATCCAAGTTAATCTCTCTGAGTATGAGTTTCTTTAACTGCAAAATGAGAATATTATCTATTCCATAGAGTAATGCCAAGGATTAAATGAAGTGGCAAATATATAGCATCTAAAATAGTTTTGAACACATAGTAGATGCTCAATAATAATTTTTTTTAATTTTTAATATAATTTTAATTCAATAGCTTTTAGGTTACAAGTGGTTTTTTGTTATATGGATGAATTGTATAGTGGTGAAGCCTGGAATTTTAGTGAACCTGTTACCTGAGTAGTGTGCATTGTACTCAATATGTAGTTTTTTATCCTTCACCCTCCTTCCCATCCTCCCCAATTTCTTACTCTCCATTGTCCTTTATACCATTCTGTATGCCTTTGAGTACCCATAGCTTAGTACCCACTTAGCTCCTACTTACAAATCAAAACATATGGTATTTAGTTTTCCATGCCTCAATTAGAAGTTGTAAATTTTGATGGAGTCCAATTTATATATATTTTTTTCATTTCTTGCCTATGCCCTCGGTGTTATATCCAAGAAATCATTGCCTAATCAAATATCATGAAGATTTTCCCTATTTTTTTTCTAAGAGTTTTATGGTTTTAGTTTTCACATTTAGGTCTTTGATTCATTTTGAGTTCATTTTGTCTATAATGTAGGGTAAGAGTCCAGTTTCATTCTTTTGTATGTGGACTTCCAGTTTTCCCAGCACCATTGTTGAAAAGGCTGTCCTTTCCGCATTTAATGGCCCTGGCACTCCTGTTGAAAATCGTTTGACTATATATGTCAGGATAATTTCCTGGTTTTGATATTGCACTTTAGTTATGTAAGATGTTACAATTGGGGAAAACTGGATGAAGGCTATACAGAATCTTTTTGTTCTATCTTGGTAACTCCCTTTGAATCTACAATTATTTCAAAATATAATGTTAAAAAAGCAAAGCCAACCGAAATAATGTGTTTATCTTTTAACAAACTAATTCAATAAGATACCTAATAAAAATTACCCAATGTGAAATACAAAGAGAAAAGAAGAGCAGGGGAAAAACAAAACAGAGCATCCAAGAGCTGCAGTGCTGTATTGAATGGTTACATCACCTTTGTTTGTTTGTTTGTTTGTTTGTTTGTTTGTTTGTTTTGAGACAGGGTGTCACTCTGTTGCCCAGGCTGGAATGCAGTGGTGCGATCACAGCTCACTTCATCCCCCACCCTCGCCCCCAACTCAGGCAGTCCTCCCGTCTTAGCCTCTTGAGTAGCTGGGAATACCAGCACCATGCTTGCCCACTTAATTTTTCTCTCTTTGTAGACAAGGTCTCCTTATGTTGCCCAGGCTGCTCTTTAGGTTCAAGCATTCCTCCCACCTCAGCCTCCCAAAGTGCTGAGATTACAGATGTGAAACATTGTGCCAGGCTTATTTTTTTAATGTACTTTTACTCTCTTTCTCTCTTTGTGTTTCACTCTGGGTAATTTTTATTGATCTATTTCAAACTCACTGATTCTTCCCAGGGCTGTACCACATTTGCTGATGAGCTTGTCAAATGCATTCTTTATTTTTGTTAATTTATTTTTATTTTATTTCCATTTCATTCATCCTTAAAGCTTTCATATCTCTGCTGAAACTGTCTAATCTTGCATGTTGTCTACCTTTTCCATTAGAGATTTTAGTATATTAATCACAGTTTATGAAGCAGGTTTACTAATTACCAATACCAAGGGAGGAAAGGGAGGACTTCCACTGCATGGAGAATAGAAAAGATCATCACTATGCCAACCACCAGGAAAAGAGGTCCAGATACTTCTTCCCACTGCATTCTGAGCTACTGTTTATGTCCACCATGCACTGGCTACCTGTTTATCTGAGTCTGGTGAAACAGAACACACTCACACACAAATTATGTGAAGCAGTTTTATTACTTACAGATCAGTAGCAAGGGACAGAAGAAGCCTCAGCTCCATTGTGAGTCAGTCTCCTAAAGCTCAAGAAAGCTGCCCAGGAGAGATGAAGTCTTAACCGCACCAATTACTCTATTATAGCCTAAAGTGTAAGTCACAGCTCAAACTCTTGATCACTTCATTCATATTACATGTTCCAAAAAACAACCACAGGAAAACTTCTCCAACAGTAACTTTGCATGAACTCATGTGTTCTGTCAATCGAGAAAAATGGCAAGTCTCAATCATTTTAGGAGGTTTATTTGCCAAAGTTAAGAATAAGCACCCAGGAGACAGGTCTATACCTTTCTCCGAAGATAATTTTGAGGGCTCTAAATTTAAGGGGAAAGGGTAGGGATATTGAGAAGTACACAATTTTCATGTAAGAGGAGGGTAAGGAAAAATAGTCATTCATGCCTTTGTCTGGCTCAGTTAATCTGCATTTTTTTTACATAAGATGACATAGACAAAACGGGGGAAGGGGAACAATTAGATATGCGTTTGTGGCCGGGCGCGGTGGCTCATGCCTGTAATCCTAGCATTTGGGGATGCTGAGGCAGGCAGATCACTTGGGGTCAGGAGTTTGAAACAGGCCTGGCCAACATGGTGAAACCCTGTCTCTACTAAAAGTACAAAAAAAAAAAATTAGCCAGGCATGGTGGCAGATGCCTGTAATCTCAGCTACTTGGGAGGCTGAGGCAGGAGAATCACTTGAACCCGGGAGGTGGAGGTTGCAGTGAGCCAAGATCGCGCCACTGCACTCCAGCCAGCATGACAAAGCGAGACTCCGTCTCAAAAAAAAAAAAAGAAAAAAAAAAAAGATATGCATTTGTGTCTTCTGGGCAGGGGCGTGACTACACCTGTAAAGATAAGCTACCAATTTACATTGCCATGGTAAAATTTTAACAGAAACACCTTAGAGTAAAGATCTTGCAGCTCACAAGGACTTTCCTTGTGGACAAAATATGAGGGAGGCATGTAGCTTTTCATTTTGTAGCCATCTTATTTAGGAACCAAAAAGGGGGAGGCGGGTTTTCGCAACCCCGTTCCCAGATTAACTTTTCCCTTAGGCTTAATGAGTTGGAGTCCCAAGATTTAATTTCCTTTCATAGTTCTAAAACTATGACCAAGTGTTCATTTCTTCCTGATAGGCACTTAGCACACTGACCATGTGCCTTAAATTGTCCATATGATGCGAAGAGCTATAAATCCATGGAGTCGTAAGTTTGGGGATACCAACCACAATCCATCTGCAGCAGAAGTGGTTCCTTTGGAACCAAGCTTGAACAGGTCTAAAAACTAGGTTGTTCTTCTGGTTTAGTGACAGAGACTACTATCCCAGATGAAAATACAATAGTCTTTTAGTGCTTCTATGCATGGTCATGTCTGTCAGTAGACACTAAAACAATCATAATTCAAGAACAGAGTAAATAGTAACATAGACCCTTCTGGAATAGTTGTCTCTGTCACCAAAACAGAAAAACAAACTAGACTAAATTCAGAGGATGAGGGGAATCAAGAATGGCTTGTGAAGGAGGGAAACAAATATTAGTTACAGTCATAATGACAACTATAATAGTAGACACTGTAGCAAATTTCACTAACTTTCTTGCCTTAATCTTCTAGATCACAATTGATCACTCTTGTACCTCCCTTCTTGAGGAAAAATTAAAATGTGTTAATTTTCTCAGGAAAAAAAATGAAAGGCACCATATTGGACTATGGGAGCTTGGAATTCTGAATCACCACCTGGAGAAAAGTGACTCACAAATCTTCAATATCCTCCTTCTGCTACATTAGTGAGTTATAAACTTCTACTATATTTCAGCCACAATACACATTTTAGTCTATTTGTTGCAGCAGTTTGGCCTATTCTAATTAGTATAAAAAGAAGAAAAAATAATCATAGAAAAAAATTAAATGAAGAATATAACAATTTTAATAGTTTCTCCTGACTTAGACTCACCTGAAATGATCCTCATTCTTTGTTTTAGGATTAGCAGAGATGTAAGACAGAATTTCATGAAAATATTCAACCTGGTGGATGATGCCAAATTAGCAGTTAGCGTGTGTGCCTGGAATTCAAACCATACAAATCCTCCCTGCCCACCTCTCATCCTATCCTTTAGAGCAGAGCCTGTTTCTCATATATTGCCCCCAAGTCTATATCAATCAAATTAATTTTTATTATCCTGAAAACACCTATAGAAAGACTAACATGTTGAAAGTTATATTTAAATATGGGCACTCTGCTTCATACTCTTTTGCCAATATTACTTCAAAACTGTACAAACCTATATTCTTTGCATTTGTGAGAAATTATTATATTGTAGATAAGGCTAAAATATTTTGTGAATCAAAACATACTATAAAAAGTTGGAAAGAAAGACTTCATTTGGATGTAAATACATGAAAATAGCAGCCCAGACACTCAAGACAAGAGGAATAATAACTAAGTGACCACAAAGGAAATTTTTTATCACATGCCTGGCTGTTCCAGACAGGGAAGCTTGCTTTACCTGAAGGAAGTGGTCACTAGACCAGAATGTAACCAAATACAGGATTCTGCTTTAAAAAAAAAAAAAAAAAAGATTCACAAAAGTCACGTTCAAGTTAAACCATTAAATACTTTCTTCTCCAACTAATGAGAAGATGTGGGGCCTCATTAATTCTCTCTGGCAGATTAGGTCAATGAATCCATTCCAGAAAAAAAATTATTGAAAAGAGCAATAAATATACAAAATATCAAAGCAGTCATGTGTGCAATCCACAGAAAAGAATAGAAATTTACTTAAGGACAGAAAGAAGTTTAGTAAACAATGATACCACTTTCTTGGACAGGGCAATTTGTGTCACTTTTCCAGACAAAATACATGGATTTGGTGATGCTTTAATCTAAATAGTAATAAGACAGTTTTATTAACAAAATGTTTCTAACTTTCAAGAGCGGTATACAAAAACAACTATTGATAAAAATAAGGAGAGGTACTCTAATAGATGTTTACAAATGATTATAAAGCTAAACAATTAAAACATGTTCATAGTGCCCCAAAAAAAGGACAACTGTGGAATGATATTGGCTGCACATAAACAGAACCTAATTTATGCCACAATTAATGAAATTGAAAATTTTGTTTACAATAGCCCCCTCTTATCCATGGGAGATATGTTGCAAGGCACCCCAAAGGATGCCTGAAGGCATGTACCAAACTCTGTATATGCTATGTTTTTCTACACATACAAACATATGATATAGTTTAATTTACAAATTGTGCAGTCATAGGTTAACAACAATAACTAATAATAAAATAGAACAATTATAACAATATACTGTAATAAAAGTTATGTAAATGAGATCTCTCTCTCTCTTTCTCTGTCTCTTTCTCTCTCCCCTCTTCTCAAAATATCTTATTGTACTAAACACCTATATTTTCACACTGTGATTGATTGACCACCAGTAACTGAAACTGTGGAAAGTGAAACCATCGATAAGGGAGGACCACTGTATTACATTTCTAGGAAGTCGCAAACCCTTTGAGAAAATTTTGGGATGGGAGACAAACATATTTCTAAGAAGCCTTCAATGTTACAGGTTATATTCTTCACTTCTTCAAAGTACATAAGGGCCCACTCTACTCTTCTGGAGTCTATCCAAATTTGTAGGGTAATGGGCTGTAGCTAATGAGGAATGGAACTCAGTGGGATGTAAGGGGTCCGGAAACAAGTTTTTTGAAATATACTTGATTGTCATGACACCAATATGGAATGAAAGAGAAAGCAGCATAGTGATGAGGAAATTATGGTGAGATTTTTAGGACAAGAAGCTATTTTAAAAGAATTTTAAATCATTTTTCTTGGTGTTAGAAATACAATCCTAATTTGATATTTTTCAAGAGGTTGCAATATAATTTGAAGTATTTGAAATGGAGTATGGGGAAATTTGCTCTGGCCTCTCTAAAGAACATCATACTGGGACTGCTTTCAAGGATAGAACAAGTTATCCTGCATTTATGTTGGATAAATTAAGAATGTAGTGCATAATAAAGCAAACTTTTAATCCAGTGGAATAGGAAAAATTACTAAAAATAGTGTTGGGTCAATTAGTGAGTTAGTGGGATAGTAAAAAGAGCCCATACATACACACATACAGAGATTATACTGAGGCAGATTAAAAGTTTAAATGAGAAGGAACTCAGAACTGAGGAGGAACCACCCAGAACATGCTTGCTAGTAACACATCTTCCCACCCCCTTATGAATAATCATGTAAGACTCCCATAAAGGGAGTTTCCCCAGTAACATTCAACACTGTCTCACCCGCACAAGCAACCTGCCCTGAATTGTCTCTTGGGGTGTACTGTTGATTCTGCACCTAACTTTCAGAGTATCCTTTCTCCTTTGCAAGAAATTGCTCTATGTTGTATCTCCTTTGCTGTGTGTCTGTTGTTTAAATTCTTTTAAACTAAGAAGACAAGAACCGAAGTTTCATGAAAGCCATCAACAAAAATATAGAAAAAAAAAGTAAATATTTATTTTATTAAAAAGTGGTGAGATGAGTTTAAATAACAAAACAAAGAAAGAAACCGTACAGGAAAGTATTCTTAGACTATACTAAGAAAAAGTAAAGAATTAATATGTGAAAGGTATATCAATTTTAAGCATTCTGTTTATGTCAAAGGTGCTTATGGTGCAGTATGTAAAATTTAAATAAACAAAGCATATTGTATTAATTTTCTAGCCACTGTCATAACAAATTAGTAGAAACTTTGCAGCTTAAAACAACACCCATTTATTATCTCAGTTTTCTAGGTCAGAAGTCTAGGCAAAGCTCAACTGGGCTCTCTGCTTAGGATCTCACAAGACTGAAGTCACAAGCTGACCTTATAATTCTCATTTGAATATGGAGTCCTCTTCCAAGCTCACTGCCTGTTGACAGAATTTATTTCCACGTATGACTGAGGTCCATGTTTTCAAGCTGGCTATCAGCCAGGGATCAGTATCAGCTCCCAGTGACCACTCTCAGTTCCTTGCCACATGGCCCTCTACATCTTCAAAGTCAGTAATACAGAGTCTTTCTCATGTTTAATCTCCCTCTTCAAGAAAAGTTCAGTCCCTTTCAAGGGCTCACCTAATTAGTTCATGCTCACCTACAATAATTTCCTTTTCATAAGGCTAATTGCAGTCAAAACATAACCCAATCACAGTAGTGATCATACCATTAAATTTACTGGTTACTATTGGGAGCAAGCCCCCCAAAATCTGGCCATAAACTGGCCCCAAATTTATGGCCCAGTTTATGGCCATAAACTGGCCATAAATAAAATCTCTGCAGCACTGTAACATGTCCATAATGGCCTTAACGCCCAAGCTGGAAGGTTGTGGGTTTACGGGAATGAGGGCAAGGAACACCTGGCCTGCCCAAGGCAGAAAACCACTTAAAGGCATTCTTAAGCCACAAACAAAAGCATGAGCAATCTATGTCTTAAGAGCATGTTCCTGCTGCAATTAATTCAGCCCATCCCTTCGTTTCCCATAGGAATACTTTTAGTTAATTTAATATCTATAGAAACAATGCTAATGACTGGTTTGCTATTAATAAATATGTGAGTAAATCTCTGTTCAGGGCTCTCAGCTCTGAAGGCTGTGAGATCCCTGATTTCCCACTTCACACCTCTACATTTCTGTGTGTGTGTCTTTAATTCCTCTAGTGCTGCTGGGTTAGGGTCTCCCTGACGAAGCTGGTCTCGGTAGGTTCCACCCACATTTAAAGGAAAATAATTTTATAAGGTATGTACAACAGGGGGTGATAGATATTCCTGGGGGCCATCTTAGAATTCTGCTTTCCTTCTCACCTCTTCAGCCCTCTGGCCACCTGTAATTCATGTCCCTCTCAAATGTAAAATACATTAATCCCTTCTCAAGGGCCCCCCAAAGTCTCATTCCATTACAGCCTCAGATCAAGGCCAATATCCTGTCTAAATCTTGTTAGCTCAAAGTCCAAATTCGCAGTGCCTTCATACCAAATTACAGGACTTGAAGATGTGAGAATTAGGAACTTGACAGAATATCTAATTATAATTGCTAACAGTCATGAGATTAGTTTATTAATTAAAATCTCACCTGGGAACCAAGTGTATAAATGTCATTGAATCCCTGGGGATAGAGACAGGGAAGCACAGGGATCTGATGATATTTATAGTCACTTAACAAAAAAGACTAGGTGGTATTTTTTTCACCCACACCTAGCTTTGCTGGCATTGAGAAGACACACCTAAGAGAATAATTAATCATACCTACAGGACCCCTTCTTCACTGAGACAGAATAGCAATGAAGTCATTGTTATTGGTGTCATCTGCACTCTACTTATTTATACTTCATATACTTACATAGTATATACCAGAACACTTAAATTAATTTCATCTCCAATTACTGTATATTATTATTATTTTTTTTGAGACAGAGTCTTACTCCATTGCCCAGGCTGGAGTGCAGTGGCACAATCTTGGCTCACTCTGCAACTTCCATCTCCTGGGTTGAAGCGATTCTCCTGCCTCAGCCTCCTGAGTAGCTGGGATTACAGGCATGTACCACCACACCCGGCTAATTTTTGTATTTTTAGTAGAGACAGGGTTTCCCCATGTTGGCCAGGCTGGTCTCAAACTCCTGAACTCAGGTAATCCGCCTGCCTCGGCCTCCCAAAGTGCTGGGATTATTTTGTATTCTAGATGTCGATTTTGCTGTGTTAATTAATTTCCTGATGATTGCAATAGAATACCTGAAACTGGGTAATTTATAAAGAATCAAAATTTATTTCTGGAGGCTGGGAAGTCCAAGAGCATGGTGCCAGCATCTGGTGAGAGCCTCCTTGCTAGTGGGGACCCTCTGCAGAGTCCCATTGTGGTGCAAGGCATCACATAGCAAGCAGGCTGAGAGGGCTACCTCAAGTATCTCTTTCTCCTCTTATCAAACCCTTAGTGCCCCATCACCCCATCCTCATGACCTCATCTAATACTAATTACTTCTCACATCTCCCACCCCTAAAATATCATGGTCTGTTTTCTTACCCTTTTATACTGTTACAATAGGGATTAAGTTTCTACATAAGATTTAGAGGAGCAAACTTTCAAACCATAGCATTTCACCCCTGCAGCCTCAAAACTCATATTCTTCTCACATTCAAATACATTCATTTTATCTCCAGAGCCCCAAAGTCTTAACTTTCTCTAGTACCAACTCAAAAGTCCAAAAGTCCAAAGTCCTTATCTGTGAGCCTGAGATACTAAAGCCAATTATCTACCTCCAAGATACAATGCTGGGACAGGAGAAATGGGCCAGAAGAAAGAAGTAACAGGCCTCAAGGAAGTCTGAAACTCAACAGGGAAAGACATTAAATTTTAAAGCTGGAAATAATGTCTTTTGACTCCATGTTCCTCATCCTGAGCACACAGGGGCAGAAGTTGGGCCCCCAAGACCTCAGGCAACCCTGCCCTCATGGCTTTGCTGGTTGCAGCCCATATATGGCTGTTCTCATGGGTTGGAGTCAGGTGCCTTGGGTTTTCGAAGCTGGGACTGCATGCTGGTAGCTCTACAGTTTTGGAGTCTTGGTGGCAGTCCCACTGTCACAGCACCACTAGATATTTCCCTGGGGAGGACTCCCTGTAGCAGTTCCAACCCCACAGTTCCTCTCAGCATTGCCCTAGCAGAGGCTCTTGGTGGTTGAAGGGGTGGGTCGCCCCTCCACACCTGTGGGTGTTTCTCGTTAGGTGGAACGAGAGACTTGGAAAAGAAAAAGACACAGAGACAAAGTATAGAGAAAGAAATAAGGGGACCCAGGGGACCAGCGTTCAGCATATGGAGGATCCCGCCGGCTTCTGAGTTCCCTTCATATTTATTGATCATTCGTGGGTGTTTCTCAGAGAGGGGGATGTGTCAGGGTCACAAGACAATAGTGGGGAGAGGGTCAGCAGACAAACACGTGAACAAAGGTCTTTGCATCATAGACAAGGTAAAGAATCAAGTGCTGTGCTCTAGATATGCATACACATAAACATCTCAATGCTTTACAAAGCAGTATTGCTGCCTGCATGTCTCACCTCCAGTCTTAAGGCGGTTTTTCCCTATCTCAGTAGATGGAACGTACAATCGGGTTTTATACCGAGACATTCCATTGCCCAGGGATGGGCAGGAGACAGATGCCTTCCTCTTGTCTCAACTGCAAGAGGCATGTCTTCCTCTTATACTAATCCTCCTCAGCACAGACCCTTTACGGGTGTCGGGCTGGGGGACAGTCAGGTCTTTCCCTTCCCACGAGGCCATATTTCAGACTATCCCATGGGGAGAAACCTTGGACAATACCTGGCTTTCCTAGGCAGAGGTCCCTGCAGCCTTCCGCAGTGTTTGTGTCCCTGGGTACTTGAGATTAGGGAGTGGTGATGACTCTTAAGGAGCATGCTGCCTTCAAGCATCTGTTTAACAAAGCACATCTTGCACAACCCTTAATCCATTTAACCCTGAGTTCGACACAGCACATGTTTCAGAGAGCACGGTGTTGGGGGTAAGGTCATAGATTAACAGCATCTCAAGGCAGAAGAATTTTTCTTAGTGCAGAACAAAATGGAGTCTCCTATGTCTACTTCTTTCTACACAGACACAGTAACAATCTGATCCCTCTTGCTTTTCCCCACAGTGGTGGCCCTGCCCCTGTGGCAGTTTTCTCCTTGGGTTCCCAGGCAGTCTGATACATCCTTTGAAATCTAGGTGGAGATTTCTATGCCTTCCCACTAGTCTTGCATTCTGAAGACCTGCAGAAATAGCACCACATGCATGTGGACATTGCCAAGGCTTACTGCTTGTGCCTTCTGCAGCTACAATATGAGTCACATCTGGGGCCACTTGAGCTATGGCTGGAGCAACCAGGATGAGGGAAGCACTGCCCTGAGGTGGCATTGGGCAGCAAGCCCATGGAGGACACCCCAGGCCTGTCTCCTGAAACCATTCTTTCCTCCTAGAGCTCTGGGCCTGTGATGGCAGGGGTAGACTTGAAGATCTCTAAAGTGCATTCAGTGTTTGTCTCCCATTGTCTTGATGAATAGCTTCTGGCTTTATTCTATTCATACAATTCTCCTTATCAATCAGTCCCTCCTTAACAATCATTCCTTCAGACACACCCTTGGTTTCCTCTGTTGAAAATGCTCTTTCAGGGCCAGGCTGCAAAATTTCCTAATCTTTCCACTTAGCTTCCCTTTTAATTATAAATTCCACCTTTAAGTTATTTTTTACCTCTCACAGCTTTAATGTAAGCAGTTAAAAGTAGCCATGCAGCTGCCTGACTGCTTTGCTGCTTAGATATTTCTTCTGCCATATAGCCTAATAAAACCATCAGATATAGACACAATTCAGAGCCAAGTTTTTCACCCATTTATTACAAGGATGGCCTTTACTCCAGTTTCCAATTCCTTGTTCCTCAGACCTGAGACCTCAGCAGAACAGCCCTTACTGTCCATATTTCTATTGACATTCTGGTCCTGACCACTCAAATCATCACAAAGGAGTTCCAGACTTTTCCTAGTCTTCTTGACTTCTTCTAAGCCCTCACCAAAATCACCCTTTATCACCAGAATTGACATTTAAGGCAATACAGGCTTTTTCTCGCCTGCCTTTTTGAGTTCTTTTAACCTCTACCCATTACCCAGTTCCACAGCTGCTTCCACATTTTCAGATATTTGTTATTAGCAACAGCCCAACTTTTTAGTACCAATTTTCTGCCTTAGTCTGTTTCTTGTTGCTTGTAACAGAATGCCAAAAATTGGGTAATTTATGAAGAAACAAAATGTATCTCTTATGATTCTGGAGGATGAGAAGTCCCAGAGCATGGTGCCAGCATCTGGTGAGAGTCTTCTTATTGGTGGGCCCTCTGCTGAGTTCTGATGAGGTGCAGAGCATCATGTGACAAGAGGGCAAAGGGGTATGGCTCAAGGTCTCTGTTTCTCCTCTCAATGCCCCACCCTCAAGACCTCATCTAATCCTAATTACTTCCCAAAGGTGCCACCTCTCAAATACCATAGTTGGATTTACAGCCCTCTTAATACTATTACTATGGGGATTAAGTTTCAATATGAGTTTCAGAGAAAATAAACATTCAAACCATAGCATTGCCCATCTCTTTTACTCTCCTCCCTCCTCTTCTTTTCTGTACTCCACTGTCCCTGTCCAGAGGTTTTATTTAGCCACTCCACCTCAGCCCATCAGGCTTCCAATCAAAATCCCAGTTCTTCAGTGATCATTCAGATTTATTGTCCTGTTGTAATATCTGGAACAATAACAATCTTCTCAGGACAGTTGTTTTTTATTTGCTTCAGTTCCTTTTGAGAAAGTTATTCTGTGTCTTCTCACTTCCTTATATCTATAGCATACAAGTGTTTGAAAACATTCTCCTCAACCTCCTTTAAAATCATGGGGAGCCCAACCTCAGCTCCTAGCCAGAAGCAGAAAGTCAAAATTTGGCTGTCTTTCCTCCATAGAGCACTTTTG
Source organism: Homo sapiens (assembly GCF_000001405.40). Classification (NCBI taxonomy): domain Eukaryota; kingdom Metazoa; phylum Chordata; class Mammalia; order Primates; family Hominidae; genus Homo; species Homo sapiens. The sequence continues at coordinate 4,181,030 of NT_167249.2, forward strand.
GTTTCTTTCCCACTTAGGAATTAAATTCCCAGCCAATAATGCCTACTTTCAGGCATAGAAGTCAAGACTTCAGCCCTACTCACCATATGCATATCTATCTTATTTGAAGTTCTCAGGAAGAACTTTTGTATCTACACTCATACTTTTTAATCCTTTTTAGTACATTGCTTCATATAGCTTTCTTGGTGGTGGTTGTACTTATTACAATATATACATATAACTTATCACAGTCTACTGGTATTGATGTTTTACCACTTTGAGTGAAGGATACAGTCCGTATCTCTAGTACCATTAGCATATTTTACCCTCTCTACTTTTTAAATGCAATTGTATTAAGTATTTCTTCCACATGCATTCCCATCCACAGTTTGGATATTTGTCCACTCCAAATCTCATGTTGAAATTTGATCCCCAATGTTGGAGGCAGGGCCTAATGGGAGATGTTTAGACCATGGGGGCAGATCCCTCATGAATGGCTTTGTGCTAATGTCATGATCCTAATGCTTGTTTTATTCCTCAATGTCATCATTGATTCAACCATAGCTTTTATTTTTAATTTGCTTTTTGTTTGTTTGTTTTCTTTTTTTTTTTTTTTTTTTTTTTGAGACGGAGTTTCGCTCTGTCGCCCAGGCTGGAGCGCAGTGGCGCGATCTCGGCTCACTGCAAGCTCCGCCTCCCGGGTTCACGCCATTCTCCTGCCTCAGCCTCCCGAGTAGCTGGGACTACAGGCGGGCACCACCATGCCCGGCTAATTTTTTGTATTTTTAGTAGAGACGGGGTTTCACTGTGTCAGCCAGGATAGTCTCGATCTCCTGACCTCGTGATCCGCCCGTCTCGGCCTCCCAAAGTGCTGGGATTACAGGCGTGAGCCACCGTGCCCGGCCTGTTTTCTTTTCTTAACTATTATTTTAAGTTCGGGGTACATGTGCAGTTTTGTTACATAGGTAACCTGTGTCATGGAGGTTTGTTGTACAGATTATTTTGTCAAACAGTTATTAAGCCTAGTACTTATTAGTTATTTTTCCTGATCCTCTCCCTCTTCCCACTCTCCACCCTCTGATAGGCCCCAGTGTGTGTTGTTTTCCTTTATGAATTCATGTGTTCTCATAATTTAGCTCCTATTTATAAGTGAGGACATACAGTATTCGGTTTTCTGTTCCCCCATTAGTTTGCTAGGGATAATGACTTTCAGCTTCATCCATGTCTCTGCAAAGGACATGATTTTGTTTCTTTATGGCTGCATAGTATTCCATGGTGTATATGTACCACATTTTATTTATCTAGTCTATCATTGATGGGCATTTAGGTTGATTCCATGTCTTTGCTATTGTGAATATGCTGCAATGAACATATACATGCATGTGCCTTTATAACAGAAAGATTTATATTCCTTTGGGTATATACCCAGTAATAAGATTGCTGGGCTGAATGGTATTTCTGTCTTTAGGTCTTTGAAGAATCTCCACACTGTCTTCCCCAATGATGAACAAAACCTCTGAGAAATATGGGGTTATGTAAAGAGACCAAATCTATGACTGATTGGTGTCCCTGAAAGAGATGGAGAGAATGGAACCAACTTGGAAAACATAGTTCAGGATATCATCCATGAGAACTTCCCCAATCTAGCTAGAGAGGCCAACATTCAAATTCAGGAAATGTAGAGAACCCCAATAAGATACTTCACAAGACTTTTATCCCCAAGACACACAATTATCAGCTTCCCCAAGGTCAAAATGAAAGAAAAAATGTTAAAAAATAAAAAATAAAAACAACTAGAGAGAAAGATCAGGTCACCTACAAAGGGAAGTCCATCAGACTAACAGCAGACCTCTCAGCTAAAACCCTACAAGCAGAAGAGATTGGAGGCCAATATTCAATATTCATAAAGAAAAGAAATTCCAACTCAGAGTTTCATAATTGGCCAAATGAAGCCTCATATTGAAGGAGAAATAAGATCCTTTTCAGACAGGCAAATGCTGAGCAAATTCATTACCACCAAACCTACCTTACAAGAGCTTCTGAAGGAAGCACTAAATATGAAAAGGAAAGACTGTTACCAGCCACTACAAAAACACACTGAAGTACACAGACCAGTGACACTATAAAGCAACCACATAAACAAGTCTGCAAATTAACCAGCTAACATCATGATGACAGGAGCAAATCCACACATATCAATACTAACCTTAAATGTAAATGAGCTAAATACCCCAATTAAAAGACACAGAGTGACAAGCTGGATAAAGAACCAAGATGTATTGGTATGCTGTCTTCAAGAGACTCATCTCACATGCAATGACACACAGGCTCAAAATAAAGAGATGAAGAAAAATCTACAATGCCTTTTTTCCTTAAAATTTGTTTTTTACATTAATAAATTGATATCATTTTTCAAAATTAGTATTTGCATGATATATCCTTTCTGTCTTTTACACTCAATCTCTGAAATGACTTTTATGCTTTAGACATATGTCTTGTAAACAGTATAATCTGAATTTGTATTTTTGCATTCAATTTGTCAATCTCTGTCTTTTGATCACAAGTCAAGTCTATTTGCATTTTACTGAAATAAATAACATATATGGACCTTTATATTATCTCACATTTTTCATTTCGGTCTTTTCCATGATTTCAATGACTTTTTTCCTGTTAGCCCATTTCTATAACCCATTCTAGCATGTGTATCAGGCTGGGATGGCAGGTGGATTCATTCTAACCTCTACCTTGAGATGTGTTTTCAGACTCTGTTAAGGTTTACGTTGCTCATTTCTGGCATCCTTCACATAAGAATTACTGATCCAGGCCCAGCCATTTGTAGATTTTGAGACATTGTTCTGGCTGTCTGCATATGGCCTGTCTCTGGACTTAACATCCCATGTCCTCACTCAGACTACATAACTTTAGACCCACCCTATTACTATGGACTCCCTGTCTATTTGTATTTTTTCAGCAAAACGTCTAAAAGTAATTATCAATATTCTTGAAACATTAACTTGATAGATTCTTGTAAAATCACATAATCTATTGAAAATTATATGGGTGCTCTAAACTATACCCCCTGGATAATCTTACCTGTACACAGTTTGAATAGATGTCCTTTACAGCTAGAATAATGATACTAGTTAAAATCAGAGGACTAATCCATGGGTAGATCATTTCAAAATTTACTCTGAGGCTTAAAAGGAAATATATTTTGTAAAGCAAGAAAGTATATTTTCCAAGATCCAATTAGCAATGAAGGCATCCTAATAGTATCTGGGATCCTCACATGTGAAAAAAATAAACTAGATTACAAAAGAGAGGACTTACATACACTTAGTTCTTGCAGGAGGAAAGGAACTATCTAGACGTTGTTATTTTGTTCAAAATAAGTATAAGTACAAAAATCTGTGGTAGTAAATCTAGTGCACTATTCTTACATGTGACACTAATAACCCAAGGAAAAATAATAAAATATTTCTGCTTCTTTTGAAATGAGCCTGTCATGGCCTGCATGGAAGTTCACTACTGATAAGCACTTTGTTTCTTTATTCCCTTACTCAGCTTTCCTCTTTTGTAGCTTCATAGCAAGAATCACAACCTAACACTGCATTTTATGTCTGTTTATTATGTGACTTTTTTTAGTTCCTGCTAGAATTAAAGCTCATAAAGGTAGGGACACATTTGCCTTTTTGACTAAGTTATCTGGAATAGCATGTAGCACTTAGTAGGAGCTAAATAATTATTTGACAAATAAATGGATACATTCATTGATGAATTTGATGTCCACATAAAGGCTATCTTTATTTAAATAAACCCGTTATTTCCATGAGTCACTTGCTCCTCCTGCTACATGTAGAGAACTATCATTCAGGATTTCAGTTGAGTTCTAAACAGTTGGATACTTCCACAATCAGGGATCTTCAATTCCTCCACTTGGCGTTTTATTCAACAGAAGTGCCTTTGGACATTCACACTTGATCTTCCAAAACCACATCAGCTTCTAGAACAATGCTTCTAGACAGTTTCTTAGTAACCCCTCAAAGACGTGATTTCACATTTTTATCAATGTATAATTTTATTTAAACTGAAATGACATAATATTACTGTGTCAAATATTATAGAGAAAGTTGGCCATCTTTGCATATGCTGTTTTCCATTTGAGTTTCTTCTGTGAATTACTGTTCATCTACTTTCCAATATTTCAACTAGGTTATTTAATCCATTGATTTGAGCAGTACTTTATTTCTTCCTTTGTGTAATATATGTATTGAAAAATATCCAAATATACTTCATAACTATGTTGCCCAAATTTTGTAATGCATACTAACAAATATCTACCTGTTATATTCATTTTTAAGAAATATACTAAAATGTAATAACTTGTACTTTTCCCATCCCACTTTGCTTTTCTAAGCAGTATTTATGTATTTCAACTTTTTTTACAGTTTAAATACAATATACTTAGGTGTAGGTTTTCTTTGTTTTTTTTTTAAATACAGGGATTACCTACAGAGGAACTAAACATAGTAATATAATAAAATTGCAAGAAGGATGCCAGAGACATAAAATTGTTGGTGGTCTAAATTATCTGCTTTCAGATAATTAGATAACTGATGTCTAAATTAATACCCCACATACACAAAGATACACATATTACCATTAAAAGTCATTGACCTGGGGATAATGCTAGTGGAGGAAAGGAATGGCATGAAGGGCTCTTGTTTTCATTAAAATACATCTTTATTGTTTAATCCTCAAACTATATACAGGTATCCTGATAAATTTAAAATACTGATTGCAAAATAAAATTTAATTCTTACTGAAATATCAAGAATGCTGCAGATGGTGGCAGGATGCTCAATGTGAAAAAGGATAGTGGCTTGCATTAGAATGACAGCAGCGAAGTTTGTTTTAAGCATGTAATTTTATAGTACCAATCTCTTATCTGTGAAAGCGTGTAAAAGACTGAGCTCTTCAGTTCTCAAACAAAAGCAGACTTTAACTCCTGCTCCAGTCATGCTTCTTTGCTTCTCAAACACCCATAACCACATCTCAGATTGCATCATATTTTGAACACATGGAAGGAAGAGTAAGGGAAAAAAGAGTGGCTGGGTTACCACCCTCAAGAAATGCTGATCCCTCAAATCTAGACCTGCCAAGGGGCCAGGAGAGAAGGGAAAGCAGCAGCTCCCTTGAATTTTTAAAGTGCAATGTCCCCACCTACTGGTGAAGATGACCCAGTTAACATCCCTACAGCTGTCAATGTCTTCCTAGGACATTGACTTCTTCTAGTAGAATCAGTGTGCTTCAGCTCAGTTTTACACCAGAAGATAAACAAAATATAAATCCAAGATTTTTGCAGTGCAGTGGAGGTCTCTGAGGGTGTTGCAATGAGAATTTTAAACACAAAGCTAGTTTTAAAATAACACCATAATTAGCAGTCCCTTTCCCCAGCATCTATCTACTCCTCACAGCTTCTGCTCAGATTGTCTTCTCTCCATTGTCTCTTCCATCGCCCTGTACAAATCTCCTCTCTTACACTGCATTTCCTGCCCACACCCTGCTTCCCCATGCGTTAAGTTAGCAGCCTTTTTTCCCTCTTGTTGTTTTCTGCCTTCTGATATTTCAGATAAGAAATCTGTTTCTGGGCCGGGTGCGGTGGCTCATGCCTGTAATCCCAGCACTTTGGGAGGCCAAGGCGGGTGGATCACCTGAGGTCAGGAGTTCGAGACCAGACTGGCCAACATCGTGAAACCCCGTCTCTACTAAAAATACAAAAATTATTCATTGGTCATCTACTTGGTGTCCAGCACTAGGTTATTCCTAAGTATCACTGAACTTTGTGATAACGCTGAAGATATGTTTGGAAGTTTCAGGAACCAGAAGAAGAACACGATTCAGGATGTTTCTTCTTGTGACATTTATTTAAATTCTCTGGTTCTTATATTTGAGGTTTGACTGTAGCTGGGGAGGGTAGGAGAGGGATGGGAAAAAGAAAATGGAAAGATATTCCCTGGAAAAGAAGATAATTGTCTAAGAATTGTTCATTTTTTCCTTGTCTTGGCACTATGAGACACTGGGATATAATATAAAAGGTAACAGATTTTGAGAAAAATGCATTTGTCCCGTAGTTGGAGAATTCGTTAAGTTTGTGACCCTCAACAAATCACATATTCTCTGTTAGCCTCAGTCATTTTAACTTTAAAGTTTAGATAGCTTCCATTTGGTGGGATTAATATTAAGATGAAATGAAATTTTATATATGAGACCTACTAATTGCGTATTCTGACAGAGAGCTACAACACCAAAGCTAAGCCCTGTTATGTGCTTCCACAGGGGACAAAATAGAGGCTGTGAAAAGTAGATAGTTGAGTAAAGCTCATTGAATTATTTAATCAGCTACTTCCATTCTTAACCATAAATCTTGCATAACCATTTAGAGGATGCTATCCTGAAAAAGATAATCAGTTTTACAGAGAAGTCTTGGTAGCTCTGAGGCTATTAATAACCCCAGTTACTACAGTAACAACCGGGAGGTGAAACAGATTAATCAGAGGTAAATAGGTTAAAATAAAGCTTATCGGAGTTCTGGGAAATCTCTATCTATCCCAGAGAAGAATAATGCATAATGAGTGATAAAATATTTGATTTTAAAAATTTAAATTACCCACAAATGATCTCCCATTCACAATTGCCACAAATAGAATAAAATACCTAGGAATATAGCTAACAAGGTAAGTGAAGAACCTCTTCAAGGAAAACTGCAAATCACTCTTCAAAGAAATCAGAGATGACACAAACAAAGTGAAAAACATTCCATACTCATGGATAGGAAGAATCAATATCATGAAAATGGCCATACTACCCAAAGCAATTTATAGATTTAATGCTATTCTTATTAAACTACCATTGACATTCTTCAAAGAATTTTTAAAAAACTATTTTAAAATTCACATGGAACCAAAAAAAGAGCTCGAAGAGCCAAGGCAATCCTAAGCAAAAAGAACAAAGCTGAAGGCATCACATTACCCAACTTCAAACTATACTACAGGGCTACAGTAACTAAAACAGCATGGTACTGGTACAAGAACAGACATATAGACCAATGGAACAGAATACAGAACCCAGAAATAAGACCACACACCTACTAGCATCTGATATTCAACAAATCTGACAAAAACAAGCAATGGGGAAAGGATTCCCTCTTTAATAAATGGTGCTGGGAGAACTGGCTAGCCATATGCAGAAGATTGAAACTGGACCTCTTCCTTACACCATATACAAAAATCAACTCAAGTTGGATTAAACACTTAAATGTAAAACCCAAAACTATAAAGACCCTAGAAGAAAACCTAGGCAATACCATTCAGGACATAGGCATGGGCAAAGATTTCATGATGAAGAGGCCAAAAACAATTGCAACAAAAGCAAAAATTGACAAATGGGATCTAATTAAAGTAAAGAGCTTCTACACAGCAAAAGAAACTACCAACACAGTAAAAAGACAACCCACAGAATGGGAGAAAATTTTTCAATCTATGCGTCTGACAAAGATCTACAATTCAGCATCTATAAGGAACTTAAATTTACAAGAAAAAACCCATTAAAAAATGGGCAAAGGACATGAACACATACTTCTCAAAAGAAAACATACATGTGGCCATGAAACATATGAAAAAAAGCTCAATATCACTGATCATTAGAGAAATGCAAACCAAAACCGTAATGAGATACCATCTCACACCAGTAAGAATGGTTATCATTAAAAAGTGAAAAAACAACAGATGCTGGAGAGGTTGTGTTGGTGGGAGTGTAAACTAGTTCAACCATTGTGGAAGACAGTGTGGCAATTCCTCAGAGACCTAGAGACAGAAATACTGTTTGACCCAGCAATCTCATTACTGGGTATATAACCAAAAGAATATAAATTACTCTATTATAAAAGACATATGCATGCATATGTTCATTGCAGCACTATTCACAATAGCAAAGACATGGAATCAACCCAAATGCCCATCAATGGTAGACTAAATAAAGAAAATGTGGTGCATTATGTAGCCATGAAAAGGAATAAGATCATGTTCTTTGCAGGGACATGGATGGAGCTGGAGGCCATCCTTAGCAAATTAACACAGGAACAGAAAACCAAATATCATATGTTCTCATTTATAGGTGGGAGCTGAATTATGAGTTTATAGTTCTCATTATAGGTGGGAGATGAATGATGAGAACTCTTGGACACATGGAGGGGAACAACACACACTGGGGCCTGTCGGAGGTAGGGGATGGGAGGAGGGAGAGCATCAGGAAGAATAGCTAACAGATGCTGGGCTTAATAACTAGGTGATGGGATGATCTGTGCAGCAAACCACCATGGCACACATTTACCTATGTAACAAACCTGCACATCCTGCACATGTACCCCTGAACTTAAAATAAATGTTGGAAAAAATATATTTAAATTACTATTATATTTATCAAAATTATTATATTTATTGGTATAACAGTAACAGTTATCCTTTTTAGACCTTAATATGTGCCAGACATATTGTACATTAAAATATATTATCACATGTGCTTTTCTTAACAGACTATGAGGTAATTATTATTATCTAAATTTTCAGATAAGGAAAACATCTTTCAGTTTGAGTACCTTGCCCAAGATCACAGCTCATAATTTGTTTTAATGATATACCTTAGATAATCAGTATTAAAATTTACATAATACTTCAGTCATTTACACTAATAAGAAAAGTATTTGAGCAAAATATTAAAAAAACAAAATTACATAATTTCAAATAACACAGCTTTTACTAACCCATTAAATTCATTACAAGGAACCAGTCTAAGGACTGTTGATTGAATCAAAAGAGTGATGGTGACATTCTCTTTCTAATTGTCTTGAAATTAATACAAAACACTAATTTATATCACATATTATTCATATGAATTTAGTTAACAACATATATTAATTGATTATGTATAAGTGCTTTCAAAATACTTATGATGTTTGAAAATTAGACACACATTCGTATTTTAATGCCCCAGTTACACCTCTCCCAATGTATTACTGAGTAATCTTTTTAATTTTTATTGCGCAAACAGAATCTCAGGTAAGTCTTTGAATTAATTAATGCTGGTGATTAGCAAATAAACACCCTTTATGTTTCATATGTCATGCACAATTAAGGACCTGAAATTAATTGAGGAGAATAGAGAACCTGCATTAACGAGACATTCCCTTGCTACCACTGTTGTAAGTATCCAGATAATTTGGGGGTTCATTATAGACATGGAAAAAGTATTTTGTATAAGGAGAATCTTCCCATGTCTGCCTTTGGTTTTGCTCTCTCCCCATTACCCTTAGTTTTATGATTTTCTCCTTTTTCAAATCTAAAGTGTTCACAGATCAATCTGAAGAATTCCATATGGATTCAACAGAAATTTACTAAATGCCTAAAATGTGCTAAAGATATAGACAAAATAACTGCCTCTGTTGTGTATGTATATTTTGGGGGAGGAAATACACTAAAATATTTTTTAATCAAATATTTTACCAGCCATTATGCATCAGTCACTCTCTAGGTGCCAGGAATGTTGCATGGAAGGAAAATGGGCATGGACTCTGCCTCATGGGGCTGAGACTGTAGTAGACATGACAAACAGTTGTCTTTTGTTTTCCTATCATGTTAAGATCTGGGAGAGCATTCCAGGCAAAAGAGAGTGCAAGGCTCTGGAGGACAGTGTGAGCTTCGTGAAAGAATAAGAAGGCCAGTGAGGCTGGAACAGAACGGGTTGGTTGGACAATTATAGGAGACAAGATTGGACAAGTACACATGTAAGACATGGTAAGGAGATTTGATTTTATCCTAATGGTAATCAGATCAAATATCTCTACCCTAACACTTCACTGTCACATTTCATAAAGATATATACAAATGTGAAATCTTCCAGTGAATTTTTTCTGCTTTTTTTTTTCTAAACAAACCTTCATATTCTCAAAACTAAGGAGATAGCACCCAAGAGCAGAACCTAAGGAGAAGCAAATAGAAAAAGAGAAATTAGGAAATAAGAAAGTTAGCAGTTTTCTTTGATAGCAAGTGGAGGAATTAAACATTCCTACACTGGGCTGGGTGTGGTGGCTCGCGCTTGTAATCCCAACACTCTGGGAGGCCAAGGTGAGAGAATCGCTTGAGCTCAGGAGTTCAAGACCAGTCTGGGCAACATAGTGAGAGCCCTATCTCTACAAAAACTTTAAAAAGAAATTAGCCGGGCCGGTGGAATGTGCCTGTCGTCCCAGCTACTAAGGAGGCTGAGGCGGGAGGACCATCTGAACCCAAGAGGTCAAGGATGTAGTGAGCTGTGTTTGTGTCACTGCACTCCAGCCTGGGTGACAGAGACCCTCTCAAAAAAAAAAATCCTACATTGGAAGAAAGGAGAAATAACTTCTATTTTTACATTACTAAAGGGGAAAACACGAAATACAAAGCTGTCACCTGGCTTCCGTCAACAGTGATCTGATGATGAACGGTGTCCCCTCAGAATATAAAGGTGTTCTTTGAACGTTCACAGGAGCGATACCTAACCCGGATCATAGAGGGTGTTTGTGTTCCGAGGACACTAAATTTGAGTCCCTGCATGCATCACACAAGTCTTCGCCCAAACTACCATTTGCAGGCTCACTTCTTAGCCCCACCCCTACTGAGAACGCAGAGCCATTTGCACGCTTCCTGTCCTTGGAAACGGAAGAAACTTCAATTACATGATGGCTTTATGCTACCTAGACCTCTTTCTTCAGTCTTTGGCATGTTCTAATCTCGGAGGCGACTTTACACAGATGGCAATAGCATTCGCAGCTTGGAGGTCTTTTACCAGTGGCTAAAACTTGATCCAACAGCCTCAGCCGGTTCCCCCTGACTCCAGCCCTCTAGATGCTTCTCAACATCACCTTCATCTCCTTTCCTTTATTCAGGACAGTCGTGCCAAGAAATGCCTAAGAGAAGGGTGACCCTGGAAATGTCTTGACTCTGGGAAGATCTTCTAACCACTCCACATGGTAATAAGCACAGTGTTGACAGGTGTGAGGACTGAAGTGGGAGATCAAAGAGGAAAAGCCACGAATGAGGGTGTGAGGGGCAGTCAAGAGAAGCTCCCAAGGGAGCATGATCTGTGTAAATGCAGATTCTCTGGGTATTGGAAGATCCTTGGGGACAAATGCCAAGAAGACACCAACTTCTTTTATCAGCATCTCTCAGAATCCATGCCCTGTGGGTAGTTATATGTGAATATCAGAATCGCCCTCCACTGCCAGGGAGACCCAAGGCTTAATCTTGTATCTAATTTGGAAACAAAAAAAAATGTATATGATGAAATTATTCTGTAGTTTTGCTTGTAGCAGCCTCAGTTATCTTAAATATTCCTCCAACACATTATTTTCTTTATTAACTGTTACTATGCCCATGGCATTCATCACTCTGACACTTTCATAATGGATTATGAGGCTTGTACTTGTACTGATTTATTTATGTATTTGTCTCTGTTTGTTTTTTAGAGATGCGGGGGGTCTCACTGTGTTGCCTAGGCTGGTCTTGAACTCCTGACCTCTAGTGATCCTCCCGCCTGGGCCTTCCAAAGTGCTCAGATCATGGGCATGCACCCAGCCACATTTTTAACCTATGTAAATAGAGATGGGGGGAAAAAACAAAAAAACTCCAAAGCATTTTTCCTTCTGTCTTACACAGTTACTTCTGACATCAGGTATGTGGAGATTTTTCCCCCACACCAAGCAATTCTCCAGCAGACACCGGGTTCCTCTAAATCAATTCAATTCTGATACTATTTACCTAAAAATAGCATCAGATCCCACAGATTGAGGGATCAGTCATGCAAAACTGCCCCCCTCCCACTTCAGATGCCAGTTGCTATCACCTGTACTTCTGACCATCCAATTATAGATTGGAGGTTCCCACAAACCTTTCCTCAGGTTCAATTAATTTGCTAGAGCAGCCCAAAGAATTCAGGGAAACACTTACTTACATACACTGGTTTATTACATAGGATAAGACAAAGGATACAGACGAACAGATTAATAAAGAAAAACAAAACACATAGGACAAAGTATGGGGGAAAGAGTGCGGAGCTTCCACACCTTCTTCAAGAGCCTATCCTCCAGGCATCTTTCCGTGTTCTGCTATCTGGAAACTCTCCAAACTCTGCCCTTTTGGGTTTTAATGGAGGCTTTGTTATGTCAGCATGGTGAGTTGATTAAACCATTGGCCATTGGCAGTCAACTCAACCTTCAGCCCCTCCCTTCTCCCCAGAGATTGTGAATGGGCTGAAAATCCCAACCCTCTAATCCTGCCTTGGTCTTTCTGGTGACCAGCCCCAGCCACCAGTCACCTCATTAGCATGCAAAAGACACTCTTATCACTCTGGAGATTCCAAGAGTTTTAGGAGCTGAAGGGCAGGAACCAGGGTCAGAAACCAAATATATACTTCCTATTATATCACAATATCACACACACTAGCTTGGGTCAATCAGTTGCATTAATTATTTGTGTATGATGTGAAGTACTCTTTTTAGTCACAAATTTATTTCTTTCAAATTACCAGGTAGGAAGTCAAAGGGAAAATTCTTTATTTCACTTTTGGAAAACTAATGAATAAACTAAATTAGTAATTGCATGCTATTTCCACTTCTGTAAAAATGATATAGACCCTATATGCCTGTTATGAATAATAGATGAGCTTTGCAATGAAGAGATATGCATGTTACTTTTTATTAGAATGAGTATGGCTTCAATTTTTATGTGACTATCAAAAGAGAAATATGGTTCTTTTTTCTAATTTAGAGTTTATCTAATAATGGTCCGTGAGCTCTTGTGACCTCTCTTTAAACTAAGGTACATCTCACTGTTTCAACTCATGCCTCTGTGTCCTGCTCAGTGATTCACCATCTCCCTATACAAGAGATCCCCGACCTAGCAAGCTCATCTACAAACAAATATTCTTATTCTTGGAACAGAGTTGCCAAAAGCACAGGCACACAGAAAAACAAGTCTGTGTTTGAGAGCTCAGGAGAGAGAGGAGCCAAAAGAAACATCTACCAGCAGCTAAATGATTTGGTTCCTGAAGGGATTCACTTCCATGAATAAGAATACGAGTAGGTACTCTCATTGGTACTTCTTCCTCATCTGTAGGTACCTGAGATGACTGTGTCCTCTAAAGCTTCTGTGATGCTAGATGCACCCAACATCATTTTCTATAATTGAGGATCGTAGCTTTCCCCTGTGATCCTCTGGCTGTATTGTGGGAAGATAGTCAAAAAATCATCTTTTAAAGTAGGAAATAAACTTCTTTTTATAGAATCAGCTCCCCTTCCTCTGCGCTTGTGGTTTCCATTACTATAAAAGAGAGCACTGAAGTCCAAAGAAAGTACTGTGTATTTCCCTTTTGGGGCCCTGATGTCCTGCCCATGGCATTCATGCCCCCAAAATTGTTTCATGCCACCATGAAATTGCCTCCACGTGGTGCCCATCTTTTTCCCTTCACTCATATTCTCAACATTTCCAGAACCAGAGAGAGAGAGACGGAGAAACAGAGAAGTTCTGACCTCAACACCACCTTTTCCTACAGAATATGTGGCACCCGTATTTTGTCAGAGAAGACAAACGTGTTGTTCCTCAGATTGGTAGGATTCATGGGCATTTCATCCTCATAATATGAGGTTGTATGCAGACAGTGCCTCCTGGTATCGAGAAGCCATGTGAGTTACACCACAGAGGAGAGGAAGTTAGGGGTTTCAAATATTTCAAAGAATAAGGAAGCTAAGTCATACTCAGAAGTTAAGAAGAACTTTGGGGAGAGAGGAAGTCAAAATACAGAAATGCATTCAAAAAAAAAGTTTAGGATGTAGAGGAGGATGGGATCACCATGAGACAGCCGTCCAATGCCCATGATAGTTCCTGTTACAGTAAGCCACGTCTTCAGATAGAGAGAGAAAAGGCCACATGTATACTTGCCTTGTATGAATGAGCACTGTTGTTTGATGAATTCCATCTCTTCCCCTCTTTTCAGTCCCTTCATCCTCATTGTAATAACAAGACTGCTGGTGATGTGGCCATGCAGAGCTCTTGTCCCTCATGTTCTTTCCACCTCGATCTTTCACTTTTCTCTATTTCTGCTTCTCCTGGTCCTACCTGGGCTCTCCCCAAGGGCTGCTCCTCACCGGGCAGCTAGTTACACGGCCACCACCACCCTGCCATCTACACAGAGGCCCTCCATCTCTCTGTGACCATTTTGATGAGATCTCTTTTTTTCATGGCATCCATCTTGGCAGTAGCAAGTTCATAGCCCAGAGTAAGAGGATTACCTGTTGGGATGCACAAAGGAATTTAAACCCCATTAAAATTTGTGACCCAAATCATTGTTTATGCTTAACAGAAATAGCAGCAATAAGATCGATTGAGGAATTATCTCACGTACTAAAACAGAAGACCTATCATTTTGTGGGAGGTAGTAGCCATGAATCCAAATCAAGCCTAGTAGTAGTACATTCCCCAGCGTGCTCAGAATATGCATAGAGAGTTTAAATCAAGGCGTAAGAGTTTCCAACCCTTCTATCTGTATGGCCAAGCCCCATTCATGTTAGTGCTGGAAGCATTCTTCCTGTATCTCATTGGTTTCTCGGGTACTTTTTCTCAATGTCTCCATTTAAAAACGTTTATATAGAGTTCTGGTTTCTGCTTGGGGATGCAGAGAACTGGAAACAGTGATGCTTCCTTGCAACATGAAAGAAATCACACAAATTGCAAGGTCGCAATTTTTTTCAACCCATCACAGAGCTGGGATTGAGCTTCCAACTAGCTTGAAATCTAGGAGAGTTGTCGCCTGAGTGCTTGCTTACCTAAGGCAGGTACAGCTGGGCACTGGTAAGAAGAATTTAGCTGGAATCATTTAAAAATTGACTGAGGTCAAATGTGGGCTGGAAAGAGTACAGAGTCCCAGGGGCTCACGAGTATAGGGCGGTTCACACCTTCTTGCAAGCTTCGTATCCGGGAATGCCAGTGGGTGTTCACAAATAAAAAATGGGAGAGTCCTGAGAAGGCATTCCGCATGCTTTTCAAGGAAAAGAATAAATAGAAGTTAAAGGCTTTATACATCGATGTGCATCAAATGAGTTAACTAGCAGAATATAAGGGAAGCAAAGACTTTACTATCTCATGTTGAGAGCAGACTACATACTCAAACCCTATTTCGTCTGTTTTTTGTTTGTTTGTTTGTTTGTTTGTTTTGAGATGGAGTCTTGCTTTGTCGCCCAGGCTGCAGTGCAGTGGCGCGATCTCCTCTCACTGCAACCTCCGCCTCCCCATTAGCAGGGATTACAGTCGCACACCACCACACCTGGCTAATTTTTTTTTTTTTGTATTTTTAGTAGAGAAGGAGTTTCACCATGTTGGCCAGGCTGGTCTCGAACTCCTGACCTCATGTGATCTGCCTGCCTCGGCTTCCCAAAGTGCTGGAATACACGTGTGGGCCACTGCGCCCAGCCTCCTCCGTTAATCTATTATCATTCTTCTCTAATATTCTCAAACTTACTTAATTCATTAACATGATATATGTTGACATCTCATTAAATATGTCTCTATTTATGACATACTCAACAACATGTGTGTAGTGTTATAAAATTTTAATTTATTTTATAAATATTTAACACTAACTGAGTGCCAGGCATTCTTCTATGCACTTAAATAGCAGACAGGCATGGTGGCCGACACCTGTAACCCCAGCACTTTAGGAGGCCGAGGCAGGAAGATCACTTGAGCCCAGAAGTTCAAGACCCTGTGGTTTCAGAGGCTGAGGTGGGAAGACCACTGGAGCCCAGGAGGTCAAGACTGCAGCGAGCCATTATTGCACCACTGCACTCCAGCCTGTGGGACAGAGGGAGTGAGACCCTGTCTCAGATGAAAGAAAGACAGAGAGAGAGAGAGGCATAGAGATGCATATGCACACAACGATTACATCGTAGGGCTGTTTAAATTACTCATTCTGGCTGGGGGTCTGTGCTCTAAACCACTATTGGTATGCTATTTCTGTGTGGCTGGTCTGGAAAGCTTCACACCACCCCCCTCTCCCTTCCCTGAATTTCCATATTCCCCCCAACCCTCATTATCCCTTTCAGAGTCTCGCAGGTTGAGGTGATGTGAGAGAGGAAGCAGAAGCGAAGGTTACGCGAGGAAAGCCCCTCGTTAAACTTGGGATTTTCACGGGGACTCAGTCCAGAGGAAGTTGAGAAAACCAACTTAAATTACGGTCTCGATCGCCATCTGGCGGTGGAAGTCCACATTACATCCGCGGAGCAATGGCTGGGAACGTTGCATAATAGAGCGGGGCTCAAATTCCAAATTAAGTTTCTGAATTTTTTCCATCTGGAATTTTATTTGATGATTAGTCTAGCATCGTAATGGTGTCCTTCGTGTTGACGTGAAAACCCAGCCTTCCTTCAGTTCATTTCCCGTTTATTAGGGATGCAAAACTCCAGCCACAGATGACCTACGACTCTGACTCCTTCCCCACCTACTTTACCCTCCCCTCCCCCAGTACATTCTGGGGCTAAACCCTAAGAGGTACCCATGCATCGCTGGGCCGATGATGAAAATGAAGAAGTATTCTGATGAAGCGAGACCCCGGAAGTGCAGCTTCAGGCAAAATCCTGAGCGAATTCTTTGCTGCCAGGACAGTCCATAGGATCTTACTCTTAGAAATTACGTAAGCATGAGCAGTCAACGCTGAAAAGCAGAGAATGTGGTTTTCTGGCGGACTCCAGAGGGAGACCAGGAAATCCTCTCACTTACAATCCATCAAGAGTAGTTCCTCCAAATTGAGTACAAAGTCTCTAAAGGCCAGCAGAGACAAGTAAGGACTTGTAGTGAGCTGCAGCTCACCACCCGGATCAGAACATAAAAGACAGGAGACCTCACGGCCTGGAGACCCACTAGAGCAAAATCTGCCATCCCAGGCAGGGAGGAGAATCAGGCGGAGGCCTGACATGGTGAGGCCTTGCTCCAAGTGGAGAAGGTGCATAAACTTAACAACTTTGTTATTGCCCTGAGGATGTGATGTGGCAAAGGGGACAAGGATTGGATAGATTGTCTTACTGATGGAAGTTGGTAACAAACAAGGCAAATCAAAAAAGAAGCCATGAGATCCAGGGAACTGCTGTACAGGGGACATGGCTGCATAATATTAGTATAGTAACTCATTATGCACTTGTGTGGCAGACAGTGGCTGAATTCTGGAGACGGAAAATATTAATAAGACACGGAGTCCTGCTTACCACCCAGGAGACATATTAGCAAACAAAGGGGCACAGCAGAAATGTGTGTAAAATTAGGACATTGAAGTCACAAACAATTAGGAAAATTTTCTAGTGGAAATGACATTCAAGCTGATCGAGGGTATATGGAGAATGGCTTCCAAGTCTAACAAAGCATGAGCGGCTTGGACACTTGGACAGGCTTCGAGGGAAGTGAAAGTCTTTCGGAATTGGTAAAATGGGTGGGTGACAGATGAAGCAGAGGGCTAGGGATGGATGCCTCACACACCAGGCTAAGGACTTGGGTCTTTGATCTGCAGTCAGTAGGACCAGTATGCAGACTGATAGTAAGGGAAGGGTCATGGGCAGCTTCACGTTTTAGAAAGACTACTCTGATGGGAAGAGTGGGTTAGAGGAGCATAAAATTGAAAGCAGAGAAAGCAGCGTGGGTAACTGTTAGAGTAACACAGACCAGACATGATGGGGCTCGAATTAAAGTAGGATCAGGGATCTAGAGAGAGGGTCAGAGACATGTGAGGGAGCAGATGCAACATGATGTGTCGTCATCCATTGTATATGGGAGAGAGGAGAAGGCGAGAGCAGAAGATGCTTGGGAGACCAAGTGGTTAGTAATTCCAGTCATCAAGAAAGGACAGTTTAAGAGAACATTCCATATTAGACATTTTGTATTTGTAGGGCCTGTGGGTCATCCAGATGAAACTTTACTCTGTGTGGTAGATGGAATAATGCCCCCAACTGCCACCCCTGAAAGATCTGAATCTATGAAACCTGTGAATCTGTTACCTTACATGGCAAAAGGGACTTTGCATTAGTGATTAGATTAAGGATCTTGAGATGGGGAGATTATTCTGGATTAGCCAAGTGGTCCTGATATAATTACATGGGTCCTTCTAAGTGAAAGAAAGAGGCAAGAGAATAGAAGAAGGAGATGTGATATTAGAAGCAAAAATCAGAGGAAAGTGATTGCTGGAAGGGGGCTACAAGCCGAGGAATGCAGCTGGTCGCTGCAAGCTGGAAGAGGCAAAAAACAGATTATCCGCTAAAGCCTTCAGAAGGGGAACACAGACAAGCTAACACCTTGATTAGCCCTGTACAAGTGTTAAAAGAAAAACTTTGAACAAATTAAATTTATTTTGATTTATTTGAGCAAAGCACAATTCATGAATTGGGCAGCATCCAGGACCAGAAGAGGTACAGAGAGCTCCACTGAGCAATAGGGGCAGGCAATATTTATAGAGAGAAAAAGGAAGTGGTATACAGAAGCAGCTTGTTTACAGCTCAGTATTTGCCTTATTTGATCATGGTCTGATCAGTTGGCAACCTGTGATTGCCTGAAGCTTGGCTGCTGTGTTTGCCTGAGACTCAGCTATTTATTACAAGAATATGCTCTTAAGTTAGGGTACAATTTTCTTACACATTAAGTTAGATTTCAGTATACTACGTAGGAATTCAAAGTACAGAGGCCGCTTTAAGCCAAATTTAATTTAATTTAACAGGACCCATTTTAGGCTTATAATTTCCAGAACTGTCCAACAATAAATTTTTGTTGTTTTAAAACACTAAATTGTGGTAATTTGTTACAGCACCAATAGGAAACTAATATATCCTGTAATCACGAAGCAATATAGCTCAAACCTCAGGCTTGGGGACCATATGGATTTGAGTTCTTATCATAGCTCCATCGCTTCCTACCCATATGAACTTGCGTGTCTTAATTAACCTCCCTAAGCCTCCACTTTCTCATTTGTAAAATGGGACTATCTACTAGAATTTCTGTCTGGAAAGAGGAATGGGGAGGCAGTGTGGTCAGCTGTTTTGCATAACAAGCCCTGTAGAAATACAGATGCTCCTTGACTTCAGGTGGGTTTGTGTCCTGATAAACTGCAAGTTGAAAATGCATTCAATACCCCTAACCTATCAAACATCATAGTTTAGCCCAGCCTACCCTCAACATGCTCAGAACACTTACATTAGCGTGGCTGACTGGGAGCTGTGGCTCACTACTGCTGCTCAGCGTCAGGTGAGAGTGTTATACCACATATCACTAGCCCAGAGAAAGACTGACATTTCAAATTTGAAGTACATTTCTTCCAGAATGTGTACTGCTTTCACGCCATCACAGCTGAACAATCTTAAGTGGAACCATCATAAGTCAGGAACCATCTGTATTTGATGTTTTAAACCATGTCATGTATAACTTTTTAAAAAAAAAGATAAAATAATTTTAAATATTAAAATAGGAAAATTTTAAAAAGAAAAAAGACATTTTTTCTTTTCTTTTTCTTTTCTTTTTTTTTTTTTTTTTAGGCAGAGTCTTGTTCTGTCACCCAGGCTGGAGTGCAGTGGCGTGATCTTGGCTCACTGCAAGCTCCACCTCCTGGGTTCACACCATTCTCCTGCCTCAGCCTCCCGTGTAGCTGGGACTACAGGCACCTACCACCATGCCCAGCTAATTTTTCATATTTTTTAGTAGAGACAGGGTTTCACTGTGTTAGCCAGGATGGTCTTGATCTCCTGACCTAGTGATCTGCTCACCTCAGCCTCCCAAAGTGCTGGGATTATAGGCGTGAGCCACATTTTTTATTTTCTAAAATGAAAATGTTGATATTTAATTTTTAATCCCCTTCAAAAAAGCAACTACTCTGTTTATGAGATTTATAGAGAATTCCATATAGTTAATACTAAATACATTCCTACATCAGAATTTGTTTAATACAAAATCAATTATTTAGGTTAAAATGTTAACACTCTTCCACTAAATTACCACTGCAATTGTGTAACTTCAAAATGCTCAGGATATTGTCAACAGAGGAAATAGAAATTGATCTTCTAGCACAATAGTCAAACAAAATTGACTATACAAGATTTTGGATGCTTGTTACACTGTTGACTCAAAACAATTCTAAACAACTCAATGTACTTGATGGACAGAATGTACTAAGAAACCAACAAAAGCAATTCATTTCTTACTTAGCTACATAAGCTAAGTAAGAAAATCGCAAATGCTGACATCAAAGGAAGCTTTCCAAGCATAGAAATAAACTCTGATAGATTATTTCAGATCCAGGATATTTGGAAAATAAATCAGATTGCCTTTTTGGATAATTCCTAAAGAATCACACAATTATGACTTTTGAATCCTTTATTAATGGAGGTTACAGCAGCCTAAATAATTTGAAAAGTGGGGTTGGCTCTCAAATAACATGGAGGGTTTGTTTTAGAGGAAACATGTAACACAACAGGACTCCAGAAGCACGTGCTTTAAGGTATAAGGACATGTACCCCTGGTGACAGAGGATGTATAAATATTGTGAGTCCAAATATATAGGCCACTTGTTTAAGAAAAAAAGACATTAGGAGTATAAAAAGGAATCAAATGTAAGTGCAAACTCATAATAAATCTAAACTACATGAGGCATAAAGCCTAAATAAGTGCTTAAGTAGCTGAAATAGTATCACTTTATGTTGGAAACCTGAAAGGGACTAAATATATGACATAGAGTCCATATTTAAAAACTTCATGTAGGCATTAAATAGAAAGGATACAGCTCATTTGACAACCAGTAGAAAAGGCAGCTATTTAAAGAAGCGTAATCCAAGTTAATGATATACATATATGAGGTATTAGAATACGTAATTCAATGGCCATTCATGATAAAATGCTCAGAAAATGCAAATAGAGAGGAACTGCCTCAACTTGATAAAGAGCATCTGCAAAAAAATCTCACAGCTAACACAGCGGTGAAAGACTGAAATTTTTCCCCCAAAGATCGGGAACAAAGCAATGATGTCCACTCTCGCCATGCTTATTCAACATGGCGTTGGAAGTTCTAGATAATGTAATGGGCGAGAAAAAAAAAAGGCGTGCAGATTTCAAAGGAAGAAATAAAAATGGATCAAAGTCTAATATGTAAAACATAAAGTCACAAAACTCTCAGGAGAAAATCTTCAGGATCTAGGGTTAAGCAAAAAGCTTTTAGACTTGACACCAAAGGCATAATCCATAACAGGAAAAATTAATAACGTGCAACTACTAGTGGTTTGTCCTCACCAATTTGTATTTGAGGTTTATGGGGATACTTTGACACTTAGTTTTGTTGAAAATGTTAAGATGCTGTATTAAATTATACTTTTTATTTTGATATAATTGTTGATTCACGGACACTTTTAAGAAATGTTACAGAGATATCTCATGTACATTTTACCCAGTTTCCTCCAAGGATAACATCTTGTAAACTACAGTAAATTATCACAGTCTGGATATTGACATTGATATAATTAAAATAAAGAACACTTTCATCACTATAATATCCCTCATTTTGCCCTTTTGTAGCCACAGCCACTTCCCTCCCATTTCCACTTCTTCATTAACACAGCAATTATTAATTTCCATCTCTATAGTTTTGGCATTCCAGGAGTGTTATATAAGTGGAATCATTTAGTAGACAACATTTTGCAATTTTTTTTTTCACTCAGCATAATTCCCTGGTGATTCATCCAGGTCGTGGTGCCTGTATCCAGTTTGTTCGTTTTTATTGCTAAGTAGTATTTCCTAGTATGGATATACCACAGTTTGTTTCCAGTTTTTGTCTGAATAAAGCTGCTATGAGCATACATGTGCAGATTTTTCTCTGAACATAAGTCTTCATTTCTCTGGGATAAATGCTCAGGAGTGCAATTGCTGGGTTGTATGGTGGTTGCATGTTTTGCTTTTAAAGAAAATGCCAAACTATTTTCCAGTGTGGCTGTACTATATTACATTCCCAGCAGCCAAATGTGAGTGATCTATTTTCTCTGCATCCTCACCAGGATTTGGTATTGTGCCTACTTTTTATTTTTAGCTATCATGATAGGTATATAGTAATATCTTATTGTGGTTTTAATTTGTAATTCTCTAATGGCTAATGACATTGCACATGTTTTCATGTCCTTATTTTGTATCTATGTATCTTTTTTGGTTCCATATGCATTTTAAAATAGTTTTTACTAGTTCTGTGAAGCATCTCAATTGTAGTTTGATAGGAATAACATTGAATTATAAATTGCTTTGGGCAGTATGGCCATTTTAATGATATTGTTTCTTCCTATCCATGAGCATGCAATGTTTTTCCATTTGTTTGTGTCATTTCTGATTTCATTGAGCAGTGCTTTTTAGTTCTTCTTGTGGAGATCTTTCACCTCCCTGGTTAGCTGTATTCCTAGGTATTTTATTCTGTTTGTGGCAATTGTGAATAGGACTGCATTCCTGATTTTGCTCTAGGCTTGACTGTTGTTGGTGTATAGAAATATTAGTAATTTTTGCACATTGATTTTGTATCCTGAGACCTTGCTGAAGTTGTTTATCAACTTAAGAAGTTTTTGGGCTGAGACGATAGGGTTTTCTAGATAGATGATCATGTCATCTGCAAACAGGAATACTTTGACTTCCTCTTTTCCTATTTGGCTGCTCTTTATTCTTTTCTCTTGCCTGATTGCCCTGGCAAGGACTTCAGTACTATGTTGAATAGGAGTAATGAGAGGGGGCATTCTTGTCTTCTGCCAGTTTTCAAGGGGAATGCTTCCAGCTTTTGCCCATTCAGTATGATGTTGGCTGTGGGTTTGTCATAGATGGCTCTTACTATTTTGACGTATGTTCCTTCAATAGCTAGTTTATCAAGAGTTTTTAACATGAAGGAGTGTTGAATTTTATCAGAAGACTTTTCTGCATCTATTGAGATAATCATGTGGGTTTTGTCTTTAGTTCTGTTTATGTGATGAATCACATTTACTGATTTTTATATGTTGAACAAACCTCATATCCCAGGGATAAAGCCTACTTGATCATGGTAGATTGGCTTTTGGATGTGCTGCTGGATTCGGTTTGCTGGTATTTTGTTGAGGATTTTTTTGCATCAATGTTTATCAAGGATATTGGCCTGAAGTTTTCTTCTTTTGTTGTGTCTCTGCCAGGTTTTGGTATTTAGATGATGCTAGCTTCATAGAATGAGTTAGGTAGGAGTCTCTTCTCCTCAATTTTTTGAAATAGTTTCAGCAGGAATTGTACCATTTCTTCTTTGTACACCTGATAGAATTCAGCTGTGAATCCATTTGGTCCTGGGTTTTGTTTTGTTTTGTTTTGTTTTTTTTGGTAGGCTATTTACTACTGACTCAATTTCAGAGCTCATTATTAGTCTGTTCATAGATTCAATTTCTTCCTAGTTCAGTCTTAGGGGGTGTATGTGCCCAGGAATTTATCCATTTCTTCTAGATTTTCTACTTTATGTCATAGAAGTATTCATAATATTCTCTGATGGTTGTCTGTATTTCTGTGGGGTCAGTGGTAATACCTCCTTTGTCATTCCTAATTGTGTTTATTTGAATCTTCTCTCTTTTCTTCTTTATTAGTCTAGCTAGAAGTCCATCTATTTTATTAATTATTTCATAAAACCAGCTCCTGTATTCATTGATCTTTTGAATCATTTTTGTGTCTCAATCTCCTTCCATTCAGTTCTGGATTTTGGTTATTTCTTGTCTTCTGCTAGCCTTGAGATTGGTTGGCTCTTGATACTCTAGTTCTTTTAGTTATTATGTTAGGTTGTTAAATTGAGATATTTCTAACTTTTTGATGTGGGCATTTAGTGCTATAAATTTCCTTCTTAACACTGCTTTAGTTGTGTCCCAGAGCTTCTAGTGTGTTGTATCTTTGTTCTCACTCATGTCAAAAAGTTTCTTGATTTCTGCCTGAATTTCATTATTTTCCCAAAAGTCATTCAGGAGCAGGTTATTTAATTTCCATGTAATTGTACGGTTTTGAGTGAACTTTTTTGTCTTGGTTTCTAATTTGATTGTGCTGTGGTCCAAGAGATTTTTTCTTATGATCAGTTCTTTTGCATTTGCTGAGGAGTGTTTTACTTCTAATTATGTGATCGATTTTAGAGTATGTGCCATGTGACAATGAGAAAAATGTATATTCTGTCTTTTTGGGGTGGAAAGTTCTATAAGATGTCTATCAGGTTCATTTGATCCAGAGCTAAGTTCAGGTCCTGGGTATCTTTGTTAATTTTCTGTCTTGATGATCTGTCTAACATTGTCAATGGGGTGTCAAAGTCTCCCACTATCATTGTGTGGGAGTCTAAGTCTCTTTGAAGGTCGTTAAGAACTTGCTTTATGAATCTGGGTGCTCCTCTTTTGGAGGTATATATTTTTAGAATACTTAGATCTTTTGTTGAATTGAACCATTTACCATTATGTAATGCCCTTCTTCATCTTTTTTGATCTTTGTTGGTTTAAAGTCTGTTTTGTCTGAAACTAGTATTGCAACCCCTGCTTTTTTCTGTTTTCCATTTGCTTGGTAGATTTTTCTCCATCTGTTTATTTTGATCCTATGTGTGTCACTGCATGTGAGATGAGTCTTTTGAAGACAGCATACTAATAGGCCTTGGTTCTTTATCCAGATTACCACTCTGTGCCTTTTAATTGGGGCACTAGCCATTTACTTTTTTTTTTTTTTTTTTTTTTTTTTGAGACGGAGTCTTGCTCTGTCGCCCAGGCTGGAGTGCAGTGGCGGGATCTCGGCTCACTGCAAGCTCCGCCTCCCGGGTTCACGCCATTCTCCTGCCTCAGCCTCCCAAGTAGCTGGGACTACAGGCGCCTGCCACTACGCCCGGCTAATTTTTTGTATTTTTAGTAGAGACGGGGTTTCACCGTTTTAGCCGGGATGGTCTCGATCTCCTGACCTCGTGATCCGCCCGCCTCGGCCTCCCAAAGTGCTGGGATTACAGGCGTGAGCCACCGTGCCCGGCCCCATTTACATTTAAGATTAGTATTGATATGTGTGGATTTCATCCTGTCATCATGATGTTAGCTGGTTATTTTGCAGACTTGTTTATGTGGTTGCTTTATAGTGTCACTGGTCTGTGTACTTCAGTGTGTTTTTGTAGTGGCTAGTAAGTCTTTCCTTTCCATATTTAGTGCTTCCTTCAGGAGCTCTTGTAAGACAAGTCTAGTGGTAATGAAATTCCCTCAGCATTTCCTTCTCTGAAAAGGTTCTTATTTCTCCTTCACTTTTGAAGATTAGTTTGGCCAGATATGAAATTCTGGGTTGAAATTATTTTCTTTAAGAATAATAAATGTTGGCCCCCAGTCTCTTCTGGCTTGTAGAGATTCTTCTGACAGGTCCACTGTTAGTCTGATGGACTTTTCATTGTAGGTGACCTGGCCTTTCTCTCTAGCTGCCAACTGTTTTTCTTTCATTTCAACCTTGGAGAATCTGATAATTATGTGCCTTTGGAATGATCTTCTTGTGAAGTATCTTACTGGGGTTCTCTGCATTTCCTGTATTTTAATGTTGGCCTCTCCAGCTAGGTTGGGGAGATTCTCATGGATGATACCCTGAAATATGTTTTCCAAGTTGGTTTCATTCTCCCCATCTCTCTCAGGAACACCAATGAGTCATAGATTTGGTCTGTTTACATAATCTCATATTTTTCAGAAGTTTTGTTCCTTCCTTTTCATTCTTTTTTCTCTATTCTTGTCTGACTATCTTATTTCAGAAAGCCAGTCTTGAAGTGTGGAGATTCTTTTTTCCACTGGGTCAGTTCTGCTATTAATAGTTGTGATTGCATTATGAAATTCTTATAGTGTGTTTTTCAGCTCTATCAAATTGGTTATGTCCTTATCTATACTAGCTATTTTATCTATCAGCTCCTGCATTGTTTTATCATAATTTTTAGCTACCTTGGATTGGGTTTCAGTGTACTTCTGTAGCTCAATGATCTTCATTTCTATCCTTATTCTGAATTACATATCTGTCATTTCAGCCATCTCAGCCCAGTTCAGAATCCTTGCTCGAGAGGTGATGTGGTCGTTTGGAGAACAGAAGACACTCTGGCTTTTTGAGTTGTCAAGGTTCTTGCCTGATTCTTTCTCATCTTTGTGGGCTTATTTTCCTTTAATCTTTGAGACTGCTGACCTTTGGACAGCAAAGATCATCCAACCTTTTTTATTTATCCTATTTATCCTATTTGATGACTTTGAGGGTTTGATTGTGGTATAAGGTGGATTCAGCCAACTGACTTCATTTCTGGACAATTTTATTTGGCCAGTATTCCACTCCCAACTCCTGGACTGCATGCTGTAATTCTTTGGGACTTGTATGGGACCCTGACTTTGTTCTCTGTTTCCTCAGAATTAGGAATCCGCTGTGATGGGCGGGGGGTGGGGGAGGTGGCAGGAGTGGTGCAGTCCGAAGTGCTCCCAGACCACTGGTCACTACACTCCAATGAGTGTTGTCAGCCAAAGTGTTTCATAGTACAGTGACAGCAGGATCTGTCCTTGTTTGAGTGTACCAGCAGCAGTGGTAGTTGAAGCTGTAGCAGAGTACTAGCAGGTGCCGGGGTGCCCACCTCCCTGCAGGCATCCACCACAGTGGCAGAGGCAATGCAACTGCAGGAAAGGAAGGGGGTCCCCTGCTGGCAACTGTGTGTGTGGTCACACAGGAAGTGGTGTTGGCTTAGGGGCAAGGCATTGGCAGGTGCAGGTCTGCGTGCCTTTTCTGTGCAGGAGTGGTCACTCAGGGTGGGGGAGGATCAGCTGTTCTCTGCTCAGTGTTAGCACAGGGTGGGATGATGGAGGGAGTGGGGCTGGCTGGCTCTGTGCCCACCAAGGCTCTGTCTGCAATGGCTGTCAGGAGGGAATTGGTGGGGGGTGAATTACACTCCTATGCTGGTGAGGCAAGGAAAACAAAACCCACCCAGCAGACATGTACCAGCAAAATGATGTGGGGAGTTGCTGTGGGCCCAGAGGAAGCTGCAGTGTGGGGAGGGAGCATGGAGGCTGGTGCCTGGCCATAGGGGCCTCCTCATTGGAGCTCTCCACTTACTGGTCAGTCATGGTCTGCCAGTGTAGAAGCTATGGTGCAGGCCCACAGGGCACCTGAGGCTGCTTTGAAAGCAGATGTGGCCAGGCCGGGGCCCCAGGAGAGGCCAGAAGACCAACGGTTGCTCAGGTAGAACCAGACTCATCTGATGGGCAAGACCACCCTACAGATTTCGGGACCAACAGTTTCCCTAGGGCTAATGTCTCCTATGGGAGTAAGTTGAGCCTAGGGAAATGGCCATCCCTGGCCATGCTCCACTGCAGATGCTCCTGCACTGAATCCTCTAGGCTCCACACCCGCTGGCTTGCCGCCCCTATGGCTTCTCTAAGCAGCTCTTCCTGCCAACTCAAGTGTCCATGGTGGTCAATGGGTCTCCTCCTGCCATGGTTGCAGAGGTCATAGTGACAGTGGGTTGTTCCTTGCCAGTTCAACTCACCCATTTTCCTGGAGCCATTGGAGGACAGGAATGAGTCTGGATGTGCTGTAGCCCCATGTAGGGCTCCCAGCTTTCTCCCACTTCAGTCCAGCTTCTGTGTCTTCCCTCTGTCCACTCTAGGTGCCTTCTGTCTGAACATCTGTTAGGAGCACGCCAGTCATCTGGGTTCCTCGTTGAGAACTGTTTCACCTGGCTGCATCTAGTCAGCGATCTTGCCCTCCCCCCAACCAAAATACATTCCAATAAAACTTGTGGATACTAAAGAAAAAGAAAATACCATCTGGATACTCAGCAAAAGTAGCAATGACTTTTTAATAATTAGATTATCATCAGACTTTTTGATAGCAGTTATGTGAAAATGTAGTAACTTTTTAAGATACTCAAGAGCGGAAAATGGAACCAAGATTTTTATAGCCACAAAACTGACTTTCGACTATGAAGTGCAAGAACTTCCTGGTGTGGACTGAATATGCCGTCCCAAAATTCATATGATGAAATCGTAACGCCCAAGGTGACAGTACCAGGAGGTGACGCCTTTGGAAGGTGATTAGGTCATGAGGGTGCAGCCCTTATGAATGGCATTAGGGCCCTTATAAGGGAGATTCCAGATAGCTCCCTTTCCTTCTGCCACATGAAGTCTTAGTGAGAAGATGCTGCCAGCAGGCCTTCACCAGATCCCTACCAGGCTGACACACTGATCTTAGACCTCCAGCCTCCAGAACTGTGAAAAATACATTTCTGCTGTTTTTAAGCCATCCAGTCTCTGGTAGTTGGTTATAGCAGCTCATACAAACTAAGACACTTTCCTAAGTCTTCCTGAGGCACCTAGGAGAAATAGTTTCAAACAATCATGATGACTACATCAGTAGCTTATAATTCTTTTGGTATCAGGATCCCTTTTTATTCGTAAAATTGTTGAGAACACCAAGAAGCTTTAGTTTACATGGGTTATGTAAAGTGACATTTATATTAATTTATTTGTTATTAAATAACAATAACAAACCCATTACATGTTAACATAAACAACATACTTTTATGGAAAATAGCTGTCTTCTCCAGCACAAAAAAATAGTGAAAAAAAAGGAATTATTTTACATTTGTAAAAATCTCTTTAATGTCTGGCTTAATAAAGCTAGCTTGGTTATATATTCTTCTACATTCAAGCTGTAACAATATGTTGTTTTGGCTAAAGTACAAGAGGAGAATCTGGCCTCACTCTTATACACAGTTGGGAAAAGAAGGAAAGTTTCAATAACCATTTCAGCTATTGTAACTGTTCTTCCTTGATAAGACACCAAAACTCAAGAAATGGCAGATTCTTAAAGGTTAGTTGCAGTGTGGAATCTGAAACCTTATAAATTAACTTTTCATATTCTGTTGTGTTAAAATTCACTAGTCTATCTTTAAATGGATCTTTTCCTCTATGCATGACTTTGCAATATCATGCATTGATTATTTGTAAATTATTGATTCATGGGTTTACGCAGTTTTTTAAAATGTTGACATATTTTATTAAACAATATTTTTTAAACCATATTTGTTAATATCACCACCAATCTCATCAGAAACATCTTTAAGTAGTGAGAAGCTGCGGCACACGTAAGTTTTCCAAAATTTTAATTTTCTCTTGAAATTCCAATTTCCACTGTCAATATTATTTTCTCTGATGGGATAGGCTCATTTTGTTTATTTTTGAGAAAATTTCTACCAAATACCCAAGTCTGAATAATCACAGTGTGCCTTTCAGTCATTCTTTCAAGGAAAATGATGACCCACTAAAAAAAAAATGTTTAACTTCACTCACAACTCATGCAATTACATAATGGCTTTTCCACAGGACAACTGCCTTTCCATCAGTATGCACCAGAAATGCTGCCTATGTTCTTACACTGACTATTAAACAGATGTGTGTTTGAGGTTTAAAATTTAGTAAACTAATGATTTTATTGCTTCATCAAAGTCACTGGCTTTTGCTTTTTTTTTTTTTTTTTTTTTTTAACTGTAAGCTTATGGCAGTGAAGAACATGACCTACCTGTACAGCTTGGTGTCACCACCTTGATTTGTGCTCAGGCACTAACAGTTTCATGTGACCACCATAGATTTCTGTACCACTATGTAAATAATACAGTGAAAAAGGCAAATAACATCTTAGTATTAGTACAAAAATAGCTTGACTTCATAGGCCCCTTGAAGGGTCCCAGGGACCCCCAGGGATCCATGGACCACACCTTGAAAACCACCACATGACAGGGATATCAACATAAGGAATGATGGTGAGCATTAAACATATCTCTACTCACAGAACTAAGACTAACAAGGGAGTAAGTAGTCTATGCAATGATACAGGATCAACTAATATAGACATAGTTCAACTAGAAAGCGGGGGAGAACATAGGTAAAAAGGGAGAACACAGGTAATAGGGAGAATGTAGGTAAAAAGAATTTCAACCGTTTTCAGTAGCCATTTTGGTGGTTGTAGTATTAGTGTTATTATCCTTAGACTGCTGTCTATGTTAACTCAGGAAAAGCAAATAAGTATGGACATTCTAATTGTGTCTGTCCCTGTGTCCTTGAAAACCAGAGTTCTTGGTGTAAAAGAAAGGAGATGCAGAAGTAATATAGAGAAGACTGATTTTTTTTTTAAGATGGAGTATTGCTCTGTCACCAGGCCGCAGTGCAGTGGCACAATCTTGGCTCACTGTAACCTCCGCCTCCCAGGTTCAAGCGCTTCTCCTGCCTCAGCCTCCGGAGTAGCTGGGACTACAGGCGCACGCCACCACGCAAGGCTAATTTTTTGTGTTTTTAGTAGAGACGGGGGTCAAACACTGATCCTGCCTTTCCACTGTACCACTAAGTAGCCCACTAGTAAGTGGAGGGAAGTGTCTCTTCACTAGTAAATGAAGGGAACTGTCTCTTTGTAGCATTAATAAAGCATAAAATGAAGAAAAAATGACAGAATACCACCATTTAGCAATCCCCAATAAATTAACAAACCTAAGCAATTAGTATCAATGGTTGCTAACATCACAAAAAGAAACAGCTGGAAATTATGTCTCTCATGGTGAAAGGCCACAACACCACGTATAGATTTTCCAAAGGAAAAGATTGAACCAGAGTCTGATCCAGCCTCTGCATCCAGATGCCAATTTGCGGGAGGCACAGAAGGCAGAGGATGTGTTACACTGCACCATGTGTATGCAGCCAGCAAAATCCAGAGTGTGGGAAACTCTACAGGTCAAATGGATTGAGCTTTTCAACAGATTAATCATAAGGGGGAAAAAAAGGCTGATGGGGGAGAAACCAGTGAAGTATAAGAGACGTAAAAGACAACTAAGCTGTGGCGTCCAGGAACACATACCTGGGGGACTAGACTACAAAGACATGAAAGAGGTTACAATAAAATCAGGATATGGTCACTTTCGAGGGGAAGGAGAGGCTTTGATTGGCCTGACGTACAGAGACTTCTGCTGGAGCTGGCAAAGTCCTGTTCCTTGACTTGATTACAGGGGTTTTTCTTAAATAATTCACTAAAATGTACATTTTTTGTATCTCCATTTTATTTGACAATAAAAGGTTTTTAAAAACAGTGAAAAGGAAACAGTGACTACCTGAGCATTTGTCTTCTGAAGACTGTGGAGACTGCAGTTGGAAGACAGAAAGCTTTGGAGATCATGACTTATAGGAGTAGGGCTGGACCACAGAAAAGTAAATGATTTGGGGCTGGAAGGAGTAAGGTCTCAGGGGAGTTTCTGGACAATGCCCTTGGCAATGGGGATTAATGATGTACACGTAGAAGGGAGAAGGGCAGATGGGTGGGAGATGCATGATCTCAGAACACAGAGCTCCAGAATCAGTTCGGGCTCCTCCAAGGATCAGGGAAGAGAGTTATTCCCAGAACATTGACCTCATGAATGTCCTTTACCTCACCCAGGGCCCAGACTACTCATCACTACTTCAGGCTCCAGAGAGAGAAGCTTCAGTGAGGACCTTAGCATGACTGAGGGAGCAGAACAGCTCTTGAGACCTGGAGGCACAGTGATGAAGGTCTCAGGAGGCAGCCTCACCACCCCCCACAGCCGTTCCAGAGACTCAGGGGACAGTCCCATCCAGACAGCAGCAACCTTACTCCTCCCTACCCCCATGTCATCTCCCTCTGGCCAAAGAACCGGGAGAATGATCTGCCACTCAAAGACAAGGAAAAAGAGACATTACCTCATTACCAGACATCTGCGTCCTCACATATCCTGGAAAGAAATCGAGAAAAGAATGGATTGCCCCAATTAGGACCCAATATGATTATCCCGAGGGAAGAACAAATGGCTGGCAAGGTCAGCACTCTCTCTGCTTATCCCATTTCTAGCTTCAGAAAAAAATTATCCCGGTGATCCCTGAGAGGCACAATCAGCTTTCCTTGCCTCAGATCATTGACGTTAGGGAAGGTGGGAGTGGGGAAGGTCTGGGACAGGTGGCAGGGCACTCCTCACAGGCTCATTACCTTTCTGAGCCCTTAGCTGGATGACGATTCCCACCAGAAGGAAGATTAGCCCAAGTAGGAAGGCTGCAATGCCACTCAGCATCTTTCTCCAAGAATATTCAGACTGAGCTCCTATGGGAAACAGGTCTTTAAATTAGTAAAAATATCCCAATATTTAAAGCACTTTCTTGGAATCCCAGAATCTGTACTAGACACCAAATCCAATGCTAGCTAGAGAAAAATAAATAAATTTAGAAAAGGTTCTTCGAAACCAAAGTTGGCACCCATGGAGTTACCACCCATCGGTTACAGATTCTCACAGCCCATAAGAATGCCTCCTAAATACTAAGACCAAAGAATTAGAGGACACCAGTTCATAGGGTTGGAAGCACATAATGAGGTGATTAGATCTCCTCATTTCTTGGAAGATATGAGGATAGATATCTGCCATGTTTTCTCCCACCCTAACCCAAGGACTCTGGTTTCTGTGACTGTCCCAGATCAAGGGAAAGAATAATTCATGTTGTGACCAAGATAAACGCAGAAGTGACACAGGCTCTGTATTGAGTCAGTATAGTCCTGAGTCAGGCCCAGAGAGTACTAGAAACTAATTCTCACTCCACTCCACAGAAACAGGGCTCAGCAGGCTGGAGTGATCGACAAGGCAGGTGTAGACATGTCCAAGTTCAGGAGTCATTTCTAGCATCACCACAGTCTGAAAGGTCCAGTCTCCATTCCTGATAGGGCCAGTGGACATGACCCCAGCTCTCTCCTCCTGCCCATTCAGGAACCACTTGATCTTGATATCCCCTGGATAGAAGCCTGTCACAGAGCAGTGCAGCAGATTATGCTGGTGCAGGAGTGGGGTCCTCTCTGGGTACACTGTCACCTCTGGTTGCACTAGGAAGGGAGGAAAAATGAGACACCGTGAAAGAAAACCACCAAGCTGGGACAGGAGATTCTTTAGGGACTATCACTATGTCTAATCTCTTTCCCAGATCACCCAAGTGAACACAAAGTATAGGCAAGTCTCAGCCCCCAAGATCAGTAACAGGGTATGTCAATGCCTGTCAGGAGGATTTAGACTTTCTGAGGTACTCCCATAATTACTGCTTCTCTTTGAGGGTACAATAGCCCTCGAAGTCCCTGAGAACCTTGGGGGTCTGAGACCAAGATCACAGTGGCTGACTTGTGAGGATAATATATCACAGCTGGGGCCAGAACATCTACACAGACAACCATTTATCCTAAAGCAGAAAATTGCTTGTAAGAAAGAAGAGCCATGGCCAGGTTCACATGGGGGACATTCCTGAGCCCCGCCAGACCTCAGCTTCCAGCTCACCTTTTCTCCCCACAGTGAAGGGTGCGCCCAGCCTGTAGTTGTGTCTACAGACCCCATCCACGGCCTGTCTGCTCCTCTCCAAGAGATCCAGCCGGCTGTTCCACTGCTCAGCATCTGGCTGCCCCAGCTTGGTCAATGCCACAAACATCCCCACATCACTGTCGAAACGTACATACTCCTCCAAGTTAAAGATGAATCTGACCACAAACTGCACCTTTTCTGTCCCGTTGGTGAAGTAACAGTCAGCCTTTGCCTGAATCACAAAATCTTCTGGAAAACCAAAACCAAAACCATGAACCAGCCCCCTCCTCTGGGAAAACCCATGCCTGGTAAATTACGTCAGACCACATGGATCTAAGAGGAGGCCTTTGACCTCAGTATGCTCAAAAAGCACAGTGTCAAGTGAGAAAAGAAACAGAATGGGATTCAACAGAGAATGACATTTATTAAATTTTAAAAACACATAAAGAGCAAGAATGCTACATATTTCTAAAAGCCACTCTCATACTTAGAGACATACCAGACACGTTTAGAATGGATTCTCTAGGGAGGGGAGAGAATGAGAACGGAGGCAAGAGAAGAGACGAGAGAGTCTTGCACTACTGCCAATAATTACAATGTGCTGTGAACTCATTGGGTAAAATTAAACCAATCCTATGCACTTAAGAACAACAACTACAATAAAAAGGAAATTCAAATGGAGTTAATAATGTAGGTAAGTCAGGAAGGACGTCCTGAAGACATTGCATCTAAGTCAAGACTTGAAAGATAATTGCTATTAATGTTGGGTTGTAATTTACTTTCCTTTCTAAGTTCAGAAGCCTCCTCCAACTCTGAACTGAGCCATAAGAATGACCTTCCTGGGTGAACCCCACTTATCCCTCACTCAGTAGCTAATTTCAGATGAAGTTCCAGCCTGTAATTTCTCAGCATGTATACTCTTCTCTATTTCCTCTAGTAGTCTAAACCAGGGGGGAAATCTGAATTTTTCATCATCATTTAACATCTGTGCTGATTTTTTTTTCAGTTGTATTGTTTAATGGACATTATAAACTCAGGGCGGTTTCTATTCTCTAAGAATAATGATCTCTCCTGGCCAGGTTTGTTCCTCTTTTGTATTTAATGAAACTAACATGCAAAGGGGATTCTGTTCTTAGCACATTACATCCTGTTTCTGCTCATTAATATGTGCTTTCATCTCACATTGCTTCATGGCTGCATATTCTGTCACCTGTGCTAGAAAAATAACAGTTACAAGTAACTTGTACCTGGTAGCCGGAGGACAAGGACAATGTATTCTATTCAACTTCTCTTACTTCTCAAAACTGTTTAGTACAATTCTGACAATATAATAGTGGCTTAATAAATGACAGAAGGAGCAACCTTTGTTTCCAGTTTCATTTGTCCACATATACCCCAACTGAGATTTGTTTCCGTGTCCTGACCAAAAAATCACAGATTGCCTCTGTGACCCAGCCTACTGCAGGTTGTTTCTCCCAGCAGGCTCGAACCCAAGCCAAGGCCTTCAACACGCCCAGGCACTGACTGAGGTTGATACACACAATAAGGATCCTAAACAAGACACAATGTTTCCCTCTTCCTGCCTCCCTACCCCTTGAATAGGTGGCTCTGGTATATGAAGTCCATCCCATGTAAAGAGGCAAGGCGTACCTTTCTGCCAAAGGGAAGAACACTGTTCTTTGAAACCAAAAGCCACTTCCAGTCTGGTCTGTGGCCTGGACTTACAAAGAAAGGCATCACTCCCCCATGCCAATTCTTGCATACACACTGGAAAAAAATAATTGCTCTGTTCTTACCTGGAGAGTCTGTGCCTTGAGTCATGGAGGAATCCAGTCGGGTCAGATTCACTAGCAGAGCCACCACCCAGGGGACCCACCCAGAACCCATTCTGGAGAAAGGAAAAAAATGAGACAGTAAAATCGTCAGCCTCTTCAGAATGAGTTCATAAAATTCAGTCAGAAAGTACCCATTAAGAGTATAAATCGCTGTTTTTCTGGCTTCCCCAGGATTGGAAACTCCTCAGATTGACAACCAATCAAGATAGAAGAGTTTTGCATCATCAGGTACTGGGTAGGATACTTTCACAAAGTTGTGTCATACAACTCAACCATTGTTTGCCTGCAGAATCACTGACAGTAATTTAGGTATACTAAAAATGGGCTGGGAGAAGAAGTAAAAATATATGTTTGACATATTATGGGGCCCTAGAAGAACTAGGCAGACTGTTTATTATGTATTCTTCTATTCCCTGGCCTGTTCTGACCAATAGGTCTCCCTTCTTATTGGGTGTTGACATTGCCGACAGGCAGTGTGTAAATTAAGAAGGAATTAAGAGTATGTAAATTAAGCATTCTGAAGCATATGCCTCAAGAAGATTTAGTAAAGGGATTATCAGAGAAGAAATAGAAGACATAGAGAACATTTGGAGAGTACGATTTCCTATAAGCCAAAATGACCACAAAAAAAGAAAAGAAAAGAAAACATGGAAAGAGAATTCTCAAAGAATAAAATTTTGCAAAAAGGCTCACCAGGATACAATCTAAGAGAGCATTATTGTGTTTTATGGTTAGTAGGGCACCAATAACCTTCAAGAGGACAGCAGAGTGTTAAAGGTAGAAGCCATATTTCAAAAGAATGAATTGGAAACAAGAAAACAAAGGCCGCAGATTAAAACAGTCTTTCAAGAATTTTGAAAGTGAAAACAAAGGAAAAAATGGGATACACTTTAGAAAAAAACAACACTAAGAAAAAATACTTTTCTTGGGTTTTTTAAATTGACACGTAATAATTGTACATATTTATGGGGTACAGCATGATGTTCCAACACACCTATACATTGTGTATTGATCAAATCAGGGTAATTAGTATGTGATATATATACATGATGGAATACTATTCCGCCATAAAAAAGCATGAAATCCTGTCATTTTCAACAACATGGGTGAACCTGGAGGGCTCTATGTTAAGTGAAATAAGCCAAGAACAGAAGGACTATATTACGTGATTTCACTCATATGTGGAATCTAAAAAAGTTGACCTCATCGAAGTAAAGAGTACGTTAGTAGTTACCAGAGGCTGGGGAGTCAGGGGTAGAAATGGGTAGAGGTTGGTAACAAGTACAAAGTTACAGTTAGACAGAAGGAATGAGTTCTGGTGTTTTGGGAAAAGAAACTTTTAAGACAGGAGAGACTTCAACAAGGTTGCAAGTGAAGTGCAAGGTATCTGTAGAAAGGAGAAACTGAAGAGAAAAAAGAGAAGAAAGGGGACATTTTCTCCAAAATGCTGTGGTCTGAATGTCACTCAAAATTCAAGTGTTGCAATTTAATCACCAATGTGATAGTATCAAAAGGTGGGCCCTTTAGGAGGTGATTAAGTCATGAATGCAGAGGCCTCCTGAATGGGATTAGAGACTTTAAAAAGGGCTAGAGAGAGCAGGGATGATGGCTCATACCTGTAATCCCAGCACTTTGGGAGGCTGAGGAGGAAGATTGCTTGAGGCTAGGAGTTAGAGACCTGCCTGGAAAACATAGTGAGACCCCCATGTCCAAATAAAATTTAAAAAATTAAAGAAATAAACATGGTGGCATGCACCTGTGGTCTTAGTTACTTTGGAGGCTGAGGTGGGAAGACTACTTGAGCCCAGAAGTTCAAAGTTGCAGTGAACCATGAATGCACCACTGTACTCCAGCATGGGTAACAGAACGAGGCCCTGTCTCAATCAATCAATCAGTCAATCAATAAAAATAGAAGGGCTGGAGGCAATAGCTTGGCACTTTTGCCCTTCTGCCTTCCTCCTTGTGAGGACTGTTACACTGGAATGATTTGACTCAAGTGTTTAGTTAAGTATTCTTTCAGTAAAACCTAGACAGTAAAACACTATCTTTAAGCAAATAAAACCAAAAGTGCAAATTGTAATTCACCATCTATGTTATTATTATTTAAAGGGCAATGTTTACTCATCATTTCACATCATCTTTCAGCATGAAATGTGGCCCTGATTTGCCTATACTGTGCATGTTAAGAATGAACCCAGGGTATCATGGTAACCACAAGTTCACTTCAGTGACTTTTTTCAAGTCGATGGCCAAGGCATCAAATCTTCCAGGGCCATGACCTTGAACTTCTAGCTTCCAGAACTGTGAGAAATAAATTTCTGTTCTTCATAAATTACCCTATCTCGTGTATCTTGTTACAATAACACAAATGGACTAAGATAGAGAGCATAAGGCTTGGGGGAAGAAGGGTACACTTCTTCAGATAAAAGAATAAAGACAGGACGATTAGCAGGGGATAAAGGGGAATGAGGAAGTTCCATTTAGATGGTTGCAAGGGAGTCAGCTGAGAACAAGGCAAGATCTGTCAAAAAGGAGTTGGAAGAAAATATATTTGATAACTAAGAAGAGCAAGAAGTGGTCTGTAAGTGAGTTTTTAAAGTTTTAATTAAGCAGGATTCAGAAAAGAGAGGTGAGATGCAATTGTGCAACCTTTTACTGTTCTATGACCCTTAGTAAATGCCCTTGGTTAGAGGCCTGGATCAGACCAATCAGAAAAATAATTTCTTCTCCATGGGAGATTATAACAGGTAAAGAAAAAGAGAGCAAGACGTGGAAGACATCGCTAGTGTTCATCCTCTAATTCCTAGGCCCATGGAAAACGAGAAACTAGACTTCCTACTCTCCTGGAGCTGTGTGACTCGTTCTCACCAATGGAAAGTGAACAAAAGGTTCCTGGTCAAAGAATTTAACTCCTCGTGCATGACTCTTCTCCTCCTCCCCTACCAAGTCAACCAAGACAGCCTTGTGTTGAGATGGCACAATCCCAGTAGAAAAGCAGTCTAATTAGCTGAGTCACCATGAAGAGCAGCTGCCCCAGGGAATCACTCACACCTACAACACACTCTGTATGAATGAGAAACAACTGTTCTTTAAAGAAGGTACTGGCTTGGTTACCACAGCCTGGCCTGACTTGACTTAACTGCTACAGGACAGGAGCTAGGAGGCTGACCCCTCTCCCTCCACATCTCTCATGTAAATGTGACGATTCATGAAGTGGAAGGCTGGCCACAGGCTTACTGGTAGACCCCCGAGTACAAGGCATTTGACCCTGGTTTTGAGTACTCCTCCTCCAGGTGGATGGCTGTGGAGCTCACACTGGCGAGGGCTTGTGTGGAGCCGAGGATAAGGAGGCATCAGAGGGCACTCAAGCCACTGGGTCTAACTTCCTCCCTTCTTCCTGCCCACACCTACCTTAGTCTTTCCCAGATGTTTTATTGCATTTGGAAATGGAGACAAACACTCAACACAGGCTAAGTGAACAAGGACACGGCACGGAGATGATCAGATGCAGTAACAGCATGAGCGGGTGGAAGAGGCGTGTGTCCCCTTCTTTGTAGACAGCACCATGGCTGGCTTCTGCAGCTTCCCTCAGAGCTGAAGGAAGGGCCATGTGGAGAGGAGAGGAAGGGCCTAGACAATATGGATCAAACGGGGGCCTGTATTTAGATTTAGAGGAGAGAGGGGGTTGATAAATGGCAAGGGATGTGGGGATGGGGAGGAAGTGGAGGATATGGCGCTGGACCAGAAAGTTAGGAGGGCTGCTCTTTCTTCTCTGTAAATGTGTCTAAGGCTCACAAACTCTAAAATCTGACTTGCCTACATAATAATAGCTAATGTTTGTCAATTGCTTATTATGAGTTCATTTTCTAAGCATTATATAAATGTGTGCGTGTGTGTGTATGAGAGAGAGAGAATCATCACACAAAACCCTTTGCAGTAGATACTATCATGATCTCCCTTTTACAGATGAGGTAAGGATGGAATGAACCAAAGTTCACATAACTAGTAAGTCCCTAGGCTGTACTTTTTCTGTCACACTGTATTTCTTGGGAAGCCAGGGAAACTTTATTCCTACAGCTTTAGCATTCCGGTAATGATAAGGTACACAAAAAGGGAAAATAACCAAGGAATTTCATCATAGCTGTTTGGTGTCAGGACAGATCTCTGTAAGGAAATCATATCCTACCTAACCAAAGGAAATCAGTGATCTCACATGACAAGCAAGGAATGGCATAGAGCCTGGCATGGGAACTAAGAAGAGAAAGCAATAAGCTTCAGTTAGCAAGCTATGGATCTCCTTAGATGGCCTCTGGTACATCTTAAATAAACTGAAGCATCAGATTCACCCCCATTAGAAGCGTTTTTGAGTCATTTTCTGTGCATAGTGTCAGTGTCTACGATAGAAGGGCCTGGGCTTATCAGAGACACTGTTCAGTTCTGGGGAGACAAGAGGAAAAAGATGTGGTTTTCTTCCTTTCTCCTGTATTTATGTTTTTGTCTTCTACTTGAACGAGCCTGAAAAATAGGGCAGGGTGTTTTGATCTTTTTTTCCTGCCTGACTTCAGCCAGCAGCCCTCCCTAAATAGCTACAGGCTCCTCTGTGATTTTTCACTCAAGCTCATATTTTGCTTCTCTCTTTTCTTTCCTTCCCCTTTCTCTGAGGAGTGAGAGAATTTGGGTGTATGTGTGGTTGTTTTTTGAAGGTGGCATAAAATTATTATTCTCCCTATTGCCTGACACAAATATCCCTTCAACTGCTATTTTGGTGACTTTGACATGGAAGTAAAACGTACGTCTCAATTCATTTTCTTCCTTCTACTTCCTCCTAACACATCAACATAATCCACACTGCCCTGGAGGAGTTATGAAAAATATTCTGAGTTTCTAGGTAGAATATTAAATCATACTTTTAGAGAACACATTGTTG
The DNA here is from genome assembly GCF_000001405.40 of Homo sapiens. Lineage (NCBI taxonomy): Eukaryota > Metazoa > Chordata > Mammalia > Primates > Hominidae > Homo > Homo sapiens. Next base: position 4,221,239 of record NT_167249.2, read on the forward strand.
AGCTACAGTTTAATTGAAGGAATTGTACTAGGCTAAGAATTTTGCCAGCTCAAAATACTGGTTTAATTCTTTCTCAGTGGTGATTGACGTCTCAAACCAGCAAGAGGTGTAACATGAGGGGAAGGGGCTGGGGAAGAGGGAAAGGATGTAAGAAACAAAAGAAATAGTTAGAATTTGGGGTGTCCAAAGCAAACTCATGATCCCACCTAGTGAGAATCCATTTGGAAACTGAGGAACCAAAGGCTTTGGGCTCCAATCTGCAGCCACTTCTTTGATACGACTTTGGGATAGGTGGACTCACCCGAAGTATTGTTTTACATGTACTATTTGCCTCAATTTCCCTGTGATGGTTTTGTCCATCACCTCATCCTGAAAAAATAAATGTTGGTGATGCTTTGTTCCACATATTCGTTCATTTGAACTCATTATTCCCAGGAAATATCCATTGAAATTCAAAATATCATGAACTTCCAAAGGGTTTTCTAGAAAAAAAAAACAAAAAAAACCCCTTGATCTTAATGGGTGTTTTTTAATCTGTGCTAGAATCTGTTTGGAATGTTTTATTTAGGATTTTTGTGTCAGTATAATAAGTAAATTCATCTACAATTTTTATATTTGTGCATTGTCATAGTTTAACATCAATATTATACTTGCTTCATAAAAAAATTTTCTTCTATGCCATTGAGCCATTTAATTTTTGTTTGTTTGTTTGTTTGTTTTAGAGACAAGGCCTCACTCTGTTGCCCAGGCTGGAGTGCAGTGGCACAATCATAGCTCACTGCAGCCTTGAACTGGGCCCAAGCGATCCTCCCACCTCAGCCAAGTAGTTGAAACCACAGGCACGAGCCACCACATCTGGCTAATTTTTGTATTTTTTGTAGAGACGGGTTTTCGCTGTTGCCCACACTGGTCTTGAGCTCCTGAGTTCAAGCAATCCGACTGCTTAGGCCTCCCAAAGTGCTGGGATTATAGGTGTGAGCCACTGCACCCGGCCTCTATTTTCAATTTTAAAAGTTTGATATAGATGTAGCATATCTATTTTTTTATTGATAGTAATATCTTCTATCTTCTGTGTTCATACTTTTTTTTTTTTTTTTTTTGAGGCAGAGTCTCACTGTGCCGCCCAGGCTGGAGTGCAGTGGTGCGATCTTGGCTCGCTACAACCTTTGCCTCCCAGATTCAAGCAATTCTCCTGCCTCGGCCTCCCAAGTAGCTGGGATTACAGGCGCCCACCACCACACCCAGCTAATTTTTGTATTTTTGGTAGAGACAGGGTTTCACCATGTTGGCCAGGCTGCCCTCGAAATCCTGACCTCAGGTGATCCGCCCGCCTTGGCCTACCAAAGTGCTGAGATTACAGGCATGAATCACCAGGCCCAGCCTATTTTTTTGTCCACTTAACTGGTCTAGTCCAGGGAAAGGGAATTAAAGTGTTCTATTGGTAGTACATTTCTGAATATTTTCCTTGTATCTACCTTAATTTCTGCTTTATAAGAGCTACCTATTTGGTATTTAGAACTTAAACACATGTCTCATATATTCATATGAATTTTATACTTTACATTATAAAGTGCCCTTCTTGTCACACTCAATTTTTTTTTTTTTTTTTTTTTTTTTTGGTGAGGAGTGTCTGAATTTCATCTTGTTTGGTAAGACGAATGTGACCTCTGCTTCCCTTTTGTTTGCATTCTCTTGTTATGTCTTTGCCCATCATCTTATTTGTTGAAAATAATGAATACATCTTTCTGAGTGGCTTTATGTTAGGTGTCTTTTGCATATTGCAAATAATAGAGTTTTTATCTTAATCTAATTTAAAAATATTTTCATTTATTTAGTTCAGTTAAGAAGCCCATTTATAATTATTCATACAGCAAATAGATTCAGTCTAATTCAGAGATATTAACTTCTGTTAAGTATAATGTTTACATGAGTATTTTTAAAAATCTTTCACTATGTCTTTATTGTGCATTTTAAAAATTTTACCTTTTCAGATATTAAGGAAGGTGTATATTTCAAGGTTGCTTTGATAAGTTTATTTGTATATAATACACTTAGTTCCCTCTTCCTTTAGATAATTCCTATTAGTTTTAAATAATGAACAATCACAAAACTAGCTCATATCCTCTCCCTTCCTCTTTCTGTGTGTGTGTCTACCTTTGTAGTCTTAAATGTGTAAATACGAGCACTTGATTTATTAGTTTTAAAGAATATATTTTGATTCCTAGATGTTACAGACAAGAACATCAACAGGCTTATTTGATATCCTTATTCATTTTTCCACTTATTCTATAATCATTGAGAAATGTGTTTCAATTTCTCAATTAATTTCTTCCTATAATTCTCCTATATTTCTTACATATTTTGTAGTTTTATTGCTAGGTGCAAACTGATTCAGTTTTAGTATAATGTTCTGGTGACTTCATTATCACTATGTAATGGCTGTCTTTGTTTTTACTAATGCCTTTGGTTTTAGACTATATGTTTAGATATTTCTGTAATTACATAAGCTGTCTTTCTGTCTTCTGTTAGTGTTTGCTTTGTGTATCTTATATCTGGTTTTGATTTAACATTTTCATGTTTTTAGGTTTCTTGTGATCTTATGAAGGGCATATAACTGGATTTTGCGATATTGTTAATCTAATCTGAGAACTTTCCTTTAACTCCCATATTTAAGCTATTTATACTTGTGATCACTGTGCTATTTACATTCGTTTCTGTTACAATATATGGTGCTCTGTATTTGCTATGTCTTACTTTGCTTCTTTTGTTTTCCTTGCATCACTTATATTAAATCAATTACATTTTTATTTAAAGTATTATTTAATTTCCCCTTACTGATTTAGGAATTTTAAATTCTAATTATATTAGTTAAAAGTCAGTCTTATATTTTTAACATGTTTACCAAATGTGGCAGCATCTGAAGGTAATCAATATCTCTACCCTCCTTTCAAACAAGACAAAGACTTTAGGTGCTTTAACTTTGTCTGCCTCATTCTCATGTCACTTGTGGTTGCTCTGCCTTATTTTTAAATTTAATAGTCATTTTCATTACTGATTTTTATCGTTACAGTCATATTTCATTTCTCATTCTGATTTTCCAATATTTTAGACAGATTTGTTATTGTTGTTTGTGTGTGTGTTTATTTTTCTCATCTTTGCTCCCTTATCCTTCTGGGTTTAGTATCTCTGTTACTTACATGATAATATTAAAAAGCAAATGATAACTACAATACAATGCTACTTTCACCCAGAAGATTGTCAAAATTTTAAAAATTAACACTGTCTGTTGGATATATATATATATATATATATATATATATATATATATATGGAGAAACAGATAAACTCATATGTTGCTGCTGGAACTATAAATTAATATAGCCTCTATGAAGGCAATTTTGCAATATCTATCAATATTTGTAATGTATATATTGGACTCAGCAACTCCCCTTTAAGATTGTATCATACTTGTATTTTTGCACATGTGCATTACAATGTCTATACAAGACTAACTAGCAACAGCAAAAGACTTCCAATAACCTAACTAGCCATCAGTAGAAGGAAACAGGATAAATGAAATATGGAACTTCCATAAAATAGAATACTACATAGCCATATATTTTTAATTTAAAAAATAAAGTTCAGAACAGTGAACTTAGACAGCTGCTGTTTGCGAAAATACTGAGCAAGAATAAAGATATACATATTTGCTTAATACACAGTAAACTTCTCTGGAAAGATAAACACAAAGCTGGAAGAACGGATTGCCTATGCAAGAGGAATTAGCAAACCTTGAGAAGGATTGAGAGTGAGGCTTTCCTCTGTATACTTCTTTGTGTCTTTTGAATTTCAAACCACATTCATATATTGCTTATTTAAATAAATAAATAATATATTTTAAAAAGAGGATAGTAGGAAGATAAGTGGAATCAGGGAGTATAGGCAACTCTTTTGAGGAGTTTTATGCAAAGCTGGGCAAGTCCACCTCTTCCTTAGCTATGTGACCCAGGCAAGTTAGTAAATGTTTCTAAAACTCCATTTTCTCACTCTTAGAATTGAGATAGTAATACCTGCCACATAGAATTATCTTGAAAAATAAGGTAAGAAGACAGGTTTCAGATACTTGGCACAGCAATAGCACATAGTAAGCACCAGTGAATGCTTAGTAGTAGTAGTAGTCTAATTCCTAAGAGTCCATGGAACTCTAGGTTCAAAACCCAGTTTCTTCTGGGACCATTAGATGGCATCAGACTCAAGCAGGTGCTCCTCTAGCTGACAGCTCTAAAACACAAGGAAGATCTTTGTTTTCCTTATTCCCTAGTCCTTTCCCCACAAAATTCTGACAATTACGCATTTCCTGCTTGTTTCACAATTGCCATGTGGATTCCAAGTGGCTATCCCTGGGTGGAGGCATAAAGGACTTGAAACTCAATGCTGTTTCCACATAGGGCCGGGCAGACAGGCTATGGAGGTGTTTTGGCATCCAAGGAAATCTATCAGTTTCCCAAGCTTTCCCCTCTCCATTCATACTTTCCTTTAGAAAGAATAAGGCATGCCTGGGTGGGAAAGATACTGCAGGTAAGCGACAAGAAGGGGAAATTACAGGGTAAGGAGATCAATCAAATGGTGATGGGGGGTAGGAGTGAACAAAAAGAACTCTGGAGCAAACCAGGATTAGTGACATCTGTGGTTCCCAGACAAACCACACTTACAGGAATTTGTCTGTCTAGCCCGAATATTTTGACTTTCAGGGAGCATTTTTCTGTGTCCCTGACATAAAGCCTACCTGGGAGTTTCCCCTGAGATAAGAAACTTTCAGGACATCTTAAGGTCTACTGCATCTTCCTGTACTGCCCATCAAGATAAGTTTTCCACCCAGCTTTATCATGATTAGCTGCGTGATTTCATGTCAGTTTCTCTGTAAAATTAGGTTTGACTGTTGCATTATTTTTAAGATGCCTTCCAGGCTTAAAGTATTATGATGCATGGGTATAACTGTACTGAGGAAATCAAAGAATTTCTCAGATCATCTTCTTCTGTGAGGGCTGCAGCTTCCATGTAGTTGGGAGATACAGGAATTACTATTCCTGTTTTATGAATAAAGGACATTTGTGGGAGAGAAAGGAATCAGGCCAGAGTTCTTTCTCTCCAAATGCCTATTTTACCCTCTGTGAAATTTGAGAGATGGATGGGTGTGGAGCTGCAAGTCAGCCCCAGGATGAAAGAAAGGCAAATCTGCACAAGAAACTGCCCACTCTCACCCCATCCTCACTGCACCCTGCTCCCAACAGCTGCCAGGCAAGAAAAAATCCAAAACAGCAGTTCTGGGGAATTCATTGCCAGCACTGGAAACTACCTGCTGTTTCCAGGAATATGAAGGTTTCTCTTTCCTAGAATAGCAACTTTCCAAGGTAAGTCCCTCCCAACAACCAGTGATGTGTACAATGTTGCATTTTCAGTGGTGGGAGTGGGCAGGGAGGATTAAGATTAGTACGATGGTGGAGATATTTATTCATTTATTCAATTGACTATTTATTCTCCACTATGAATTAGGCCCTCGGCCAGGTAGCAGATATAAAGCTTAATAAGATATATGGCTTTCCGCCCAGGTGCTCATGGTCTAGTGGAAGGTCAAAAAAGGTGGGAAAGGGAAGATAGAACTTTAAAAGGGCTGTGAAAGAGGTAACCGCACAGTGATAGAAGCACATGGAGAGTTCCCCAGACTGACGACATAAGTAAGGCCTCCTGGAAGACCTGAACCCTGAGTTAAGTCTTGAACTTGAAAATCAGGGGCGAGTCGAGCAGAAAATGGGCAAGAAAACACCATATGCAAAGGCACAAAGGTGTTGGGGAAGGCAGAAGTTTGTCGTGGAGCTGGATACAACAGGAGAGGGTGAGACAGATGGGCTGTCTATGAGTGAAGACTATAACAACGGGACTGGAGAGAAGAGAATAGATTCTGAATTATTTAGAGCTAAGAGCAGCAGAGCTTTTCTTGATGGGATTATGGATTAGGGTTTATGGACCCAAGATGCAATATAATTGATTGGGTCAGGGTGTGGACTCTAGGGTCAGGCCTGTGTTCAAACTCCAACTCCACCACTACGACCACCTTGGGAAAGTCATTGAGCCTCTTTGAGCTTCAGTTTCCTCATCTGTAAAATGGGGATAATAACCAACCTCATAGGGTTGGAGATAATGATTAAAAACGATAATACATGAAAAACACTTAGCATAGCTCCTACTCACATTAAAACTCTATAAATGGTAGCTGTTACCAATGTCATTATTAATACTGTTAATCAGGGAACTGTTCTCTGTCCCTCCAGACCCTAGCTTCTTCAAAATAGCAGACACTGGTAGGAACAAGGAGGGATATAGGAAGGCAATCTCATGAATATTTATGTCATTTTTGGTTAATTTCTATCTCAAACAACAGATAAACGACTGATGGAACAGGCAGCAAAATAGCAACTATGGTTATCTCCAGGAAGTGAAACAATGGGTACTTTTACTTTTCTTCTTTGTACTTTTTTATATTGTCTAAATTTTCTATATGAATGTATACAGTTCACGTAAGAAGGAAAATATTTTAAAATATATGTATTATGCCACAAAATACTCCTCATCACCAGGCAAAGCTCTAGTCACCAGGGAATTAAGTTTCCTGGACACAGACAGCCTCCACCCCACCACACCCCACCCCACCCCACCTCTCCACCCCACCAAAAGCACACAGTGTCCAAATCTCCATCGTGCTTGCAACTCAGGAACAGCTATCTGGCCGCACAGCTCTAGGGAAACTCAAAGCAGGAACAGCTCTGGGTCCTGGAGACGCCCCTGAGAAGAGGGCCCAGTATCCCTGGGGCCTCAGTCCATCAGCCGCTGCTGAACCAGGCGGGAATAGAGGTCCTGTCCCTCCTGGAGCTGGGCAAGCTTCTGCAGCTTGCCCTCCTGGAGCACCAGGATCTGGTGGGCGCGCTGAACTGCCTGCAGCCTGTGAGCAATCACCAGCACTGTGCGATCCCCACGGGAATTCCAGTCCTGCAGCTGAAGGGGTGATCACAGTGCCTCAGAAAGACAGGAATGAGATGGACACCACATCCACCTGGGCACCATCTCTTATGATTTAGGGTAAAGAAGGTGTGAAATAAAAGAAGGTAGGAAAGGGCAGTAGATAAAGGCCTGGACTGCCCTTCTCTCCCAGCTGTACTGCCACAGCTGGAGGAATGGAAGCCCAGGAGGGAACTGGGGCTGCCCTCACACCACCGGATTCCATTCCCCAACCCCAAGAAGGCACAGACTGTTTCTACTAGTAGGTCCTTCGTCCTCCCTCTGCCCAATTCTACACAGGCTGATCCTCCCAGCATGCCCCTCCCAGGCCCCACTGTCCCCTGCCCTCTCACAGTACTCACGGCCTGCTCGCACTGCACATCTAGGGCACTAGTAGCCTCATCCAGGATGAGGACCCGCGGGTCTCGTACAAGGGCCCGGGCAATGGCCAGACGTTGTTTCTGTCCCGCAGCCAGCTGGCTCCCCTTCTCCCCTACATCTGAGGAAATCAGAGAAATTCCCTTCCTCAGATACAAGTGACACAGATAACACACAAGGAGGGACAAGTGCACAGCAGGTACTTCCAGTAGGACCTCGGGAGGTGGGAGGGCCCAGTGCGGGGAGGGCCCAGTGGGAGGAGGGCCATGGGGTGGGGACCTGACGGGGCTGCCCATGGAGGGAGCACCACTGCTGCATTGCTCTCTGCAAACAAAGACTCTTGAGCAAGAGGGAGGCTGAAGAATTCAGTGTGTGGGGAAGGAGACGTAGGAATGGAGGAAAGGGCAGAGGAACAGCAAACATCAAGTTACAGGGACACGACCTTCACCACTAAGAGTAAGTCTGATTTTCTCTTTTTTACTGAAGGAGCAGGCTTACAATTTGTAGAAGATACCTGTGTATATTCCATGCTCCATTTCCTGGATGAAGTCATCTGCGTGGGCAGCCTGGGCAGCCGCCATCACCTTATCATCTTCGCAGCTCTGCAGCCCATAAGCAATGTTGTTCCTCACAGAACCGGAGAACAGCACAGGCTCCTGCCCAACTGAAACCACCTGTGCAGCGGGGACAGGGGCAGAGGACTATGTGTAAACCCCCAAGGCAGGGGCCCTTTTGTCCTCCCCACCTACCTCCCTCAGAATGAACACCTGGTGCGCCTTCCCGTGGATCTCCCATCCTCTCTCTGTACATGCTCCCCTCTCCTGTCCCCTGTCTTCTCCCTCCTCACCCACCTGGCTGTGCAGGTAGCAGTGTTCATACTGTGAGATGGGCTTTTCATCCAGCAGCACCTGTCCCCCTGTGGGCTGGTACAGATTCTGCAGCAGGGCAGCCACTGTGCTCTTCCCAGACCCATTGGGTCCCACCAGCGCCGTCACCTCACCAGGACGTAGGGTAAACGTCAGCCCCTAGAAAACCAGAAAAAGAGTTAAGGGCCTGCCCCTTCTCCCTCAAAATCCCTCCATTTCTCTTCTTAGCAGAGGCAAGACCAGGTTCTCAGAGGCAAATGAACTATAGGCTGTGATGTCCAATTATGCATTAGCAGCAGAGAGCAAGGGTCCAGGTTTCCTCCCTCTTTCAGGCACCTTGAGCACAGGCCTGTCAGGGCGATTGGGATATGCAAAGGAGACGTCTTGGAATTTCACAACCCCCTGCAGAGTGGTGGGGGCAAGCGTGCCAGGTGAAGGCAGATTTGGCTGTCGGTCCATGTAGGAGAAAACCTTCTCTGCAGCTCCCACGTTGCTGAGCATATCCCCATATATGTATACCAGGGTCTGGAAAACAGGAATGGGAGAGCCGGCTAATTAAACACACTTCTACCAGAAACCACCCTCCCAACTCCTCACACACTCCACTCACAACTGCACTGCTCCTCCTCCATACTCAAAAGAGATTCTCCACTTTTAAATGTACAATTTGGACGGAATTTAAAAGTGGCACCAATACCCCAGTGTTCCAATTTGCAATATAAAGGATATACAGTCCCTTCTCCTACCATACAGCATTGCCTCTAGCCCCAGATCTTTTCAGTTACTGCTTCCTATTACTTGTGCCCAGTTCTGTCTTGCTTGATTAGACGGGGAGCTCCTTAAATGCAGGCACTGTGCCCAACTCACCTTTGTAGCCGTCAGAGTGCCCAGCGCAGTTCTCTACACAAAAAAGATGTTTATCAAGTGTCTAGGAAAATGTTTAAATAAAGCCCTGGATGAAGTAGCTGTTTTTGAGAACTGGTAAATGTAGGAAGAGATCTAAATGCTCACTCTGCCTTTCCTCATCAAACTGTACCACCGGGTAATGAAATGGTAGATGAGGGGAAGTCTCCCTTCATAGACTACTTCAGCTAATACATGAAGAATGATAGAGTATCTCCCTTTTGCAGCCCTAATTCTGTCATGGATGTAGGTACTGCTCATCAGTGGCTGATGTTGCCACAAATAGAGAACCAGACATTGTGTGCCTCTTGGAGGAAGAATGCATCACCACCTAAAAAGTACTGTTGCTGGAAAAAGACCAAAAAAAACCCCTCAATCTCACAAGCTTCTAGGTTTATCTATCAATAGACAGGAAGTACAGAGGCAGAAGAGCATATAATACCACAGGGATTCAGTCAACAAAATCCAGACCCTAAGAAACTCCACAGGACAAACAACCTATTTCTTCAACAAATAAACTGTGCAAGGGAAACTTTTAGACAGATACATGGATTGATGGGTGGATGGATGGATAGATGGATGGATAGATAGATAGACAGACAGACTTAAAAGATGTATCAACCAGTCACAATATGTGGACCATTTCTGGATCCTGATTTAAGCAAAGTATAATAAACACACTCATACACATATACTACATGGATACCACAAGTGGAAATTTGACAATTGACTATTTGATAAATTTTAAGAACTACTGTTAATTTTTTGGTGTGATAATGGCTTTGTTGTTATACACTTTTAAAGATGTTTGTATTTTTAAGAAACATACTGAAATATTTACAGATGAAAGTATACAATATCTTGGATTTGCTTCAGAATAATATGGGTGGGGGGAAGTGGCTGGGGATACAGATCCAACAAGATTGGGCATGAGTTGATCATTGTTAAAGCACAGGATGTATACATGTGAGTTTGTAATATTATTTTGTCTCATTTTTGGCATATGTTTAAAATTCTCCATAGCAAAATTACTTGCGGGTTTTGGTTTTGTATTGTATTGTTAAAAAGAACAAATAAAGCCCAAGGCCCAGGAGTCCACAAAGAAAAAGAGAGGGAAAAAAGGAGAGCAGGCTTGGCTTCTCGCTCACCTGCACATAGCTCCCCACGCTCTCCTGGTAGATCATAAAGGAAAGCAGGCTGCCCTGGGTGAGCTCCCCATCCTGCATCTGCTGCAGCCCACAGCTCAGCATCAGCATCTGCACCCCCAAGTGCAGCACCTGGAAGAGGAGAAGAAAGAGATGAGGCTGGGAATCTTCCCATTCTTTCCCCCTCTCTGCCTCTATGAGACTGAGCTGCAAAGGCCTCTAGAACCAGCTGTAGTTTCCTCTTCCCTTGCCCTCCCCCTTTCCTGGGCTCCTTTCACAACCACTCTGGTATCTTACCCTCCTTACGAGCAGGTACAAGGCGCGTTCCAGGTCTCTCCGCCAATACAGCTGCCGACATTGTTCAAGGGCCTCTTTATAGCGACAGACTTCATGCTCCTCGGCCCCAAAACTGCGAACGGTCTGCAGCCCTCCAACGGCTTCCCGCACCACCTGCCCCGCCCTGGCCACTGCATCCTGGATCTCCCGAAGCACTTCCTGGAAAAGAGGGCCAGCAAACACCAGGGCTGATGTGCAAAGACAGCAGGCCCCCACATCTTACTCCAGCCAGTGAGATGCTCCCTAGTCTACCTAAAAATACCAAACTGTTTCTCTCCCTCTTCCTTACTCTTCTTTCCAGAAGGAATAAGAGTGAAGGAGCAAGGGAACAAAATATTATTGAGCTCTCAGTGTTAGGTAGTATAGGAGATACATGCAATTTTTTTAACCTTCATTTGAGGTAATTTTCCCATCCCCAGTGTCTGAATTAGGAAAGAAGGGTAGTTTTCCCAAGGAGCCACAGATAGTTAAGAAAGGTGGAGATGTAATTCCAAATGGATCAGAGGCCTAAACATAAGAGCTAACACTATAAAACTCCTAGGAAAATGTAGAAGAAAAGCCTCATGCCACTAGATTTGGCAGTGATTTCTTGGATATAACACCAAACGCACAGGCAACAAAAAATAGATAAATCAGACTTCATCAGAATTTAAAACGTTTGTGCATCAAAGAACTCTAGCAACAGAGTGAAAAAGCAACCATGAAATACAAGAAAATATTTGTGAATCATATATCTGATAGGAAATTAATAGGCAAAACATATAGTGAACTCCCACAACTTAAAAAAAAATCAGAAAATGGGCAAAGAACTTGCAGACATTCTTTCAAGAAAGAAACATAAGTGGCCAAAATCACACGAAAAGATGCTCAATATTTACTAATCATTAGGGAAATGCAAATCAAAACCACAATGAGATAATCCTAATCACCTAATCACCATTAGAATGGCTATTAAAAAAAAAGACAACAGAAAGTGGTGTTGATGAGGATGTGGAGAAATTGGAAACCTTATGCACTGCTGGTGGGAATTTAAAATGGTGCTGCCGCTATGGAAAACTGTATGGTGGTTTGATACGATCTGGCTGTGTCCCTACCCATATCTGATCTTGAATTCCCATGTGTTGTGGGAGGGACTGGGTAGGAGGTAATTGAATCATGAGGGCAAGTCTTTCCCATGCTGTTCTTGTGATATTGAATAAGTCTCACGAGATATAATGGTTTTAAAAAGGGGAATTCCCCTGCACAAGCTGTCTTTTCTCTTGTCTGCTGCCATGTGAAATGTGTCTTTCACCTTCCGCCATGATTTGAGGTCTTCCCAGCCACATGGAACTGTAAGTCCAATAAACCTCTTTCTTTTGTAAATTGCCCAATCTTGGGTATGTCTTTATCAGCAGCGTAAAAATGGACTAATACATGGTTCCTCAAAAATTGTTAAATAGAATTGCCATATGATCCAGCAGCTCCACTTCTAAGTATATACCCAAAAGAACCAAAAGCAGGGTTTCAAACAGGTGTACACTCATGTCCACAGCAGCATAATTCACAACAGCCAAAAGGTGGAAACAACGCAAATGTCCATTGACAGATGAATGGATAATCAAAATGTGATATATGCACACAACAGAATATTATTCAGCCTTAAAAGGGAGGAAATTCTAACACATGCTACAATATGGATGAGGCCTGAAGACATTACGCTAAGTAAAATATGCCAGTCACAAAAAGACAAATACTGTATGGTTCCACTTACGTACCGCACCGGGAGTCATCACAATTCATGGAGACAGAAGGTACAATGGAGGTTGCCAGCGGCCAGGGGTTGGGGGTAGTAGGCAGTTACTATTTAGTGGGTACAGAGTTTCATTTTAGGAAGATGAAAAAAGTTCTGGAGATGGATGGTGATGATGGTTACCCAATAACAATGTGGGTTTCCTAAATGTCACTGAACTGTACACTTCAAATGGTTGAAATGGTAAATTTTATGTTATGTATGTTTTACCACAATATAAGAGAAAAAGAGAAGGTGGAGCTGACATTCAGACTTAGGACTTCCTGATGACGCCTCCTTTCCCTATGCTGCATCCAGACTTCTTCTGCTGATTTTAAAGGGAAAATCTCCCTGCCTAAAAGCCTCTAAGAAACCATTTTTAATCTTCGCAGTGGGGGCGGGGGATGTACAGACTCCTTTGAGAAGCTAATGAAAAGTTATCATCGCCTATCATCTCCCCTTCCTATTCCCTCCCCCATACCTTCACATACACTTTACATTTTTGTTTACAGTTCTGGAGAATCATGAATCTTCTGAAGTCAAATATCCATTGTTGGATGGCTGGACAAACAAAATGTAGTATATACTACAATATACCTTCTCCCCTAATGGCTGAGAAGAGAACATCTCTCTCTAGGGGATCCTCTAGCCACAAATGTGGAAGCCTCCTCACCTGTCAGTTTTATTCTCCCTTTGGGGTTCCCTTACATGCACGCTCACCTGATGGCGGGTGTTGTACACCTTCTCCGCTGCTATTGTGAAGGGCATGTGCAGCAGAGAAAGGAGGGTGAGTCGAGGCGATATGCTGAGCATGAAGCCATACAGCCCCACCACTTTCACCAGGCTTCGCAAGAGCACATTGGCATTTAAAGGAAGCCAGTTACTCATCAGGGTGGTATCCGAGCTCAGCCGTGAGTTCAGCTCCCCTAAGAAGGACAGAGCAGGTGAGGAAAAAGGAAACCATGTGTACTGCAGGGCCCCCAGAAACTCCCTCCTGACCGTTCCCTCTGACACAGCCCCCTCCTCTGAACATCCTCCTTCACTTGCAGAGGGACAGTGGAGGCTGCTTCTCCACCCTGTCCCAAACAAGAGAAAAGCATCCCCAAGTCCTGGCATACGGGTGAAGGCAGGAGGAGAGGCTGTGGGTGGAAGGTCACTGAGGGGCAAGGGATGTCCATGGGAATCTCAGACCTGGACTCCAGGCCCCACCTGTCTTAGTCTCCTGGAAGAAACCGAGGTCCTGGCGCAGCAGGGAGGAGAAAAGCTGCTCCCGGATCCGCAAGTTGATTCGAGACATGGTGTAGGTGAAGCAGCCTCCTCGGCAGCCTGCAGACAGTGAGCTGTGGGGTAGGAGAATAAGAGGGGAGGGAGATGCAGAGAAGGAGCAAGCCAGCGGGTGAAACAGAGGAGCAAGCCAGGAGTGCAGAGAAGCGCAAAGTCAGGGGAAAGCATGCCAGGAGGGGCAAAAGAGAAAGAAATGAGAGACAGACACACAGAGAGAGAAGAGGTAAGGAATACACAGAGGAAGAAGAAAGAGGAGACATGGTGAGCTAGATGTGAGAACAAAATCATAACATGTACAAATTTACAAGTATTTATGGAGTGCACTCTGTACTAGACACAATAGAAGACTACAATAGAAGGGAAAAGATATTGTGAAAACAAGTATCCCAGTGCTTGCTTCTGTCCCAGCGTCCCTCAGGCTTGTCCCTCTGTGCGTCTCCTCCGCCTTGGTCTCCTTCCTGCCCCATACCCAAAGCCCTTCTCTGTCATCATAGATACTTCATCATGGGAACTGCAATAATAAATTCCCTGCCCCCACAATTCTCTGGAGCCCCAGAGTCATGTGATTCCCATCTTTCATCCTTCGAGTTGGAAAATCCCTCTTAGACCAACTACATGCTACAGTAACACTTAGAGGAAAAAATATAAAGCATAAAAGCATGTATTTTACAAAATATATGTTTCTAATACAAATTTAGTTACCATATTGAAGAGGCGTTTGGAATAGTCAGACATGATATAATGAGGGTTTGTACTTTAATGACAGGGATGTGTTCTGAGAAATGTGTCGTTAGATGGTTTCATCGTTGTATGAACATCATAGAGTGTACTTACACAAACCTAGATGTCATAGCCTACTGCACACCTAGGCCATGTAGTTTAGCCTATTGCTCCTAGGCTACAAATCTGTACAACATATAACTGCACCTAACACTGTGGGCGACTGTAACACAGAAGTAAGTATTTGTGTATCTAAACATAGAAAAGGTACAGTAAAAATATGGTATTATAATCTTGTGGGTCCACCATCTTATATGTGGCCCATCATTGACCTAAACTTCGTTATGCAGTGCACGACTGTAGTTTCAGCAGAAAGCAGCCAGGATGGAATGAAGGCACAATGAAATGGTTTTCGAGGGTACTCTAAATTAAGTATGACCATAAAAATAGAGACAATCAGGCCGGCTGGGATTTGGGTAAGGTGAGTGCACACCTCCTTAAACTTTGCACCCCAGGTGCCTCGCTCACCTCATCCCAGTCCCAGCCTTATCAAACAGTTTGTTTGTTTGAGTATGTCTAGAAAGAGAAAGGAAAGCAAGTGAAGGGAAAAGAGTAATGATTCTGGAAAGAAAGGTGATAAGCCTCAGAGTAAGATCTTCAGGGACTGGCAAGATGAGCTGGGAAAGAAGAGTGAAAGGGAGAAGCATACCCATCCTGAGGGAGTGACCCTGGAGAGATACTTTGGAGACAGACTTAGGGGTAGGAGGTAGGAGGCAGAAAGAAATGGAATTTCATGGACCTAGGAATGTTGAGAGACAACTGAGAGACATTCCATCTGAGACTTAAATTCCTTTTGTACTACCTTCACTCATAACTTGTTCCTATAATAAGATCAGATAAACTTTGAAGATATTGGATGAATATGAACGAAGGAAGAAATGAATGGATAGATGAAACAGAATGGTGACTACATTCACCATATTTTAGTTTAAGTATTTTTGTGTTTTGCGCCTGAAAGGGCCTAGAAATGGAGTTAGGGAAGTGAAGACCCCTATAAAGATTTGGGGCTAGCAAATGGACCCAGCTGCCCACTACCTACCTGCCAAAGGAGAAGAGGCACATGAAGAAGATGGCACTGGCAAAGGCATGGGGGTCAAAATCACCTCCCAGGATGTCAATCACACGACCAGAATAGTGAGGGATTAATGTCTCACCTGAAAGAGGCATGAAAAATAACACAAGAATGTGCTGGTGCGCAGGCCCTTTTACCACCTCCAACTCACAACGTCCTCTCCTGACTCACCCAAAACAGCAAGGACAAGGAAGAAGAAGGCGGCAACGAGGAGAGGCAGGTCCGGCCTGGAGAGCTTCAGCAGCCTCCACATCAAGACTTTGTTGTTCACCTGGTCCTGCTCCTTCTCCTGGGCTCCAGGAGGGCTCAGAACAGCCCACAGTGACCAGCTGAGCCCCGCAGCCCCGTACCCCACCAGCAGCCAGCTCCAAGGGGCTGAAGCGACTCTGGCTGGGGGAGCACGTGAGGCCCCCGCGACCAGGGCTCTCAGGGAGACAGTCAGGGGGGTGGCCAGACAGAGCGGGAGCAGCAGTGTCCCCACAAATCCCAGCAGCCCTCTTAGCTTTAGCAGCCCCCACAGCCCTCCCAGCCGCAGGGTCCCCTCCAGCCATAGTCCTGGCAGCCCTTGAGGAAGCAAAGTCCCCAGAGGGCCCTGAAGCAGCCACAGTAAAGCCGCGTCCACCAGCAGCAGGGAGGTCCAGGGTCTCAGGTCAGGGAGCCGCATGGCTCTGTCAACGGATACGAGATGAGAAATCATGGGGGTGGAGTCCCAATCCTTGTCCCTGCCCTCCTACCCGCCCGGCTCCGCCTAACCCGTCCATCGGCTTCTCATTTCATCCTATTCAACCCTGAGAGCTCTCCTGAGTAACCGGTGCTCATCCGTACACCCCTCCTACGACAGACAGCTTTCGGCCTTCTGGGGAGCTGGAAGCATGACCATCAGGAGCCTCGTGCTTAAAAAAAAAAAAAATCCCCGGACCCCCACCCCCACCCCCGCCTGCCGCGGCGAGCTAAGTGGTCCGGGCTCCGCTCCCTCCTATCGCCGGGTGCAGAGGGACTGGGAAGCAGGAGCGTGGAGTGGGTAGTCACTTGGGCTGCGTTCCTGTTGGCGCTCCAGGTTCCCCTCCGCACCAACTCACCAGCCGCGGCGGGGAGACCGCAGCTCCGGGGGCTTCTGCTTCAGCGCTGAGGTCCGCTCCGTCTCTCCCAACCTCGCTACCGGCTCTGGTCCGCCAGCTACGCTCGGCCAGGGCGGGCGTCAGGGCTCGGGCAGCTTTCGCTTTCGTTTCCCCAACCAAGGCCTTCATTCTGGGCTGGGCCGCCGGGAGGGGGCGCGCGAGACCCGCAGACAGCGGAACTGGAGCCCGAACTCTGGTTCGCACTGTACAGGCCTGCAATGAGTCTCACTCGCCTTTAGTGGCGGTTACTCTGGGATATAAAACTGCAAAAATGTTTCTTTATCATTAAGTAAAATACAGTTGTCTCAAGGGCAACTGTATCTGTTGTCCTTGCTTTGTAATTGGAGAATGCTTTGTAATTGGAGAATCACTGAATTTTCTCAAAGTTACTACTTCAAGCTCTGAGCCTACTATTAAGAAGTGCCTTCTTTCTGGTCCGGCGCGGTGGCTCACGCCTGTAATCACAGCACTTTGGGAGGCTGAGGCGGGCGGATCGCCTGAGGTCAGGGGTTCGAGACCAGCCTGGCCAACATGGTGAAACCCTGTCTCTACTAAAAATACAAAAATTAGCCAGGGCGTGGTGGCGGACGCCTGTAATCCCAGCTACTCGGGAGGCTGAGGCAGGGGAATCGCTTGAACTCAGGAGGCAGAGGTTTCAGTGAGCCGAGATCGGGTCATTGCACTCCAGCCTGGGCGACAAGAGTGAGACTTCGTCTAAAAAAAAAAAAAAAGTGCCCTCTTCCATGCAAGCTCCAGTTTTAGGCGAGCGAGCCGGGCTCTCCTAAATAGAAGGTTCCAACCAATCTCACCAGGCCAAAGGGGATTTTCACGTACAGACTTTGAATTTAGTAGGCCCTGAGCGTTCATCTTCATCCGTCCTTCTCAGCCGGAGCACCTTGAGCTGGCGCGTGTTCAGGTGCCTCTGAGTCTGTACTCCAAATTATGTTGGGCGCACCTTCAGCCTATGAGGGAAATGCCCGGTACTGGGCTTTGGTTCTTGTTCTATTTTAACACTGTTTAGAACAGTAATTAGGTTTTTAAATATCCTTCCTGTCCCAGAGCCTTCCTATGCAACAGAAAGATTCGTTTATTCCAGAAAGGACTCTTCAGATTGAAACCACCTCCCAAACTAAAAACAAACAAACAAACAAATTCCCCAAAGGAAGGGTCGCTTGGATTCCAGATCACCATTTTGAAATGTTACCTGTGTGACTACCAAGGAGTCACTTAAAGTTTAAAATAGTGGTGGTGGGGAGGAGGGATTTTAAGTAGGGGCTCGCTAAAGTTTTACAACTCTATTCATTCTGGCATTTTAAGAATCTCTCTCTAATGAAAAAAGCTCCATGCTCAAGCTCATGCTCCTACTTTCAAGCATTTGTTTCCTTTATTTTCTGGAAAGTGACATGGTCCATAGTTCCAGCATGATTCCGAAAATCTCATGATGTGTGTCTCTTTCTTCTAACCTGGATCTTTTACATTTTCCCCACACTCCTCACTTAGGGGAGTCCTCCTGATCTCTTCTTCCTCTAAAATTATAGTCCTGCCATCTTGCAATTCAGCATGACACATCATGAAATTAGACCCTTAATGTCTGTCTTTATATTCAATATCCAATATCTCCAAAGTGTTATTTGGGATAAATGGTATGGTGTTTATATGATTACCATATTAAAGTGAAGTGGAAGCTTTTTCATCCTACTCTATAAAGTCAAAAACAGTTATCCTAGGTGCCCTACTCCCTGTTCCTCAAACCATTAACAATGGAGCACACAGGAGTCCCCAGGTGCCTCTCTATGGAAAGGACCCTAACCTATGTGAAATTGCAAACAAGTGTCCATGGACAGCAATGAGCAGCCTTCCTGAGGTCTTGGAGAGATGAGTGTGGAAGGAAACCCCAGGAAGAACTATGTGGTGAGGCCACATTTCTTAGATAGGGGTCTGAGCCCCTTCTCCAGAAAAAGCGTCTCTTTACTTTCTGCCCCACCCAACAACCACAGGCCCAACCCCATTCAGCCACAAGACAGAGGTATTTATAACCGTTTTTCTTTATTCTACTTAGTGGGGCACCCAGAAACTTCCCTGGGGGAAATGCTTGTTCAAATAGAGAACACGCAGAAGATGCACTTCACCGGCCTCCTCTGGCTGCTGAGCCCGTACTCTCTCTTTGGCTCAGGCTAGGCCTCTTCTTCTCCTTGGACTTAACGTGGCTTAGGTCCCTGAGTCGGCCAAGACCTCCCAGAGGAGACCTGCCCAGCTGCCACCACCACCATTATTGATTGGCTTCCCGGTACTGGTGCAGCAGGTCACTGACATCTGTACTTTCTACTTTCACCCAACCATCTTCCTTCATGTGGTACACTGTGGACAAATGAGAAAAGAACATGGAGTCACCTTTCACCTCAGCAAGTTCCTGTCACTGATGTTATGTTGAAGGCAGCAACAAGACACATGCGCAAGCTTAAAACCATATGACTGGGCCTTTAATGCCCTTCTTCTGACTCTGAAAATTTCCTCCCTACTACTCTCCCTCCTTTGAGTCTCTCAATCATTTTCTTTTTTTTCTTTTGAGAAGGAGTCTCACTCTGTGGCCCAGACTGGAATGCAGTGGCACCATCTTGGCTCACTGCAAGCTCCACCTCCCAGGTTCAAGTGATTCTCCTGCCTCAGCCTCCCAAGTAGCTGGGACTACAGGCACCCGTCACCACGTCCGGCTAATTTTTGTAGTTTTAGTAGAGACGGGGTTTCGCCATGTTGGCAAGGCTGGTTTCTCAATCTTAAATCACCCCCCCCACCACCCGCCGACTCCTCCCAGGCATGGTGGTGGGAGCATTGGTCTCTTACTATTGACAACGCCTCCAGAATAGCTGTCTCTGTGAGTGGCATAAGCAATAGCCCTGCGGCCAAGGTCATAGGCCTCTTCAGGGCTAAGATTAGGCCGATAGCCACTGTCCATGACCCCGTAGGCATAAGTGTTCCCACTACCCGTGGAGAACATATTTCCTGAGAGCCGAGTCCCATGTTCATCCACGTAGTAGAGTCCAGGACCCTATAAGATGAAAGATTTCAGGCTGAAATTGGAGAGGAAGATGTTGGTAACATGGGGGTTCAAATATGAGACATAAAAAGTGAACAAAAGAATTAATATTACCACAAGAACATTGGAATTAGGAAACCACTTTGGTAAAGTCATCGAACTTTAGAAATGAAAAAGGAAAAACAAACTTGAAATCAACTGTTTAACAAAAGGGACAAGCTTACAAAACACATGCAATGATTCATATCTGGGCCAATAAATAGTCCATGGATATACTGAAACAGTTCTATAACCAAGCACTCTATATGCCATGCATCTTGTCAGGGAGGGAGTAGGAGTATATGATGGGAAACAGATCTGTCATCCATAGGGAACATGGTGGGGGAACATGAAGAATGGAGAGCACCCACCTTCTTATCCCAGCCACAGATCATACTGCCCATAGAGAGGCCCATGCCCCGGTACTGGCACATCATGTTGGACAGCAGCTTGGAGGCTGCCGACACTGAAATACGTTCTCCATTTCGCAGATAGTACAGCCTGGGTGAGGACAAGGTGGAGTGAGGAAAGAGAGGTTAGCTCTTTCCAACTTGATGGGGCAGGAAATGATTAAAGAGATAAGCATTGGAAAGGAATTATTTTGTAGGATCTAAAGATCAGAGAAAGATTTGGAATTTAAAGTATCTGAAACATACAAAGGCAGCCTAGTAAATGATACTGTCCCGCCAGGGTGGATGTGTCAGTGCTAAATACCTGACGTACTATCTGGCTTATGAGTGGAGCACAGGCTGAGATTTGGGAGAAGGGTCTTATCACCAAAAAGCTGTTTTGTGAAATATACTATTAGCACTAAGATGGACCACATAGGACAAGAGTAAGGAGCAATGATCTGAGAGATCCAGGGATTAACCACTAGGCTAAGAAAGGAAGATGAGAGGCCTCACTTACCTGCATTCCTTGGCCAGCAGGCGCTCCCAGTACTGACAGTCTGCTGCACAGCCAGACATGGTGCCAAGCAGGTAAGGGTTAATCTCAATCACCTTGTTCACCCGTAAGGCACCTGGAAGAAGATGGAGCTTTGGGAGAGAAGGGATGACCCCATAGATCCCCCAGTGTGTCCTAAATCAATATCCACTTCCACTTTGTTGCAGAGTTGGCCTCCTGTGGAAAGGAGAGCCCAGCTCCCCAGATTCTGCCTGCTGGAGCGTATACACTCACTAATGTAGGACCCAGCTGAGGCCCGAGAATCCACTGCTGCAATCACTCCATGCTGGAACTTGAAGGCGAGCGTGGTGGTGCCATGGGCCATCTCAATCTGAACGTTCCTTTCTCCGTCCCCACCCAGGGACTGGAAGAATTCTGTGGGCTGATAAGAGAAAAGAGGTTGAGAAAGGCAATGAAAAATTCTGTAGTAAGAGGCTCCAGGAAAAGGTTTTAGGGAGTATGAGGGTGAGGAGATATGCAGAAATGATCTAACCATCAATAAATGAAACAGTTAATAACCAATCTCTAGAAGGAAATGGCTTGGGAGAAGGAAAAGAAGAGGCATGCCAGTATCAACCTTTTCCATTTTCCAGCACAACAGAAATGAAAGCAAGCACATGTTACCATTACTAAAAAATTTTGAGAGTGACTTAAAGGGTTTCTTCCATGCATAAAGCATTCAACCCTCACAAAACACGTTTAGTAACAGTATCCTCACTTTACAGAAGAGGGGCTTGGGACCTAGACTAAGTGACTTGTTCTAAGTCGCGCAACAGTGAGTTGCTGAGAGGAGGCCAGCAGGCAAATTTCATAGGTTTCCCAAGACACCACACACCTCCTATATCATGTGATAACCCCATGAAAAAGGCTCCACCATTTGTGTGTGGACAAGGGCAGGGAAGTTCTCTTGTCTTCCTTTGGGAGCCCCCACCTCACCTGTAACTCTTTGTCCTAACTTGCACTTCCTCCTCTCAGGCCCCATCCCCATGTGGCCTCTTCTTTGGGTCTGGCGCTCTCCGGGACTGAAGGCTACCCCCGACCCTGTACCCCGCGCTCCCGCTCTCGCCTCCTCCTCTCAGGCGACCCTCCACTCCTCAGCGCCCGCCTCCCTGCATCCCTAGGGGCTTCCCTACTGCCCCGACCTGCATTCCCCGGGGTAAAGCGAGCTCTGGAGATCGCATAGAGAAACTGTAGTGTCCTGGGTCCGAGCGACGCCCGCTTCCCGCAACCGGGAGAGCCGATTCCGGCCGCTGCCCTCGGGGGGCTCCGCATACATCTAGTAGCGCCATGACCGCCCAGCACCCAGAGATCTGTCCGCTCTCGGAGGAGGAAGTGAAAGCGAAAGCCACAGATCGAAGGGGAGGGAACAAGACTCTTTTCCACATCCCCCTGCCTTTTCCGAGAAAAGGACAGTTAGTGCCTGGACCAGGACCATCACACTGGGGACCGGCTTCTCTGCTCTCCCGTTATGGGGGTCGGGGGAATGATGGGTCAAGGGTCTTCCGAAGAAAGCGAGAAAGGAACAGGCGCCTTCAAAAGCCCACTTGGCGATGGGTTACAGTAAGAGGTACCTCCAGGCCCGGGCATCCGCTGGAAACAGGGGTGGGTAGGGTCGTGTCATCTAAAGGCGCAGCTTCAACCAGAAGACTAGAAGTCAGCCAGGAGCTGGGAGTAGTGTCACGCGGGGTGGGGGTTCCTATGAGCATCACTTTACAAAACCAGGAGGGACGGAAGTGCGAGGGGGCAGAGTCTTGGAAACAGGTCCTGGGCCAACTGCAACAGAATATACCCGCCGCGTGTAGGGGAAGGCGGCGCCAGGGAGAGGGCGCAGTCTCTGAATCTTTCCACGGGGTCCATCCTAGGGCCCCTCCAGGTTCAACGGTCTCCTAACCTGTAGTCACCCACAAGAGCGTGCCCTTTCTGCCCGCCCTTCCTAGCGTTGCTCCCTGCTTGGCTGAGCACTGCGGAGTTTCACGCCTCTAAACCCCGCCTCTTCTTGCAACCTGTGTTGGCCTCATCTACCCAGCAACTGTCGACGTCACACGACCTGGGCCTCCCTGAATGGGAGATATTTACTAGGCAATCCCGCCTACTGTTCTGAGGTTTCCCCTCCAGGTGCAGCTTCAGAGCCAGGCGAGCCAGGAAGGACCAGCGGGCGAGGTGGTGAGTTGTGAGGCGCGCCCAGTCCCTCTGTTCCCGCCTGGCACTTGCTCTGGCCGCGCCCGCCCCATCTGCCACTTCGGAGAGGCCACGGCTCTGAGCTGCGGCCGCTAGTGCCCTGATGGGCCCTGTGGCTGGGGTCTTGCACATTCTTGGGGGTGGGCCTAAGGGGATAGGGGAAGTGGAAGGGGCCTCATAGGAATTAAAAAGCTTAAGGGAAAAGGTGATGCAGTTAGGGGGTAAAACATTGAGGATGATAAAAGAGGAGACACCCGCAGCTGAAAAGTGCGCTGCAAAAGGCAGTGGGCCGTTTGGTGTGCCGGAAACATAAGAAACCACAGTACAAAACACCAATTTTATTATAAATATCAAGAACCTACAGGGTGTTTATGGGCCAGCATATGCCTTCAGTTATGTTGAAAATAGCTGATCATCTTTCCGTACATTCTGAACATTTCTCAGTTTCAGAGTGCTGGCCACACCAAAGCATCAGCCCTGGCTCTAAACTCCGTTACAGTAAGGAATTACAAATCCTGTGTTTGTACTCCAGGAAGTCTGCATTATCACGAGGAGCTTGGAAAGGAGGTAACACACTCAAGGCAAATTTCAAGTAACTCATCCTGGAGGCAGCTGCCTACTCTGCAGCTGTGGTTCTCCACCACAGAGAGAAGAAAAGGGAGGGAGATGGAGTGCGCAGGTCTGAGAAGGCTTTCATTCTGGAGCATCTGCAGGAGCCTGCACCATGGCCCAGTAGCACCCCTTTTTCTCCATGAGCTGCTGGTGGGTTCCCCCCTCCCGGATAGCGCCTCCTTCCAGAAAGAGGATGTGGTCAGCCTGCTCCACCAGGCTGAGGTGCTGGGTGATGAGAAGCACTGAGCGGGAGTACCGCTCAGGGCTTTCGTACAGGAGCTGCTCCACCTGAGGAAAGACATCGGACCGTCAGAGCCGGGGACTACCCTCAGCCCAGGGAGACACCTGTGTTTCCAGGGCTGGGACTGACCTCACAGGATCACTGCTGGCTCTGCTAACAACCCCAAGGACACCAACGTTTCCCATTCTGAGTACTTCTCCGCAAACCCTTTGTTTCATTAAGGACTGTTTTACATGAAGGGTGCAAAAGTAGGATAAAAATGAGAACCCTAGGGTGAAACACGTGACAGAAGAATAAAGACTATTGAATAGTCCTCTTCTCTACCCATGGACTTGGCATTTTTATATTCGATTTTAAGGAAATATAACTTAGTAGTAAAGAGATGAGCATTCAAGTCAGGCAGACCTGAATTTGGGTCAAGGCTGCGCCACTCAAAAGCTATATGACCTCTATATGAGCAGCTTATTCAACCTCTTTTAACCTCCATTTTGTCATCTGTAGAATGATGATAAATGCCTAGCTCAGAAGGATTCCTAATGAATAAATGAGTGACAGTGCATGTAAACAGACTAGCTTAATTAATATTAATATGATTAGGATGGGCTGGGCCCAGTGGCTCATGCCTATAATCCTAGCACTTTGGGAGGTCAAGGAGGGAGGATCACTTGGGCCCAGGAGTTCAAGGCCAGCCTGGGCAACATAGCGGGACGCTGTCTGTACAAAAAATAATTTTTTTAAATAAACGATATTATGAGGATGGTCTTTTCCTTATGTTTCGCTTTAGAAATTCAGTCTATAGGACTGGGCGCAGTGGCTCACACCTATAACCCCAGCCCTTTGGGAGGCTGAGGGGGGCAGATTACCTGAGCTCAGGAATTCAAGGCCAGCCTGGGCAACATGGTGAAACCCATCTCTACTAAAAATATAAAAGCCAACCAGGCATAGTGGTGTACACCTGTAGTCCCAGCTACTCGGGAGGCTGAGGGGAGAATCGCTTGAGCCCAGCAGGTTGAAGCTGCAGTGAGCCAAGATTGTGCCACTGCGCTCCAGCCTGGGCAACTGAGTGAGACACTGTCTTAAAAAAAAAAAAGGAAAGAAAGAAAGAAATTCAGTCTGTAGTTTGTAGATAGTCTCTTTTAACTGATTCTAGGTGTCTTTGCCTCGTCTTCTATCTCTACTCCTTGGGGAGGCATCCAATGGAACTGGATTTGGGAACTGAGAACTGCAAGGACTGGTTTGTATAATTATGATGTTAGTAAAACTAACAGAAGATGTATAAAAGAAGCAAGATTGGGTGGGATATAGCCATTAAGAAGATGACTGCCTCACCTGTAACTGGCTGTTTGCATCCAGGGCACTGGTGGCATCATCCAGGATAAGTACACACGGTTTCCGGATCAATGCTCGGGCCAACGCCACTGCCTGTCGCTGACCCCCTGACAGCTGGCTCCCAGCCTCGTCTACCTCTGCAGAGCAAAGGGCCAAGATGAGAACGGTATAGCCACATGTGTGCACGCATGTACATGCACACAGACACACTCATGCATTCACGCACTCACACACACCAAGATCTGACGGTTGTAGCTGGATAGGGGAGATTCTGGGAAGATGAACAGAATCCTGAGGATGTCAGGATGAAGAAGCCATAGGAGCATGATCTTACAACTTCAAATTGATGTCCATGAGTAAGGAGGAACTGAAGGATAAAGGCAAGACTACTGGGGTTTCAGCAAAGGTAAAGATGGCTGGGTGGTGAGATGAGTGGAGAGAGTACCTGTGTCATAGCCCTGAGGGAGTCCAGAGATGAAACTATGGGCCCCAGACTTTACTGCAGCAGCTGTGATTTCCTCCATAGTTGGCTTCTGGGTCAGGCCATAGGCAATATTTTCTTGAAGACTTCTTCCAAATACCTGTGGCTCTTGTCCCACTGCAGCCACCTGAGATGAAATATGATGAAGAGTCATAGAACAAGGCACATGGGAGTATGGTTATCTAGAGATCGAAGACTCAAAATCTTTATTGAGAACATGTCACAAAATCATACTACCTCCCTCCTGACTACACCACCATCTCCACCCAAGGTCTCTTATCATTCCCTAACCCCTCTTTCAGAGTGCTCAGTAAGAATGCTCTTCGTATTTGATGCTCCCTGCCCTCCTTCAAGCCACCTGCTTCCATACCTGCCTGTGCAGGTAGCGGTGCTCATATTGGGGAAGGGGCTTCCCATCCAACAGCAGCTGTCCCCCGGTGGGCTGGTACAGATTCTGCAGCAGGGCAGCCACTGTGCTCTTCCCAGACCCATTGGGTCCCACCAGCGCCGTCACCTCGCCAGGGCGTAGGGTGAATGTCAGCCCCTAGAGGCCAGAGAAGCACACGATAAGAGGCTACCAAGGCCTCTAACCTTGAGAGTGTCATTGCCTTGTTACATAGCATGATGTCTTACCCCAGAAGAAAAACAGGGAAATATAGAAACTCCTACCCTCCCACATGCACAGATTTCTGGGTGATGCCTCCCCAAGGAGTAGAGATAGAAGAAGCAGCAAAGACAAGGGCAGAGACCCAGCACCACTATGCCACACACTTGATGTCAGATACCACCAGGAAAGGGAAAAATCACATTCCAAATTACAAAGGAAAAGGAAAGATGGAAGACCGAAGACACAGATTTTGCTGCAGCAATTCCTTGGAACGTGAGAGCACTCTCTTCGAAACCTCTTCTCTCATTCTCTTTGGAAGCCCAAACTGGGTTCTTGAGTTTGGGGAAGATTTATGGAACAGATGATGCCTACCATTGCCTTTAAAGGGTTAGGGAGGATATATGCTTGGCAGTAAGCAGGCTGAAGGCAGGAAGAAAATTTAGGATGGCAGAATTGCAGTTGGGGCCAGTGGAATACAGGGAGTGGTAGGTTGTACCTGTAGCACTAAGACATCTGGGCGGTTTGGGTAGGCAAAGGAGACATCTTGGAACTGGACAAGGCCCTCCAAGTGTAAGGGAGTCAACAGACCACTGGGTGGGCAGCGAGGGGTGCGGTCCAGGTACTCAAATATTTTCTCTGAGGAGCCCACAGCCTTCTGTACTCTGGGGTAGATGGAGAGCAGTACCTAGAGGGAGGTAAGAATAGTGAAAGTGAGGTAGTCTGCTTGCCAGCATTATGTGAAGCAAGAAGGGTAAAGAATGGAAGGACATCACACAGATGGTGCTGGGCCAGAGGAAGGAATCACACTGGGGAGTGAAGGTGGAGGGACCTCACCTCCACAGCCTGGGTGAACTGCATCTGGTAGAGAACAAATGTGACAAGGTTCCCACTGCTTACAGCCCCACTGGTCACCAGCTGCCCACCAATGTAGAGGATTCCCACTTTCAGCAGCATACCTGAAATCTATAAAGAGACCACAAAAAAAGGGACTGAGGTAGAGAAATCTGGAGGGGACACAAAGAACCACAGTCATTAACCTGAAGGAAATATCAAGTCCCTGTCTCCTAAGTGACATCGGCAGGCTCAATAGGCAGACAGGAGAATGAACCAGAGACCCCATGGAGTCTGACTCAATGCACATCATGCAAGTCACAGTTATCTTCACCACCATCACCACTATCACCTTGTCTGGGGAGCATTTTACTCTTCACAAAAGGCTTTCATTCATGTGATGTCAGCTAATACATGAAGAGCCTTATAAAGAAGGTTATATCACTCCATTTTTGAAAAATGAGGAAACAACCAGTCGGGCGCAGTGGCTCATGCCTGCAATTCCAGCACTTTGGGAGGCCGAAGTGGGCGGATCACAAGGTCAGGAGATTGAGACCATCCTGGCTAACACGGAGAAACCTCGTCTCTACTAAAAATACAAAAAAAAAAAAAATTAGCCGGGCGTGGTGGCGGGTGCCTGTAGTCCCAGCTACTCAGGAGGCTGAGGCGGGAGAACGGCGTGAACCCGGGAGGCGGAGCTTGCAGTGAGCCCAGATCGCGCCACTGCACTCCAGCCTGGGCGACAAAGCGAGACTCCAGCTCAAAAATAATAATAATAAGTAAAAATAAACAAACAAACAAACAAATAAATAAATAAAGAGGAAACAGTCTCAGAGAAGGTAAATTTGTTGTCATGATCACAAGACAAGTAAATTGCATCATCAAGCCAGGATCTTCGGATCACTGGCGTAGCTCTCTTTCCAGTGCATCACAGATGTCCCTCATCCCTGGCTTCCACTATTCCCATCACTCTCACTAACAAATCTACAAGGTACCAGCATGAAGCAGTCCCAGGTGCAAGAATTTATGGCGCCCTGCACTTCCCCTGAGAGGCAAAGGAAGGCCCTAGGACTGGAAGACACGCATCTCTCCAATCCACATGGTTGGGTGGATTTTATGTACCATACTGAAAGGAAGCCACCTAGCATCTTTAAAGAGAGGGAGGGGGCTAGGGACACTGAGTAGAGTCATTGAGCCTCAGGTTGCTAGGACGAAAATACTGAACCAACCATTTCCCAGTAAAGGAGGAGTGGGAGCAGGGTCATAGGAATGGGAATGGAGTCACGGCATCTTAAGGACAAGGGAATGGGTATTCATCTTCAGGTGCTCACACTAGTGGTCCAGGAGTTGACTGCATAGGCCACAGCCTCCTTCTGGTTGAGTGTCTTTATTTCTTGCAGCTTTTCCCTAAACTTCTGGGCTTCGCCCTCCTCGTTGGCAAAGCTTCGAACTGTAGGCATGGCCGACAGAGCCTCAATGGCCACCTGGCTGGACTTTGCCAGAGATTCCCGCACCTGCACTTCCAGCAACTGTGGATACATGGACAAGAGATGTCACACGGGTTGGCAAACCATCAGGGACACTAATACCTGAGTTACCTATTTGGAAATTAAAGGTGAGAAGAGACAGAGGAAAAGGAGAAAAGAGAAAGAGACACAGCTATGCCCCTTGGATGCTAAAGAAATACGAGGAAGAGGAAAATGACTCAGAACGGGTTGGGGATCAAATTCTTAAAGACAGATTGTGGGGAGAAGCTAGAAAAGAAGACCCAGAGAGTATGGAGGTTAATGTTGAGCAACCTGGGAACATGGACCACAGGGACAGGGTGTTCCATGAAGATGGAGAATCAGTAAGGGTGCCAGGAAAGCTGGACTGAAAGCAATGTGAGAGGAACTGAGTCTGCCAAGTCTGGGAGATGAGGGTCTGTGTAGAGCGGGCCAACTCCATGAACATACCTGGTACCATTTTCCCACCTTCTTGGGCAGAAGGAAAAGCAGAGGCAGGGTGATCAGGGTGACCATGGTGAGGGACACTGATCCCCAGAGCATGATCCCCAAGAGACATAGGCCTCGCACCAGGTACCACAGAAATAAGCTCAGATTCTCACTCAGAGAATCACTCAGGGTGGACGTGTCCTCTGTTACCCGAGACATGATGTTACCTGCAGGGTTGGGGAGAAGAGAGTGAGGTGAATCAGACAGGTTCCAAGTGATGAGACGAACTAACAATGAGCCAGGATGCCAGGGTCAGGGGTGTCAACATGGGGTTCTAAGGAGGCTGCAGGAAACAAGGTTAGGGTTCTCCAGAGGTCTGCAAATCTCAGTGCAGGGAAGATGAGTGTTAAAGAGGAAAGGCCTGACCTTCATTTTAATTATAAAGTCATTAATGCACATGTGAATTTCCATTTTCCTGAAAGCTTTCTGTTCCCTAGAGAACCTGTATGTCCCATGCTATACACACAGGCAGGAAGAGCTTAAACTGGTCACATAACAGAGATGGAGGAGGAGGGTGCTGCTAGGAAGCATGCCAAAGTCTGTGGAGCACTCACTGGGACTAGGGTTCTAACCCCAGGTCTATCTCTAGCCATATGTAACTGTACAGCTTCTAGTGCTGCTAGAAAGCATGCCGAAGTCTGTGGAGCACTCAAGAGACCAGGGTTCTAACCCCAAGTGTGTCTCTAGCCATATGTAACTGTGCAGTTTCAGCATTTAGGGTCTTGGCCTCAGTTTCCTTCTCTGTCAGATGAGGCAGTTGGTCTCTATGAGCTCAAAATTTCCAGGTTTGAAATTCTATGGTTTCTATCTAAGGATACATAGGAATAGATTTATAAGAAAATGCTAGATGAAAACTCTAGGTTTTTCTTAAGGTAAGGAGGACAATATTTTGCTCCTGAGGTATATCAAGAATGAGAAAAACAATTGTGTGTGTGTGTGTGTGAGAGAGAGAGAGAGAGAGAGACAGAGACAGAGAGAGAGAGACAGGGAGAGGGTATATCAAGAATGAGAAGGAACAATGTGTGTATGTGTGTGTGAGAGAGAGAGAGCGGGGAGGGGGGAGATCAAAGCAGATGTATGAGGATATGAACAGTACATGGCGTATAATGAAAGAGTTTCAGGAGAAACCTGTCTGGTTCTGTTGGAAAAACTCCGTCTCCTGGCGCAGGACAGCCCCAAACACCTCTCCCTGCAAGTGGCTGTGCACGTGGCCCATGGTGTTGTTATAGATCCCGTCACCCACGAACTCCAGCACTGCACTATAAAGAACCCGGAAAAAAAGGGGATCAGGGTGTGTTCAGGGAACAGACTGAAGGTCCCAGGTATCCCCATATAAGTGCATTTCGGACAGCAGCCCCAACTTCCAACTCCCTCATTTGCAGGGTGCCCCATTTTCAGCCCCCAGACCTGGCTATGGTGAGAATGGACATGAGAGTTAAGTTTCGAGTGAAGGTATCGGCTGAGCCATCTTGTAGAATCCAGTCAGTGAGGCGGCCCGTAAAGAATGGAATGGCCATCTCCCCTGGAGAAAGAGAAGAGAGGTCACGCACAAATATTAAGTCTAAGTAGGTCAGTTCCAGTCAGACTGGCCCCACCACGCCTCCTCCCCCTCACCATTATCCTGGAGGGCATCAGCAGAAAGGAAACACTGACGTCTCAATCCCGAACCTAAATAGGCTGCCCTGGAACTCACTACCCTGTGGTTGCTCTACCAGAACTTTCAGGATTTTATTAGGAAGGCTGGAGATCATGAAGTAGAAAAGCCTCCTGTTAGAGATGAGGATGCCCCGCCCTTCGGCCCCAGAGCAAAGGATTTCCCCGCTTCCGGCGTGGCCCAAAGAATCAAGACCCGGTCAGCAATGGAGCCCAGAACCTCTGGCCCCCGCCAGTCCAGTGCCGTTTCTTCTACACCGAAGTGGTGTTCCAAGACCCACGCTAGGAGTCCTTCTCCTGCTCCACATTTCCCAGAACCCACGCTACTCTACCTTACTGACAATTACCTTTGATTCCTGTCCCAGTCCCCTTGTGTCCTCCCCTCTTGCCCTGCGTTCCCCTTACCAAGAGAGGAGAGGACCACCAGGACCAGGAACAGCGAGAGGCGGCGCGTCTCCGAGCCCAGGCAGCCTAGAAGCCGACGCACAGGGTTTCCAGAGCCGCCCTGACCGCCGGGCACCCAGAGGCTCCCGAGTTTGTGCCACAGGGCTGCTGCGGGCAGTGCCGCTGCATAACTGACAACGAAGGCGGTAGGGTGACTTCCCCAGTGCAGTAGCCTGGTGCTATCCGCGGACCCGGGGGCTCCCCATGAGATCAGCTCTCGGAACAAGGCAAGTCCCGGCAGGGCCAAGCCCAGTGCCGCAGCTAATGGCTTCAAAGCAGCCAGCCAGCCCTGGGCACCTGCGTTTTCGCTCTTGGAGCCACCCGTTGCCCTGAGGACCCCGCAGGCCCCCAGCCAGAGCACGGCCCAGCGGCTCAGGCCCACCGCCCAGACCCGGAGCAGTGGCAGCGCGGTGGGCACCAGCAGGGAGAATATGCGGGGCAGCGCGGTCCGGAGCAGCACCCAGTCGGCGAGAAGTAGCAGTACTGTCCCCAGCCATGCGAGAGAAGCTCCGGGGAGGCAGCGGCACCCGCGGGGAGCGGGACACCTAGAGCTAGCCATTGGCACTCGGACGCCGTCCCGGTCCCGGCCGGGCCTGGGACTCTCCGCGCCCCGGTGGGGCCTGAAGCTCCGGGTACCGCCGAGTCCTCCCCTACTGGCGGCTGGGGGAGGGAACGAGGGCGGGGCTCTCGGAAAGTCCCAGGAACAGGCTGATCCTGCGCTGGCGAGAAGCTCAGCCATTTAGGGGAAAGCGAAATCGAAAGCGGCCGCCTGCTCACTAGATAACGCCTACTTCCAAAAGTGGCCTGCCCAGACTATTTTGGTAGCAAGCGTGGAAATCAGATCTGAGAATCTCGGGAGCAGCCCTGGTGCCCAATTTTCTCCATCACGCACACCCTTCTCGCCTCTCCCTGCCTCCTGCCTTTCCACTTGCACCAGTTTTCCCACCCCAGCCTCAGGGCGGGGCTGCCTCGTCACTTGTCTCGGGGCAGATCTGCCCTACACAAGTTAGCGCCGCGCGCAAAGCAGCCCCGCAGCACCCAGGCGCCTCCTGGCGGCGCCGCGAAGGGGCGGGGCTGTCGGCTGCGCGTTGTGCGCTGTCCCAGGTTGGAAACCAGTGCCCCAGGCGGCGAGGAGAGCGGTGCCTTGCAGGGATGCTGCGGGCGGGAGCACCAACCGGGGACTTACCCCGGGCGGGAGAAGTCCACACCGGGGTAATGGGTCTGGGCTTGAGGGTTGGCAGAGGGGTGGAGGAGATGCAGCGGCCAGGGGACCCTGGAAGCGCGCGCGGAGAAGTGAATGCAGAGACCAACGGGAGCGCAGGGAGGTCGCCTGTAGCAGCCAGCGCTTGCAACCCGCAATGAGCATAGAGTATTTCTTTTCTGAGGGGGGTCGTCTAGAGTGTCCGTGAAGGGACCAGGCACGCGAGGCTGGTGGAAAAAGGGGGTGCTTTGACTCTTAGCTGGAAGCGTCAACGGGAAGCTACTCTAAAGCGCTTTCGCTTTCACTCTGGTCCCGGACAGTGGGGGCTGGTTAAATCAAGAAAGGGGGTTGGGGATGGTGCAAAGAGATGAGGAAATGGTGCCCTGGGTGAAGTAGAACAGCACTTGGGAGAAGGAAATATAGGCACTTATTGAGAAGGACCAACTCATCACACAGACTTTTGATAAACTTGCCACTGGGCAACTCTTAGCCCAAGCACTGATAATGGGCGTTCTGTGTTAACTAGTGATGCCCTTCCCTAGCTTGACCCAGGAAGGCCTCTCCTTGGCCCAGATGCTGCCTTACTCCCTTCCCTGTGTCTTCCCTGCCCACTCCCATGTGCCCACTGGGGGGACTTTGCTTAGGATGGGCGCCTGGGGCAGATGGCAGCCCCAAGACTGGCTGGCTGGCTTCTGCTCTGGACTACTGCCACCACTCGTGGCTTGGGGGCGGCTTTGTTAGAGAGGAATAGCCTCTAACTTGAAGTTAACCCTGTTCTTTGACCCTCTATTCATGATAAGTCTGTCCGTCGGAAAGCATACTCAGAGGAGCGTCCTTTGGGGCCAGAGTAATTTACGGCCTGGTAAGAAAGACACAGTGAAACCACTTATAATTTGGGAAATCTCCCCTCACTGCCAAAAGAGCAGTGGCAAGTAGGAAGTAGAAGTGGAAACAAGGGATAAGAGTTAGACCTGAATTTTAGTCCCAGGTCTACTATTAACTCTGTGTGACTTTGCATAAGTCGTTTGCATTTTCTGTGACTTGGTTTCCTCATTTGAACCGAGGATCTTTAAGGCTCCTTCCAACTCAATAGTAGAATAAATGTAGCTTTATCTTCCCTCACTTCTTCTTGATTCTTTTCTTGACCTGGAAAAGTCAGCTTAAACTTCTCAGTCAAATTATCTCTTGGTACAAATTTACCCCCCTGGCTGCTGAGATATGTATTTACCTCTTGATCGGAAATTCCATAACTGAAACTTTTATTTTCAACCATCTGTATGTGTTCCTTGCTGCTTCTCTCCTGCCTTGCCCCTGGCCATGCTAACCACTGCCCTCCTCGATTTTTTCCAATGTTCAGTAAATTGGAAGAGCTCACTTCTGATGAAATGGGGGGTGAGAGTGGAGGATTGTGGACCAAAAAAAAAAAAATAGACTGACCTTGTTTCCCAAGATCATAGTCAATTACTCTGTGTTGGGTCTACACCACATCTGCACATACTATGAGCCCTTCCGTTGGAGATAATTTTCACTTGCGGAGCTGCTTCACTTCTACCTGTAGGAGCCTCATCTCCACCTCTCTACAGTGGAGAGGATTCCACTAGGCAAGTTGGAACTTAGGGACACAGTTCTTTCTGTGTTGTATCACAGCTGGGCTGTGGCATTCCCCTGCAGCCGGATGAAGCAATAGAGAAAGTGGAAAGATGAAGGGAAAAAAAGCCTGTACTGACAGTCAGCTCTGGCCTGTTACTGTGTAATCTTTGAGCCAGTCACTTCGCCTCTCTGGGAATGTTTCTTCTTCTCTAACATGAGGGCATCAAGGCTGTTCTTGCCCTGACATTCCATATTCTGTGTCTCTGCAGACCACCATCATGGCAGTGGAGTTTGACGGGGGCGTTGTGATGGGTTCTGATTCCCGAGTGTCTGCAGGGTGAGTAAAAGTGAAGATGTATGCATTTGGAAAGAAGCTAATGGCCTCAAATACACACTTTCCTTACCCATTCATGAAAAGACTGGCAAACTGGAGCCTTGGAGGAATGGAGTTGACCTTCCCCAAAAGCCACTATGATAAGCTATTTGGTGGGTGCTTGGGTCTCTGAATTTGTGGAGGAGGATCTGGGGTCTGAATGTGTATGTGACCTGTCCCAGTAGTGTACAGGGATGAGTAAAGGAATAGGGTCTGAGAGGGGGACAGGAGATAGATTTTTGAGGGTCTTCTTTCCATCTGTGCTTAGGGATCAAAAAGATGATTCTGTCAAGCAGATATCTGGTTTCTCATTTACCATATATTGAACTATTTTGTCTCTTCTCCCACTCCTAACCAATTTCCTCACATGCAAAATGAGTATATGGGGTTAGGTCAATATTACTGACATTATGTTCCATAGAACATAACTCTCTCAAGATTGTTAATAGCAAAGAAAATTGATGAGGCATATTTTTCTTACCTTAGCATTTTTTGCTTTGTTATAAAATCTAAGCCTGAAAAATAAGCCTAATTTTGATTAACATCTGCAGTGATTAATAATATCTGAGATGATTATTTGCCTCCTGCTTTAATCCAAGCATTAAACTTCATGCTATTCTCTTGTCAAAGAAATTTGAGAGACATTGAATGATCACCCTCAAAAATTCCTGAGTTCTGGTTGGGTGCAGTGGCTCACATCTATAATCTCAGCACTTTGGGATGCCGAGGTGGGCAGATATTTGAGGTCAGGAGTTTGAGACCAGCCTGGCCAACATGTTGGGACCTTGTCTCTACTGAAAATACAAACATTAGCTGGGCTTGGTGGTGGGTGCCTGTAATCCCAGCTATTCGGGAGGCTGAGGCAGGAGAATCACTTGAACCAGGGAGGCGAAGTTTGCAGTGAGCCCAAGATTGATCCACTGCACTCCAGCCTGGGTGACAGAGTGAGACTGTCTCAAAAAAAAAAAAAAAAAAGCAAACCTGAGTTTTAACTTGGTGACTGTTGACTCCCTCCTGACAGCGAGGCGGTGGTGAACCGAGTGTTTGACAAGCTGTCCCCGCTGCACGAGCACATCTACTGTGCACTCTCTGGTTCAGCTGCTGATGCCCAAGCCGTGGCCGACATGGCCGCCTACCAGCTGGAGCTCCATGGGTATGAAGCTCTGGAGTTCTGACTCCCCACCCACTAGAGCTCCCCCAACCTGCATGAATCCCTGTACAGTGTGCTGTTCCAGGAGCTGGACACTGGGAAATGGAAAAGTCTTGTTTCGGCTCTTGCTGGCACTTGAATCTGTCAGTTTCTGCATCTGTAAAGTGGAGATAATATAGCACCTCATGAGACGGTTATTTTGAGAACCACGTTCTATATGTGAACACAGTTTAAAAGCTGTAAATCACTATCCTGATATAAATAATCAGGAAGAAGGTGATATTGTGACCCACCATAATATCAGGCAGTTACCATACGAGAAATCAAGGTCGTTGGGATGGAAGTAACCTTATCTGCTTTTCCCCATAAGAGCAGGGTCCTTGCAGCCAAAAGAAAGTTATGTGGGTGGGGCTGAGCAAAAGAGTGAGCAATTGAAAGCTTCTTACCAGTTGGTGGTGTGGGACTCTGGTTCCCCTGTACATGTGGGAGGGAGGCTGCAGTTTGAGCTATTGCAGTTACAGTTTTCAGGGGTCGTTTAGCAGGGATGATGGTAACAGTATAGGAGAATGAGACTTAAAATTCTATCAACCTTTATTCCTAATATTTCCCTCAGGATAGAACTGGAGGAACCTCCACTTGTTTTGGCTGCTGCAAATGTGGTGAGAAATATCAGCTATAAATATCGAGAGGACTTGTCTGCACATCTCATGGTAGCTGGCTGGGACCAACGTGAAGGAGGTCAGGTGAGTTTCTCCCAAAGCACTCTCTCCTCTGGGCTTCCCCACTCTCCTGCAGAGGAAGATGGAAGTCCTATGTCATTCTAGCAATGAGTTCCAAGGACACTACCTCTGAAAGCATAGTACTTTGGGGATATGAGATACCAGGGCTTCATTGCAGGGTGCAGAGACCACTTAATGTCTCAGTGGGAAGGAAGGGCTTGATGATTCTTTAACCTGAGGATCCCTTTCCCAGGTATATGGAACCCTGGGAGGAATGCTGACTCGACAGCCTTTTGCCATTGGTGGCTCCGGCAGCACCTTTATCTATGGTTATGTGGATGCAGCATATAAGCCAGGCATGTCTCCCGAGGAGTGCAGGCGCTTCACCACAGACGGTAACCAGCCAAGTGGAAGGGTACCTGGGGAGGGCTTTGAAACATGGGAAGGAAGTAGATTATGAGGAACAGGAAGAGAAATACAGGGGTGGCCATTTAAGTTAATGCCGGGCCTGGTACACTTTTAAGAGTGAAAAGGGGCAGGACAAATGCAAAGCTCAATGGGGCTCTTGGGCAATACGGATAAACCAGGGCTGTTCTGAGTAAATCAAATGAGGATACACAGTCACTGTGAGAACCAGTGGTGTGCTAAGCACAGTGGCTCACACCTGTAATGCCAACAATTTGGGAGGCTGAGGCAGGAGGATTACTTGAGCCCAGGAGTTTGAGGCCAGCCTAGGCAAGATGGTGAAACCCTGTCTCCACAAAAAACAATAAAAAAAAGTAAAAAAAAAATGAACTGGGCATAGTGGTGCACACCTGTAGTCCCAGCTACTCAGGAGGCTGAGGTGGAAAGATCATCTGAGCCGGGGAGATCAAGGCTGTAGTGAGCGGTGATTGCACCACTGCGCTGCAGCCTAGGTGACAGAGAGAGACCCTGTCTGGAGAAAAAAAAAAAAAAAAAAGAACCAGTGGTGTGCTGAGGTGTGCTGAGGCTGGCTTGGGACCACTCATGAGAGCGGACTGTTAAATAGTCAAGGATTTGTGAACTGCTTAGCTATTTGTAACTTGCAATTCATCATAGCGGGAGCATTTACACCATGGACATCAGCAGATGCCACATATGGAAGCCTTTTTGTAAAAAAACTGATTTACCAGCACACCACTAAATATGCCTTCCTGGAAGATGAGTTTTGAGGTGAAAGTGGTAGTAGGCATATGGATGGAGGGGGAGTAAAAAGATTTTTGAAGCTAAGCCATCCTCTCTCTCCCTCTCTCCAACTTGAAACCCTCTGCAGCTATTGCTCTGGCCATGAGCCGGGATGGCTCAAGCGGGGGTGTCATCTACCTGGTCACTATTACAGCTGCCGGTGTGGACCATCGAGTCATCTTGGGCAATGAACTGCCAAAATTCTATGATGAGTGAACCTTCCCCAGACTTCTCTTTCTTATTTTGTAATAAACTCTCTAGGGCCAAAACCTGGTATGGTCATTGGGAAATGAGTGCTCAGGGAGATGGAGCTTAGGGGAGGTGGGTGCTTCCCTCCTAGATGTCAGCATACACTCTTTCTTCTTTTGTCCCAGGTCTAAAACATCTTTCCTAGAGAAAACAAAAGGGACTAAACTAGAAATATAAAGAGCCCTATACATGACAGGTGATCACGTACTGAATGATTTTGTAGTACAAACAATAAAAATTCTCATTCCGCATCATCATGCGGTCCATGATGATGAGGCCGCAAGTGAGGTGATGGGACTCTTTCCTTTAAGGCTAAGACTGACAGATAGGCAAGACACCTACACACATGAGAATTAGCTAAGACTATCAGCAAACTCGCATGTAAAAGAATTCCTTTCATAATGCATTCATTCATATTAAAGGGCAATACATGAAAAATGCTTAAATATTTTGGGGCACTTGTGAATTTCAAAGAATAATGACAATAACCAAAAGAAGCTACATTTGTGGCATTGGCTAAATGTTTTATAAATTTTATCTCTTAAAATTCAAACCAAAAAACCCCCTGTATTCACACCTGTAATCCCAGCACTTTGGGAGGTCAAGGCGGGAGGATTGCTTGAGCCCAGGAGTTAGTGACCAGCCTGGGCAACATAGTGAGAACCCCATCTCTACAAAAAAATTTAAAAATTAGTCGGGTGCGGTGGTGCATGCCTGTAGTCCCAGCTGCCTGGGAGGCTGAGTGGGAGGATCGCTTAGGCCTGGGAGTTTGAGGCTACAGTGAGCTGTGATTGCGCCACTGCACTCTAGTGTGGGTGACAGAGAAAGACCCTATCTTAAGAAAAAAAAAAGAAAAGAAAAAGAAAAAACAAACAAACAAAAACACCCAACCCTATATAGGTAGTATTATTACTTCTATAGGACACATAGAGGTTTGGAAAGATTAAATCACTTGACCAAGGTCACAAAATAAGTTCTGAGGCTGGGATCTGGGATTCAGTCTTATTATATGCCCTTCCTCTACCACTCCCTAAAACTTCTCATTCCCTCAATCCCCATATATCATCTTAAAATCTGCAATAAATAGCCCCATACATTCGTTGGCACTTAGGAAACTGTTACCAGATGGCTGAGTAACTGTATTAAAACAAATTTAATTCTGCTTCTATCTTTGCCTTGCACTTCCTGAGTGACAGGAGTGAACTCTCATATCCTTTTCTGTCAAAAGATGGTGCTGAATGATTTCTAAGGTAGTTTACAGTTCCAACATTCAATGCCATTTTGCTAACAAGTGGGCAGTCAACAGGCATATTCAACAGAAATACTAGTAGGATCTCAGGCTAAACATACGAATTCAAAACTCTAAAACAATCACATCCCCCTGGAGTGTAAAGAAAAAAATCTAAAATTACAAATGCCTGGAGTTGTTTCTAGCCATGATATTTAACTTATTTGAGATTTTAAATAGCCCATTTTTCCCACTGATCACAAGTAGAAATTCTGGGCAGTATACAAAAAGCAAGTACTCAAGGACTCCAAAAAGTAAACAAAAGCAGGTGGATTGTGAAGAGGGTCAAAACTGGGAGAGGGGCCCCTCCTGGGGAGTGGGTTTTCAATGTTTTCCCCTTTTTTCCTCCCAGCTCTGCCCTGACGTCAGGCCTCAGGTGCAGAGCTGCACTGCGTGGTAGCACAAGCCCTGAGTTAACAAGAGAAATACCGGCTTTCTGGCCAGAGGAATGAAGAAAAAGGGCCCCTGCAGGCAGGAATGTGTAGGGGAATCTCCAAACTGAGAGTACAGGCGGAAATTCCCTAATTCTGAGTCTGAACCCTCAGGAGTACCAGGTTACCCCTGAGCTGCACATGCGTGTGACATGCCTTAAGGGCACAGCAAAGACTTTGAGAACTGAATGAAGATTAGATCTTTTAAAATTAGAAGACTTCGGCCAGGCGCGGTGGCTCATGCCTGTAATTCCAGCACTTTGGGAGGCCAAGGCGGGTGGTTCACCTGAGGTCAGGAGTTCGTGACCAGTCTGGCCAACATGGTGAAACCTCATCTCTACTTAAAATACAAAAATTAGCTGGGCGTGGTGCCTGTAATCCCAGCTACTCGGGAGGCTGAGGCAGGGAGAATCGCTTGAACCCGGGAGGCAAAGGTGGCAGTGAGCCAAGATTGCGCCATTGCACTCCACCTGGGCGACAAGAGAGAAATTCCATCTCAAAAAAAAAAAAAAAAAAAAAAATTAGAAGACTTCATTTTTCTGTATTGGCCAAATAACTGTTCTAATGCCCTTCATTCCAATAAAAGGTTTGTAGCAGCTTACAGAGATAATTTAAAACAATTTTTAAAAGAAGAAAACAACACTGGGTCAAAGAGAAAATATGGTTAAGAAAAGTAAGTGAAGCCAAGGAGTGAAACTAATGGAAACTAATGGACAACGTGAATATCTTAAAAAAAAAAAAAGTGGTGCGCTGTCTTATACTGGCTAGCAAGAGCAGATTGCAAAGTATTCAGGATTTTTGAAGACAGTTGTTAACTATTGGTAACTTGATATTGACCACTATGGAAGTATTTATACTATAGAAATCAGCAATGCTACAAGTCAGAAGCATTGTTTTTCTTCAGAGAGCCGGTTTAACAGGACACATATTTATCAGCCAACTATAAATAGATAAAAAATAATTGGCTCCGGGCCATAGGATAGTGAAAGCAAAGAAGGAAATAAAATGAGGTACAAGATTCATAAAATTCATTTTTTAAAAGTTGCCAGAAAACCAAAAATTATATATAATAGTTCAAGCCACACAGAACATTTACTCAAATAGGACATGCATCATTCCATAAAGGTAACGCCAATAAATTCCAGAGTATCGGTATCTTAGAAACTATCTATATTCTAGGCCAGGAGCAGTGGCTCACGCCTGTAATCCCAACATTTTGGGAGGTCAAGGTGGGCAGATCCCTAGAGCCCAGGAGTTTGAGACCAGCCTGGGCAACATGGCAAAACCCCGTCTCTACAAAAAATTTAGCTGGATGGGGTGCACCTGTAATCCCAACTAGTCAGAAGGCTAGATGGGAGGATCGCTTGAACCCAGGAGGCAGAGGTTGCAGTGAGCTGAGATTGTGCCACTGCCCTCCAGCCTGGGCAACAGAGTAAGACACTGTCTTAAAAAAAAAAAAAAAAAAGAAAGAAAGAAAGAAAGAAAGAAACTATATTCTGCAACCATACTGTAATAAAATTAGAACTTGATAACTAAAATATACTTAAAATTGTAAGTGAACAAATATATTTATCAGTAACATGGATTTAAAAGGCAGTCGTGGATGGGAGCATCGCTGGAGTCCAGAAGATGGAGGCTGCAGTGAGGCATGATTGCGTCACTGCACTCCAGCCTCAGCAATAGAGTGGGACCCTGTGTCAAATAAATAAACAGCAGTTATAAAGAAAATTAACTCTTTTAGAACCAGGTGTTAAAAATGTTACACATAAAATATACATATAAAATAATATTATAATTTCAAATACATTTATTAGAACAAGAAAAGTTAAAATAAAGGACCTAAAAATTCTACTCAAAAATTTGGAAAAAGAGAAGTTGAGCAAACCTAAAGAAATACGAAGAAAAGGAGTTATAAAGATAAGAATAGAAAGCAATGAAACAGAAATAGAGAACAAAAAACTAGGTAGTGAAAATTAACATACTTTTGATTCCAAAAGCTGCTTACTTAAAAATATTTGTAAGATATTCAGAGTTACAACAAGGCCGATTATGGATAAAGGGAGAAAAAATGAATAAACAAATACATAATGAAAAAGGGGGAACAGCTACAGATATGACACAGATATAAAGCATAGAGTGTTATGAACAAGTATATGCTAATAAATTTGAAAACCTAGGTGAGATATGCAAATTCCTAGAAACATTTAATCTATCAAAATTAGCACAAAAAGAAATACAAAACTTGACTATACCAATGAGTATTAAAGCAATTTTTAAAGTTATCAATGGCATCTAATAAAAAAATATATTTTTGAAAATGCCCAGATGGTTTCACAGATGAGTTCTATCAAACATTCAAGGAACATGAAACTTCTATATTATATACTTTTTCCAGAAAATAGAAAAAAACTAAACCTGATTAGCTAATTTTATCAGCCGAGTGTAATCTTGACTCCAAATTGAGTTGTGGAAAACT
This sequence comes from Homo sapiens, assembly GCF_000001405.40. Taxonomy (NCBI): domain Eukaryota; kingdom Metazoa; phylum Chordata; class Mammalia; order Primates; family Hominidae; genus Homo; species Homo sapiens. Next base: position 4,263,013 of record NT_167249.2, read on the forward strand.
CAAGGAAAAAAAATAATAGACCCATTTCACCTTGAACACAGATGGGAGAAAAAAATAATTATTTATGAACCGAATTCAACAATATTACAAATAATAATACTGGGAGGCCGAGGTGGGAGGATCGCCTGAGGCCAGGAGTTCAAGACCAGCATTGTCAACATACTGAGATCCTGTCTCTACAAAAAATTAAAAAATTAGCCAGGTGTGGTGGTGAGCACCTGTAGTCTCAGCTACTAGGGAGGCTGAGGCAGGAAGATCATTTGAGCCCAGGAGTTTGAGGCTGCAGTAAGCTATGATTGCACCACTGCATTTCGGCCTGTGCAACAGAGCAAGGCCCTGTCTCTAAAAATATGTATAATAATAACAATAATAATAATGATTATGCTAATAATGATACATCAAGATCAAATAGGGAATCCTTGGAATACTAGGGTGGTTCAATATAATAAAACATATTGTTGCTATAATTTACCATATTCATAGAGAAGTCATTTCCTTTGCTCAGTCTATTAATAAAAGACATTTGGTAAAGTATATCCATTTGTGATTTTTGAAAAACAGTTAAGGAAGCAGGAATCAAAACTTTCCTATTTTGGCAAAGGTTATAATCCAAAAAATCTGTAACCACTAGTATACATAACGGAAAAACCTTGGGTATCCAAGACAAGAATGTTCACTATAATTACTAGCTTATCATAGCACTAAAGCCTATGGGCAACATAACAAGACCCCATTTACCAAAAATAAATTTAAAACATTTTAATTAGCTGGCATGGTGGCATGCACCTGTAGTCCTACCTACTTGGGAGGCCAAGGCAGGAAGATTGCTTGAGCCCAGGAGTTTGAGCTTATTGTGAGCTGTGATCACACCACTGCACTCCAGCCTGGGTGACAAAGGAAGACCGTATTTCTAAAAAATAAAAAATACAAATACAACTACAAACTAGCACTAGACCAACAGTGACTATGTACCATGAACTGAGGAATATTATTAATTCCACCATTTGCATCTGAGGTTAACAATATGTCAATGACTTAAATAACATCATATCTCTGAGAGTAATTTCTCCTATATTTCCATGACAAATGTTAGATAATTTTCCATTTTTTCCATTCAACAAAATAAACAGGAAATATAATTAAAGAGTTCAATTGAGGATTGGGATTTAGAAAGGAAGGCAGGAATTAAGAATAATCCTTAGTTCTCTTCCTAATTTGCACCTCTCTCACTGATACATATGTATTATTTTCTTTTTATGTCTTTTAGAGTCTAATAAACATGTTTTATATTATATAACAAACTAGAATATATGGATTATCTTTGGTCTTCCTTACCAAGTTCTTAACTCTGCTGGCTCTGGGGCACTGGACATACCATGTAAGAAGAAAAATGTTTTAACTCCATTGAACTTATTCAGAAGCATCGGAAATTGGTTCAGCAATATTCAACTTTGCCCAGCAATGTTTATGAAAGTTTCATATATAGTATAGTATAAGTATGTGTAATACAGAATTTATGTTCTCAAAAATGAAGAGATAAAGTATGGAGATTCTAAACTCTGTTGACATAGAAGAGGGTGGATTTCTCGAAGAAACAGCCTTCTATAGAAAGTGGCTTGTATGAGTCGGGATTCTCCAGAGAAGCAGAACCAATAGGATGTTGGCAGAGAGAGATTTATTTTAAGTAATTGGCTCATACTACTGTGGAAGCTGGCACGGTCGAAATCTGCAGGTAGGCTGGAGACCCGGGAAGAGCTGATGTTGCGGCTTGAGTCTGAAGGTGGTCCAGAGGCAGAATTCCCTCTTCCTTGGAGGACATCAGTCTTTGCCCCTAAGACCTTCAACTGATTGGAAGGGCCACTTACATTATGGAGGGTAATCTGCTTTACCCAAAATCTATTGATTTAAATGTAAATCTCATCTAAAAAATACCTTCACTGCAATATCTAGACTGGTATTCAAATGTCTAGAAACCATAGCCTAGCCAAGTTAACACATAAAATTAACTATCACTTGGCTCAAGGTGAAACTTCCAGATCAATGTGGCAGGAGTGTTGAGGAAGGAAGTGAACTCGGTTCTAACCAAGTAGGACAGCCAAATCATCACTGAAGTGTGGCACTGGCCTTTCGCCAAGGTAACATGTGGCAAGGTTTTAGGTTAGGATAGGTACCAGGCAAAAGCTGGGTGACTCGATGGAGGCTTTTGTGCCAACCTTCAGAGACTGGCTGCGTCAGACTGCCCTCAAGAGCATACAAAGGAAAAAAGACAAATTAAAAGCCTTTAATCCAAACTCAAGACATGAATGAAAAACTGTAAATGCCTCTATAGCAGTTTTAAAGGCTATCTTTTCTCCTGCAACCCAGCACAGATATGGCTGAGGGTCAAGCCCGGGGGCTTATGATAAAGGTTATGAAGTTGTAGAAATGTTTGTTGCATCATCCAACAGCAGCTGTTGTGATAAGGCAAGACCCCTGGTTGGGATAGACCGGACCCTGAGATATGAAATAGGGACATATGAGCAGACACAGAGAAGTCTGAGTGAGAACTATGAATCACCGCACCCCCTGAGGGTCCTTGCTGGAAGAAGCAGACTCACCGTATTAGTTACCTATTGCCATGTAATGAATGACACCCGCTTAAAATAACAGACATTTACTATAAGGTGTTACTGGGACAATGGGGGATTTTTTAATATGGATTGTGTGTTTGATAATATGGTATCAATTTTAAGTATCTTGGGGGTGATGACAGTATTAGGGTTTTGCAGGAGAAATGTCCTTATTCTTAAATTATACATGACAAAATATTTAGGGGTCAAGTGGCATAATTTCCACAGATTACTCTCAAATTGTTTAACAAAATGGTTCTTCAACAGTAAATGGATAAACAAAACGTAGTCTATTCGTGCAACACAGTACTATGTAAACAATGAAACTTCATCAACTACTGAAAATGTAACAACATGGACGAATCTCATAGAAACAATATTAAGTGAAGAAGCCAGACTTGCAGAAATACATACTGTATGTTTCCATTATCTATTGCTGGGCAGCACACCAACTCCAAACTTAATGGCTTAAAACAAAAATAATCATTTTATTATCTCTCATGAAACTGTGAATTACTGGACTTTAAGAGCCACTGATGTAGTCCATGAACCAAAACACATATTCACGGCAGCCACTCCACCCAGCACCTCACACCTGTGATGTTTACTGGCTGCCCATGGGATTTGAACACCTTTAGAGTACTGTGAAATTTCCCCTACCTTTTGAGTCCTGCCTCCCTAAAGTGGAAACCAGAAAGCTCACTTCCCCTAGCCTTCTTTGAAGCTAGAGCACCTAAGTTCCACCAATTAAATTCATCCACCTAAGACTTCAGTTACAAAGGGGCCACAGGAGGAACCAGGGTGTGGGGGTTGCAGAGCACCTTTTACTGTATTTATTTCTCTGGCAAAGGTGACAGAAGAAGCAACTGTCTTTTGGGGAAGCGGTGGGTTTTTTCCTTTTTTTTTTTTTTTTTTTAAGTGAAGTTCCTGAAACAGAAGTGGTTTAGGAGGTGTCTTCAGTGGTGGCTGCAGCAACCTCCAGGTCCTAACAACAGAACCAACAGCAGCGTCTAGAAGCCATGGGGCAGCAGCAGTGGTGTGGCTCATCAGACCTGCTCTCTGCGTGGTCTGACCCTGTACATACATGTGCCTCTCATCCGTAGTTCCAGCATTTCCTCTCTAAAGTCTAGTTCTGAGAGAAATTTCTTTGGTAGACTTTTCAAAGTTTTATCAAACTCAAAGAGGGAACCAGCAAGAATACAAGAGCCTTGATCCAAAGAGTATTTGAAAAACAGAGCTGTATCTCTCTGTGAGGAAATAATTTCTAGGCTAGAGATTCAAAATGGCTAACGTGCTAGAGGGCAATAAAATCATAACCTTGGTGTTATCTTCTTTACCGGAGAAAAAGAGAAAGCCAGCATCCCTTATCAGCTCTCTGCTGATTAACCTCTAATCGCACAGGGCTGGCCGGGTTCGTCTTAGGCAAATTACAATCCCTGAAACACTCTGGTTTTGATAAGGCAGAATTATGAGCAAAGGTTCAAGTGTGATATAAAATAATCAAGCACGTACAATTTTGCCTTATTTATAATTTTGAAACACTTTTCCTACACAATTTCTGACCTTAAGGGGCAGAATTAACCAAATAAAACTTTTCAGAAATGCTCTAATTCAGTTCCACTCATTTTATCGTCTCTATTTGGCCTGTTTTAGGGCTAAACCCAGAAGCAAAATCTTCTTCAAAATGAATGTATTGACAGTCACCATGCCAGACTTGGAGTACGAACAAGAGCATCCTTTTACCCTTACTGAAACCTATGTGGTCACTAAAACATATATCAATAATATTTTTAACCTGGACAAAATTAATCTAGAAAATTGAGCTACTGTTTTTTATTTGTCAGCTTTTACCACATTGTGGGTTTGAGACACAGGTAGTTCTTTTGATAGTACAGCGTTAATTTAAAATATAAAAATCATGCCAAACACATCTAATTACTTTTAGCTTCCTTCAACAGTAGGCGGAGGAAGGTGAAAAATTAAGCCTTTTGCGCCACCTAGTGGCCAAATGGGTAGTGGCTGTCTAGTGAGAAAAAACAAAGATTTGGGGGCGTGAAAAATAGCTTGACAGTGTTAGTATTCTGAATTCAGGGTATGAGGTTGGAAGAAGGCAACAACAAAAAAGAATTTTCAGAGAAACTGGTCACTTAAGTGCATAGGTACCTGAGAGTGAGCAATTGTTATAACTTTGATATCTCAATAACCAGAGTGACAATAAAACATTTGAAAATAAACATAAAGAAGGTAACAATTATAAGAAACTTTAGGTGTTTCAGAAGCAAATGGTTTTTTGTTGTTGTTTGTTTTTAAAATAATTTAAAAACTTGATGCTATCAGCACAAAGCACTAAAAGTTATCAAGGTATTAAGTGAGAGCATTCTGATAAGAAACCACCGCTAGCTGGGCAGATTATGCTAAAGGGAAAGAAAAAGTTTTTTCTCTGTCTTTAAGTGTAGAGTGTATATTCCAAGATCAATTTTAAATTACAAATCCTCTCCTTTTTTGCTTATTAATTCGAATTCATCATTACGTGTGTGTTTTACAGAAATACATACATAGTTGAATGACAATTTTGTTTAAAACTTTCCACTTTAGTTTTAAAATGTAGTTAATCTTATCAATACAATACATGAATGTATATCCACACTAAGTTTACCACCTTAATTTGAGTTTTGCAAAAATTAAATATGGACAAAGGTATATATATAGAAAGCCACTTAGTGACCCAATAATCTTTCTCTCTATGATACACTTAAGAATTTTTTAGACAATAAAAAGTCACTTATTAACTAGCTCAGTGAAAATTAGTCCAAAGTAACAAAATCATTTGAGGCTGCAAAACAACAATATCACTATTGATATTAGGAGTTTTTCAAAGAGGTAAAATTCTAAAATTTTTACATAGAGTGCAAGCTAAGTAGCTAAGTCAAATGACTTGCAATATTTTTCTGAAATTCACAAGAGCCAATAGTTAAAAAAAAGCATCTCATAACATTTAATTAAAAATATACATTTTCATTTAAGTTTGCTTCCCACAAACCACTGACACACTCATTGACACAGTGAATGAGTCTAGTGACAAGAAACAAATCCTTTTTGTTAGGTCACTTCTAACACTCTGCCTCCAACAAAATAAAGAGGACCTATTCAAGCTGTCAGCTATTATATCATTTAAAGTAATTTTGGGAAGGAGGCCAGGCAGGAGGATCGCTTGAGGCCAGGAGTTCAAGACCAGCCCTGGGCAACATAATGAGACCCTGTCTCTATGAATAATAATAATAAAATTAGTCAGGCATAGTTCGATGTGTCATAGTCCTAGATACTCTGAAGGCTGAGGCAGGAGGATCACTTGAGCCCAGGAGTTCGAGGTTACAGTGAGCTATGATCGCACCACTACACTCCATCTTGGGTAATGGGGCCAGCCAAACACCACAGAAAAAACTGCGACTCCACCCCCACCAGCTAAGGTCAAATGAGGAGCCTAGACTTTCACCCTCACCAGGCTGTCATAAGGAACCCAACACTTCAACACACACATGCCCACACACCAGGATGGTGTCAGAGAAAGTGAATAGGGAGTCAGGATGGTCATGCCCTCTTGGTGAAAATGTACTCCTTTCCCCAAGCCCCTGAAATGTCAATGGAAACCTAGACTTCCATTCCTCACCCAACAGTAATGAAGCATCTCTTCCCCTCTCCTCTAGGGTGATGTCAGACAATGCCTAATGGAGAGTCAGGATTTTCATCACCACCCAGAGTTAATCCAGCAACCACTCCCTGATACCTACCACTCACTCCTCCACTCCACTGTCCCATCTTGGTGTCAATAAAGGTCATGTGAGGGATAGTAAGTGGCACTCCTCTCCCAACCAACCAGGGAGGTATTAGTGGGCACCTAATAGGGAGCCAGAATTTCTGTCCCCACTCATAATAATGGGGACCTATCTGAGGTGTCAATGAAGGCAGAGTGAGAAGCCTGGACTCCTACCCCTACCTGGCGTCATGAAGCTCACCTGCCTACCTGCTGGAGAGGTGTTAAAAGAAGCCAGCTAAAACAGTTTAAATAAGACCGATAGCCTTATAACATAATGCCTGAAATGTCCAAGTTTCAACTGGAAATTATTTGTCATATCAGGAACCAGGAATATCTCAAATTGAATTTTTAAAAGACAATAAAATAGATGCCAAAACGGAAAGAAAAGCCTGATGAAGATTTTAAAGCCACCATTATTAAAATGCTTTGATGAGCAATTAACACTTAAAAGAATGAAAAAAATAGGATGTCCAGTTCAGTGGTTTAAAAAAAGAAAGAAGAAGAAAAGAGCAGAAAAGAAAAAAATAGGATGTTTCAGCATAAAAATAGGATATATACGGAAGAAAACGTGGAAATTTTAGAACTGAAAAGTGCAATAGCCAAAATAAAAAGCACAGTAAATAAGCTCAGCAGCAGAAGGAGAGAACAGAGGAAAGAATTAGCTACCTTGAAGACACAGCAATAGCAATCACTCAATCTGAACAAAAGAAAGAAAGAAAATACACTGGAAAAAATGGACAAAGCCTCAGGGACCCATGGGGCTATAACAAAAGATTTAATGTTCATGTACTCAGAGTCCCAAAATGAGAGGAAAAAGAGAGTGAAGCTGAAAAAAATTATCAAATAAATATGGTTGAAAACTTCCCAAATTTGGCAGAAGACATAAACCTAGTGATTTAAGAAGGTGAGTGAACCCCAAATAGGACAAACCCAAAGAAAGCCACACCAAAATCATAGTAATTAACTAAAAATTAAAGACAAAAAGAATCTTGAAAGCAGTGAGATAAATGACATCTAACAGGTGGAAAAAATGACAGAGCAAAATTTTCATCAGAAACTGTGTAAGCCCGAAGGAGGTCACCACCTTTTTCCAGTGCTGAAAGGAAAAAAAAATATCAACTTAGAACACTATATCAGCAAAAATATCCAGGGAAATTAAGACATACAGAGATGAGGGAAAACTAACAGAATTTGTCACTAACAGGTCTACCCTAAAAAAACAAAAAGTTAAATTGAGGACAGTTGGAACATCAGGAAGGAAGAAAGAACATGGCAAGAAAAAATATGGGTTAAAAAATGGACTTTACTTCTTCTCTTGAGTTATTTAAATTATAGGATTGAAGAAAAACGTATAATACTGTATCATATGGTTATAAATGTATATAGAGAAAATATTACAGGCAATTATAAATGAGGGAGGGTAAACAAAGAGAGAAGAAATTTCTACACATCACTCAGACTGGTAATTAATGACAATAAATAAGTTACATAAATATAATGTAATACCTAGAACAACCACTAAAAGAGCTATCCAAAGAGGTACACACACATACACACACACAGCTATAGATAAATTAAAATGGAATTTTAAAATTATTTAGGAAGCAATGAAAAAGAAAACAAAGAAATGAAAAACAGAGAGAACAAACAGAAAACAAAAAATAAAATGTCAGACTTAAGCCTGGACATAACAATATTATAGGAAATATAAATCGCCTAAATACATCAATTTTAAGAGACAGAGCTTGGCAGAATAGATTTAAAAATATGACTCTGTCGGGTGCGGTGGCTCACGCCTGTAATCCCAACACTTTGGGAGGCCAAGGCAGGTGGATCACAAGGTCAGGAGATGACCATCCTGGCTAACATGGTGAAACTCCATCTTTACTAAAGGTACAAAAATTAGCCAGCTGTGGTGGCACAAGCCTGTAGCCCCAGCTACTCGGGAGGCTGAAGCAGGAGAATCTCTTGAACCCGGGAGGTGGAGGTTGCAGTGAGCTGAGATCACACCACTTCACACCGCTGCACTCCAGCCTGGGCAACAGAGCGAGACTCCGTCTCAAAAAAAAAAAAAAAGACTCAATTATTTGCTGTTTATGATAAACTCACTTCAAATATAGTGATATAGGCGGTTTATAAGTTAAAGGATAGAAAAACATATATCAGGCAAAAAATAATAAAGGGAGGCTATATTAATATCAAATAAACTTAGAACAAAGAAAATTACTAGAAATGGATAGGAACACTATGTAATAATAAAAGGGTAAATCTACCAAAAAGACATAGCAATCTTAAATATGTATGCACCAAACAACAGGGCTGCAAATTATGTAAAGCAAAAACTGATAGAACTGAAAAGAAAATAGGCAAGTCAACAATGATAGTTGAAGACTTCAGTAGTTTTCTCTCAATAATTGATTAAACAAATAGACAAAAATTGAGAAAAAACATAGAAGAATAAACAACATCAAACCATAAGATCTAATCAACATTTATAGAACACACCACCCAACAACAGAAGATACATTATTTTCTTTTTCGTTGCTTTTAGTAGATTCCACAAGATTTTCTTTTTTCTTTTTTCTTTTTTTTCCTTTTATTTTAAGTTCAGGGGTACATGTGCAGGTCTGTTACATAGGTAAACAGTGTCATGGAGGTTTGTTGTGCAGATTATTTCATCATCCAGGAATTAAGTCTAGTACCCATTAGCTATTTTTCCTGACCCTCTGGCTCCTCCCAACCTCCACCCTCCAATAGGCCCCAGTATGTGTTTTTCCTCTCTGTGTCCATGTGTCCATCATTTAGCCCCCACTTATGAGAACATGCAGTATTTGGTTTTCTGTACCTGCAATAGTTTGCTAAGGATAATGGCCTCCAGCTCCATCCATGTCCCTGCAAAAGACGTGATCTCATTATTTTTATGGCTGCATAGTATTCCATGGCAGAATACACTTTTTTTTTTTTTTTTTTTTTGAGATGGAGTTTCACTCTTATTGCCCACACTGGAGTGCAATGGCAGAATCTCGGCTCATTGCAACCTCTGCCTCCCAGGTTCAAGCAATTCTCCTGCCTCAGCCTCCTGAGTAGCTGAGATTACAGGCACACACCACCATGCCTGGCTAATTATTTATTTATTTATTTATTTATTTATTTATTTATTTATTTATTTTTTGTATAGATGAGGTTTCACCATGTTGATCAGGCTGGTCTCAAACTCCTGACCTCAGGTGATCCACCCACCTCAGCCTCCCAAAGTGCTGGGATTGCAGGCATGAGCCACTGCACCCAGCCAGAATAACATTTTTTTAAGTGCCCACAGAATATATGCCAAGATAGACCATATCTAAGATAACAAAAGACCAAAAAATTTTTTAAATAAAATCATAAAGAAAGTGTTCTCCTACCACAATGGAACCAAACCAGAAATCAACAACAGGAAAATATCTAAACATTTGGAGACAAAACAACACACTTAGAAATACATGGGTCAAGGAGGAAGTCTCAAGGAAATTTTTTAAAAATACACACAATAAACACAACTAAACAAAAATGAAAATATGCCATATCAGAATTTGTGAGATACAGTTATAGTAGTTATAAGAGGTAAATTTAAGTTCCAGGATACATGTGCAGGATGTGCAGGTTTGTTACATAGGTAAACATGTGCCATGGTGGTTTGCTGCACATATCAACCCATCACCTAGGTATTAAGACAAGCATGCATTAGCTATTTTTCCTGATGCTCTCCCTCCCTCCAACCTCACCCCAGACAGACCCCAGTGTGTGTTTTTCCCCTCCCTGTGTCCTTGTGTTCTCATTGTTCAGCTCCCACTGATAAGTGAGAACATGTGGTGTTTGGTTTTCTGTTCCTGCATTAGTTTGATGAGGATAATGGCTTCCAGCTTCATCCATGTCTCTGCAAATAACAGGATCTCATTCCTTTTTATGGCTGTATAGTATTCCATGGTGCATATGTACATTTTCCTTATCCAGTCTGTCATTGATGGGCAGTTGGGTTGATTCCATGTCTTTGCTATTGTGAATAGTACTGCAATGAACATACAAGTGCATGTATCTTTATAACAGAATGATTTGTATTCCTTTGGGTATATACTCAGTAATGGGATTGCTGGGTCAAATGGTATTTCTGGTTCTAGATCTTTGAGGAATTGCCACACTGTCTTCCACAATGGTTGAACTAATTTACATTCCATCAACAATGTAAAAGCATTTCTATTTCTCCGCAACCTTGTCAGCATCTGTTGTTTCTTGAGTTTTAATAATCGCCATTCTGACTGGCGTGAGATGGCATTTCATTGTGGTTTTGATTTGCATTTGAGAAGTAAATTTAAAGCACTAACTGCATACATTGGAAAAGAGGAAAAGTCTCAAACCAATAATCTAAACTCTCACCTCAAGAATCTAGTAAAAGAATAACAAAATAAAAAGCAAGCAGAACAATGAAACTGAAAACAGAAAAACAAAAGCAAAAAAAAAATCAATGAAGCAAAGAGCTGGTTCTTTGAAAGATTAATAAAATTGGCAAACCACTAGCAAGACTCAGAAAAAAAGACGACAGAAGATAGAAGCTACCAACATCAGAAATGAAATGGGATATCATCAAAGATTCTACAGACATCAAAAGGATAACAAAAGAATACTATGAACAATTCTACACACATAAATTTGACACTTAAATTAAATGGATCATTTTCTCAAAAAATATAAAGTGCCACAACTCACTAAATATAAAATAATTCAAAAATGTCTACACCTATTGAGGAAATTGAATTCATAATTTAAAAACTCACAAAAGGAAATATTTAGGAACAAATAGTTTCAATGAAGAATTCTACCAAAGATTTAAAGAAGAATTAACACCAATTAATCTCTTCCAGAAAATAGAAGCAGAGGAAGCATTTCCCAGTTTATTTTATAAAGCTAGAATTACCTCAATACCAAAACCAAACAATGACAATGGGAAGAAAAGAAAACTGTAGACTAATATTCCTCATGATGCAGCAATCTTTAACAAAATATTAGCAAGTGGAATTTACCAACATATAAAAAGAATTATGTACAATGACCACGTGAGAGTTATCCCAGGGATGCAAAGCTGGTTGGATATTCACAATTAATTAATGTAATCCATCATATTATAGGCTGAAGAGGAAAATTTACTTGTTCATATCAATTGATGAAGAAAAAGTATTTAACCCACTTTAACACCCATTCATTATTTTTTTTTAATCTCAGAAATATAGGAGTAGAGTAGATCTTTCTTTACTTGATAAAGATCGTCTACAAAAATCCTATGGTGAACATACTTGATTCTGAAAGACTGAATAGTTTCTACCTAAAATCAGGAACAAGGCAAGAATGTCCACTCTCACCACTCTTATTCACAGTGTTGGAAGTTCTAGACAGTGCAATAGGCATGAAAAAGGAGATTAAAGGCATACAGATTGTGAAGTAAGAAATAAACAGCTCCCATTTGTAAGTGACATGATTGTCTATGTAGAAAATCACAAGGAAGCTACAGAAAAACTTCTAGATATGTGATTTCAGCAAATTAACAGAATACAGGATAAACCAGTATCAATTGTATTTCTACATACAATGAACAAGTGATACATATATATATATATATATATTTTTTTTTTTTTTTTTTTTTTTTGAGACGGAGTCTCGCTCTGTCGCCCAGGCTGGAGTGCAGTGGCACGATCTCGGCTCACCACAAGCTCCGCCTCCCGGGTTCACGCCATTCTCCTGCCTCAGCCTCCGGAGTAGCTGGGACTACAGACGCCTACCACCATGCCCGGCTAATTTTTTGTATTTTTAGTAGAGACGGGGTTTCACCGTGTTAGCCAGGATGGTCTCGATCTCCTGACCTTGTGATCCGCCCACCTTGGCCTCCCAAAGTGCTGGGATTACAGGCGTGAGCCACCGCGCCTGGCGCGGTAAATTGAGTATTATTTACAATTACTCAAATACATGAAACAGTTATGTGTAAATCTAACAAAACATGCAAGACTTGCAAGCTAAAAACTATGTAATGCTGGTGAACGATATCAAAGAAGATCTATTCAGTCTCTATCTATGTGGAGAGAAATACTGTTCATGGATTGGAAGATTCAATATAGTAAATATGTCAATTCTCCCCAAACCAATATACAAGTTTAACACAATTCCAATCAAAATCTTTGCAAGATTTGTTAATTATAGGTAGGATTACTCTAAAATTTACAAGGAAAGGCAAAGGGACTAGAATATCTAAAATATTCTTTTTTCATATTATTATATTTTATTGTAGTATGTGTAGTGTATACTAACTTAAAGGGAAAAAATGTAAACAAAATGAAAGACATGGGGAAAATGGCATCTTGCTTTAATCTTCAACTTAAAGTTACCCTTAACAATTCATTTATACCATTATGCCAAATTGTAGTCATCCCTGCAGAATTTTAGACAAATGAAAATGGACAAGGTAACACCAAAGAGATTAAGCACAGAAAGTGATATTGATTAAAAAGTTGAAAGTAAAATCTACCTTGGCTAGAACTGAACATTCAGATCCATCTCTAGAGGAAAATCTAACATGAATCATATGGTTCCTATTTTGACTAGTTCATAGCATATCAATTAGCAACTTATGACTTGAAAATACTTTTTCTCAGCTGCATTTGACTACCTAAAATCCTACCGAGCACGCTGTTTGGCATGTCTTACTCCTCTGAAATCATCATCTACTTTCTAAAAACCAGAAAATTAGTTTGCTTGTGATTTAAAATTCAAAAAAGTTTGTAGAAAACACAAAAAGAATCAACTATTTAAAGTCTCATCCTTTTCTTCTCTCTAAAACAGCTACTTCTACTAAAAGAAGAGTATGTGGATACTTTCTAAGAACTCAAAAACGAGAAAACCAAAATCAGAGGGTGCATGAATATATGTGCACAAGTATGTACAGATTTAATCTCTATATTCCCTAAAACATATTTAAACAGATAATCCCAGCATTCTAAATTCAGAAAGCAAAAATAAACAGTTTTGTTTCTAAATCAGTGGTATTACTAGCTGAAATGTTTAGTAGAATACTGCACCTATAGTTCAGCAGTACTTTGATTATGTACCATTTAAGAAATCAAAATAATAAGCACATTCTTCTAACAGCAAAGAATTCTCCCACTTTTTATTTTGACATACTGATATTTCCATAAACTTGCAAGTGGAAAATAAGCTGTTCAATAAAAGCCTACTTACATATATAATATACAGAAATTATTTTAGAAGTCTGTTCATATAACAGATTATTTTGGCACTAACAAAAATTGTATACAATCCATCAGTTGTATGGCTAGAAATGAAACCATCACTAAACCAAGACACACAGGGCTTTCCTGCACTTAGTTTCAGGAAAAAGTTCCAAGTAATTCTTACTGTGTTAGAAGAATAAAGTACATTTGTCATAGTATACATTATCATATTCCCTTAAAGCAGGGACTAAAGTTTTTAAATTAAACAATGTCCATGATTACTTCTGTCTGTACATTCAGGAATAATCATATCACTGGTTACATACAATTCTCTCCTCATGCAAAAAAAAAAAAAAAAAAAAAACCTGTTGTTTTCTTAAGTCTAATTAAGCCAAACAAACTAATAATAGCAATTTAATTAGCAAGCTATAAATCAGAGAGGTATAAAAATTCAGCAGTTAAACTGTATTTCCCACCTATAGTACTGCTGCTACTCAACCATTTTCTTCATGTATTAGAAGAATTAATAGGCATTGATGGTCAAAATAAGAATTTCAATATTGCAGCAAATGACAGAAGAGTGAGCGAAAGAGTTCCTAATGTGTGACAGTCTTAATGATTCTTTAAAAGGTAAAGGATTGTGTGCATGTGTGTGGAAAGGAGTAGGAAATAAAAGTAGGAGGTTAAGACAGGTATTTAAAGGGAATGCCAAGATAGCTGCATTAGAATCTTTATTTTTTAAAAAACTGAAGTCTGCCCAGAGTACCAAAAACATTAAAAAAAAAGAGCAGACATTGGTGCAAGTTTAACCTGTGAGAAAAAAGCTAGTTTTGATGAGAAAAAGTTCAGTCTTTTCCTTGTAAATACAAAGAAATGCAACAGGAATTTTAAAGGTAGTAGGCCAGAAAATGTAACAGTAACTCTTACAATCCTTTTCTTTCTTTCTTTTTTTTTTTTTGAGACGGAGTCTCGCTCTGTCGCCCAGGCTGGAGTGCAGTGGCACAATCTCGGCTCACTGCAAGCTCCGCCTCCCGGGTTCACGCCATTCTCCCTCCTCAGCCTCCCGAGTAGCTGGGACTACAGGCGCCCGCCACCATGCCTGGCTAGTTTTTTGTATTTTTTTTAGTAGAGACGGGGTTTCACCGTGGTAGTCAGGATGGTCTCGATCTCCTGACCTCGTGATCCACCTGCCTCGGCCTCCCAAAGTGCTGGGATTACAGGCGTGAGCCACCGTGCCAGGTCACAATCCTTTTCAATTAAACAGACAAATCAAGTTGAAGACAAGTGTTAAAATACTATTCAGCCTGAATATTTATCAGCATATATATCCTGTTGTTCAATTGGCTTTTGGTTAAAAAAAAAAGTCAACAAACTTTATAAGAGCTATCACCACATTTAGAGTGATGAAAATAAATTAGTTCCCCCCCCCCAAAGATATTGTTTAACCTCTAAAGCATGAAAAGCTATATAATATACAAATTAACCAGTATTTTTACAAAAGTAATACAGTTTTGGACTGATGATATTACACCGTATTTGTGGTAAAGTACTAGGCACAAGAATATATATATCAATTAGGCATTTTCAGTCTAATCAGTCTTTAAGGTTTTCATTTAATTCTTGGCAATATATAATAACTGGTATGCACTTTGGTACTTAAGTCATGACTTGTGGAGAACGAGAAGCAATGTATTATAGCAACGGGGTTCATATCTAACAAACAATAAGAGTGTTGAACAAATCCCTTCTATGAACTTCGTGATTTATTTTGCTGTTGGTCACTTGCAGTAGATCCTTGATTTGATTCTTCCGTATTCATGCTTTCTCCATGTGCAGTCTCTAACATTTCTTCAACTTTGTCATCATCGTGTAGGTCTTTTGAAATTAATTGTCTAGCTAGTTTGATATTGAGTCCTTCATTGTAGTGAAGCGTCCTTCTCATTTCAAATTGTCGCTTTTTTTCTCGTTCTTCAGGTGAGAGGTCACTATCCTCCTCTCCACTGCTTTCTTGTTCCTGAACCTGATACTTTGGCTCCAAGCCTTCAGCAGCAGCTAAGTTCTTAGCAAGCTATCTGTTGCCATAGCTTCAGTGGTTTCTGTATCACTACATGCATCTTCATCATCACCCATCGTACTATGGTAAGGAGTGCTTGGTTCATCTATTTTCATTAAACCATAGTCTTTGTCTGCTGGACGATATGTCGCCAGGATGTTCATTTCATCCCACTTCTGGGATTTTTTGCTCAGCTGCTCGTGGACACTCCCACGGGGATGTTCGGCCGACGCCACCATAGAGGAAGTCGTAGAGGTGTTGTCCTTCAGGATCCCCTTGAGGGGCCGTTGCGAGGCCGTGGAGGCCGCCATTGCCGGGTGCTCCGCCTGTCGGCTCAGGGTCGCTGCTTGGCGTGGGGTCCGCGAACAGAAGGGTCGGCACTAGCAGAGACCAGCAGGCAGACGCGGAGCCCGCTCAAGGCTAAAGCGGCCGCACCTGCTGCCTCGGAAAGGGGTACCGGAGCGGTTGTCAAGACACAATGACCCCGACGCCAGACTCAAGCGGGGAAAAGCGGGCCTAGAGCTCCAGGGCGGGAGCGACGCCGACGCCTAAAACATTCTTGAAAAAGAAGAATAAAGTGAGTGAAAATCAGTCTGCCCTATTTCAAGTATTGTTTTATAGCTACAGTAATCAAGACTGTGTGTTACTAGCAGAGGAATGGACACACAAATGAGTGGAACAAAATAGAGAACGTAGAAAAAGACCCACACAATCTGCCCAAATGATTTTTGAAAGAGGTGCAAAAGGAAGTCAGTGGAAGAAAAATAGCCTTTTTCACAAATAGTGAATTGAACAATGGTGAAATGGAACAATTGGGCATCCATAGGCAAGACAATAAAATAAAAATGAAACTTGACCTAAGTCTCATGCCTTATGCAAAATTTAATTCCAACTGGATTGGATTGCTTGAGTCCAGGAGTTCAAGACCAGCCTGGGTAAGATAGCAAGACCCTGTCTATACACAAAAATGAAAAATAATGTTGGTGTGGTGGCTCCTGCCTGTAGTCCCAGCTACTTGGGATGCTGAGGCAGAAGGATTGCTTGAGCCCAGGAGTTCGAGGCTGTCATAAGCTGTGACACACCACTGTACTCTAGCCTGGGTGACTGAGCAAGACTCTGTTTCAAAAAAAAAAAAATGTCAGAGAAATGCAATACCTTAACCTTTACCAGATACAATTAATTAAAATAAATAAACAAAATGGATTATGGAGTAAATGTAAAGCATAAAACTCTTAAATTTTAGAAAAATAGAAAATATTTGAGCTATAGGTCTAGGCGAAGAATTCTTAGGCTTGACATTGAGAGCATGATCTATGAAAGGAAAAACTGATAAATTGGATTTCATCAAAATGTAAAACTGTTGCTTTGTGAAGATCTGGTAAGTGGATGAAAAAATGAGCTACACAGTAGGAGAAAATATTTGCAAACTATGCATTGAACAAAGGACTAGTATCTAGAGTATATAAAGAACTCTCAAAACTCAACAAAGAAAACACATTAAAAATCCAATTAGAAAATAGGCAAAAGACTTAAGGTAATATTTCACTAAGGAGGATATAAAAATGGCAAATTAGCACATGAAAAGTCGTTCAACATCATTAGCCATTAGGGAAATGCAAATTAAAACCACAATGAGATAATCGCTCCACACCTATCAGGATGGCTAAAATAAAAATAGTGACAATGGGCTGGGTGTGGTGGCTCACGCCTGTAATCCCAGCACTTTGTGAGGCCAAGGTGGGCAGATGACCTGAGGTCGGGAGTTTGAGACCAGCCTGGCCAACATGAAGAAACCCTGTCTCTACTGAAAATACAAAAGTAGCCAGGTGTGGTGGCACATGCTTGTAGTCCCAGCTACTCGGGAGACTGAGGCAGGAGAATCACTTGAACCCGGGAGACAGAGGTTGCGGTGAGCAGAGATCACACCATTGTACCTAGCCTGGGCAACAAGAGTGAAACTCTTTCTCAAAAAAAAAAAAAAAAAAAAAGCGACAATGCTAAATGCTGGCAAGGAAGAAGAGATACTGGATCTCTCATAATTTCTGATGGGAATATAAAATGGTACAGCCACTCTGGAAGATGATTTGGCAGTTTCTTAAAAACAAAACAAAACCAACAACAACAACAAAAATCCAACAACTAAGCATACTACTACCATCCTGCCCAGCAACTGTACTCCTGGGTATTTAGCCCCAAGAAATGAAAACTTGCATACACAAATACACAAGCACAGACAATGCCTTCACACAAAACCTTGTATGCAAATGTTTGTCTAACTGCCTACTCATTGTAGCCAAAGATAACCCAGATATCCTTTAACAGGTAAATGGTTAAACCAACTGTTGTACACTTATACCATGAAATAATACTCAGCAATAAAAAAGAATGACTGATACACACAACAACCTGGATGAATCTCCAGAGAGTTATACTGAGTGAAAAATGCCAGTCCCAAAAGGTTACATACTGCAGTGAGCTGTGATCACGTCACTTCACTCCAGCCTGAGCAACAGAGCAAGACCCCATCTCTAAAAATAGATAAACAAACAAAAAAGATGGATTACAGAGTAAATGTGAAGTGTAAAACTATTAAAATTTTAGAAAAATAGGAGAAAATCTTTGAGATGTAGGGCCAGGCAAAGAATTCGTAGGCTTGACATCAAAAGCATAATCCAGGCTGGGCGTGGTGGCTCACGCCTGTAATCCCAGCACTTTGGGAGGCCGAGGCAGGCAGATCATTGAGGTCAGGAGTTCGAGACCAGCTGGCCAACATGGTGAAACCCGTCTCTACTAAAAATACAAAAATTAGCTAAGCAAGACGGCACATGCTTGTAATCCCAGCTACTCGGGAGGCTGACTCATGAACATCACTCGAACCTTGGAGGTGGAGGTTGCAGTGAGCTGAGATGGTGCCACTGCACTCCAGCCTGGGTGACAGAGTGAGACTCTATCTCAAAAAAAAAAATAAATAAATAAAATAAACTTTATTGAAAAGAAAAAAAAAGCACAATCCATTTGTATAACATTTTGTATTAAGAAGCTTGAAATGACAAAAGTACAGAAATAGAGAAAAAATTCATAGTTGCCAGTGGTTAAGGAAGTGATGGGGGTGGGAAGGAGGTGAACCGACCATAAAAGGGCAAGATAAGGGATACTTGGAGTGACAAAAATACTGTCTTGACTGTAATATTGACATTGACACAAATGTCAATATCCTGATTGCAATACTGTACTGAAGTGTTATAAGATGTTACCATCAGGGAAACTGGATTAAAGGGTAAAAGGTTCTGTCTGTATTATTTCTTACAACTGCATGTCACTCTCTAATTACCTCAAAATAAAAAGTTAAATTTAAAAAACATGTATGAGGATGTGCATAGTTTTTCAAAATACATTTAAGAAGTTCATGAGTGGAAAGTTTGAGTGAATAAAAATTATATCTGGAATTCTGGTTTGCAAATTAGCCTGGGAAATGTAGCCTGACTCAGTGTGACTCAGTTCTATACCACTGTTCTCAGCTCTGCTGTTGCTCACTGCTAATGTTGAAGCCAGATATCTCTTGAGTTGCAGGGCAACCAAGATCCCATGATCCAATGTTGCTCTCACTCACCTTGGCCTTTGAGAGAGAACAGGAAAGAAGATGGAGAAGAAGGATTTTCCCTTTGCCCCATTTTCCTCTTTTTGGGCTGAACTGTGTCCCCCTATAAGTTCATAATGTTGAATAAACCCAGTACCTCAGAACGTGAATTTTTTTTGGAGTTAGAGTCTTTAAAAAGTTAATTAAGTGAAAATGAGGTTATGAAAGTAGGTCCTAATATAGCTAGTATCCATATAAAAAGAGATTAGGACATACATACACAGGGGGCAGTCCATAGGAAGATGCAGGGAAAAGACAACCATCTGCCAGCCAAGGACAGAGACCTCGGAAGAAACCAACCCTGCTGACACCTTGATCTCACATTTCTAGACTCCAGAGCCAGGAGGCAATAAGTTTATGTTGTTTAAGCCATTCAGTCTGTGGTATTTCTTATGGTAGCCCTAGCAAACTAATACATCCTCCTATATTTGGACATAGGCCTGTCCTTCTTGATTAAAGGAATGTAAAAATAAGACTGTTGTCAAAGTTTTAACAAGACTTTATGAAGGCTTGGGCAAAATTGAAAAAGAAAAGACAATAGAAAATTCTTCCATTCTGATCACAGATATTATAGATGTAAGAGATCACAGGCTCCAGTCATCTAAGGGTTCTCCAACTAGAAATAGACGGCTGATGCTACTAATACCTGCCATGTTCCTTGGGCCTTACCACTGTAGTGCACACTGGCTGGACATTTGCATCATTCCTGAAGGCTTCCTCAAAGCCAAGAAGGGCCACTCTGCCCGACTCACAGCAGACTAGAAGGGCCGAAGAGTTCACGTGTCAGGCAGCAGCCTTCAACCAATGGGAATTGATGTACAATTGCCCAACTCCCTCCTTCCGTGGCTGGGTTAACTCTGAGGCAAGTGCTTTCCCAGAATTTCCCCAGGGGATTAAGTTCCAGTCATTCACCCTTCGTTGGCTGTTTTCCCTTCCCAATCTTTTACTCAGCTGCTACTGAAGTTTCATGCACCTCCAAAATAAATTACTTTCATTCATGTCCCTGTGTCAGGGACTGCTTCTGGAAGAAACCAAACGAATGCACCCCGGGTTAGCTTCTAATTTGCTTCACAGCAGTAAAGGTCAACTTTTCTTTGCATTACCCAAGAGAAAACTTAGCCATTACCTCATCATGGTGCTTGGATCCCTAGAACCCTGTCTCTCATGAAACCCTGATTCCTTCCTTTCCTTGTCAAGATCTTTCCTTACCCAGCATGGATGACAGTCCATTCTATTGAGTACTAAGAAAAGAGAGTTTAGAAACTGTCAGAAATATTTTTATTTCATTCAAATTTGTAATATTCCGTAGACCAGAAACAGCACACTCTTTGATCCCATCCTTGTATGCCCAAAATATCTGAGTTGGAGGAGGCACTGACCCTCTGTCACACAGTTTAACTGGATTACAGAGTGCAAGACCCCAAAACCAGTTCCTGACACTCTTTCTGTCTTCAGCCTGTGGATTCTTATCACTTCCACAGAAGAAAATTGGCTCTAAGATTATCCGGAGTACTTCCCAAATCTATTATTTATGGAACAAGTGCTGACTTCAGATATCTAGTAATCTAAGGTTTTTCATCTCCAAAGACCTTTCTTTCATTTGGCCTCTACTGGGTTTTCTATTTTATTTATTTATTTATTTATTTATTGAGACAAGGTCTCACTCTGTCACCCAGGCTGGAGTACAGTGACCTGAACATGGCTTGCTGTATCCCTAACCTCCTGTGCCCAAGCAATCCTCCTGCTTCAGCCTCCTGAGTAGCTGAAACCACAAGTGAGCGCCACCATGCCCAGCTAATTTTTTTTCTTTACTTTTCTTTTTTTTTTTTTTTTTTTTTTTTGTAGAAACTGAGTCTCGTCATGTTGTCCGGGCTGGTCTTGAACTCCTGGGCTCAAGCAATCTTCCTGCCTTAGCCTCCTAAATGGTTAAAGGCATGTGACCATCACACCTGGCCTACCATGGTTTTCAAATGTAAAATTTTAAATGAAAAATCTTAATCTTTTGGTCATTGCTGTTTTGCTGTGGTCTGTCTCCCATGGCATGAGGGGAAATGCGTTATCTGCCTCTGTTGTAGAAAGATGCCTGAGGAAAATAATCCTCAGTTGATGTCTCAGGATTTTTCCTGCCATATACCTGGAATGTGTAAAAGCACAGGAAATATCCTAGTATAACACAAACTACACACAGTTACCTTTGGGACCTAGAATGGAATGGGGAGGAGGGAGAAACAAAGGAGACCTTTTACTCCGTACCCTTCTGTATGGTTTGAACTTGTTGTTTTTTTTTTATAGACGGAGTCTTGCTCTGTAGCCCAGGCTGGAGTGCAGTGGCACAATCTTGGCTGACTGCAAGCTCCGCCTCCTGGGTTCACGCCATTCTCCTGCCTCAGCCTCCCGAGTAGCTGGGACTACAGGCGCCCGCCACCACGCAAGGCTAATTTTTTGTGTTTTTAGTAGAGACGGGGGTTTCACTGTGTTAACCAGGATGGTCTCAATCTCCTGACCTTGTGATCCGCCCGCCTTGGCCTCCCAAAGTGCTGGGATTACAGGTGTGAGCCACCGCACCCGGCCGGTTTGAACCTTTTATAACAAGAGTGAATCCAGATATTTACTATGTAATTTTCTCATTTAGTCTAATCATTTAGACTAAATGATTAGAAGAAACAGGACTTAAAAAGAAATGAATGAATTTCCACTAGGGGGTGGTAGAGAATCATAATCCATATCATAGTCTGAAACTGAAGGGCAAAAGGAAATAGTCAAGTTCAGAATCACATGCTGCAGCCCATTTGTAATTATAAATCTTTATTAACTAGCTCAGTGTGAGATCTAATTTCTTCATAAATGCCCAATAATATATAATATGCTCTTTTGAGCAACGCTTTTCAGATTATGTTCTCATACAGCCTTTTACAGCCCTTTACAGCTTTTCTGTAAACTGGGCTGAGATGTACCACTAAATGAAATTGAATGATAGGAGTCCATTGTGGTTGGAATAGATACACACAGTGATTGATTTAGGTAGATTAGAAGGTGGATGGATAGATAGATAGATAGATAGATAGATAGATAGATAGATAGATATGCGCACACACATTCCTCTCCTTGAGTCCCCCTGGGTAAGCCGAGGCATGAGTACTCTGAAGGAAAAGCAACCATGAGTGAGCTGCAGCATCCTTACTTAACCTCCAAACTTAACCTTTGTTGTAATATATATAGAAAAATGAGTTCCGAATTCCCTCCTTAATCTCCAACATGCAGGCACTATGCCTCTGCCCAGTTTCTTTACCCATGCCTTTTATTATATCCCATCCCCAACTGAACCCTATCTCGACCTGGTCAATAGGTGTGAGACCCAGATATTCTTATCCGGGAGATGCTATTTCTTTTTTTCCAGAGGCCAGAGGTGGTTTTTAGTAACCACCTGTATCATTTTGCAGGGGCTTCTTAAATGCGTGGCCAGACTCACCTCACTGTGCCTAGGTGCCAATATGGCCTCTCAGCTTTATTCCCCTTGCAATCCAAAATCTGCCAGAACTGGACAGCAGTTTGATCCTTGAATTAGACCGTGGTTCATGATGCTTGCTTCTCACCCTCCCACCAGCTGTGCTTTATTTTTCTTTGATTCTAACTATTACAGAAAAGACAAGTCAGACTCCTTCATCGCTGGGCAAAGTTCCAAGTAAACTGCATTGGGAATCCTTGGCATTTTAACAATGGCTCACTGCTCCCCTTGTGACTAATGGGCAACACAGGCCTGTTTATGAGTTCAAGTCTCTGTCCCTGGATCATGTAATTTTAATTGTTCTGTTACTTCATTTCAATCCTGGTCCCCACAGCATTTTTCTCACTGTTCATTTTCAAATTTAGTGTCCAACCTATTACTGTGTGCTTTTCTTAATCCCTAGACCAAGCACTCTCTGGCTTGCTCATTTTCCCACTTGGGCACCCTGGATCCCAGCCAGAGGTGGCCCTTACCACTTGGCTCCTCCCTCAGTGCCCTTGGACCTCTTTGGCTCGTAACTGCTTCTGCTGAAGGTCATCCTTTTGGCTCCATGATCTTCATGGCTGAGGTTGCTTCATTACTTCTGGAGGGAAATCTTGCTGCTTTCTGTAAACATTTTTTTCTCATGGCATATTTATGTGGAACTGTGCCATTTCTTTTCCTACTTATTCTGAATAAATTGAGCATTCCTGGACCAGATATTAGTGGAAGACTCCTATTGGATGGGGGTGGGATGATGGGTTGGTGAGAGAAGACATGGGCAATAGTAACCTCCCAGGTTTTACAACCGAAGGACCAATCCTTTATTACTAACACGTAAACTTTATCTTAAAATACGCTGCATCCATGTTTTTTCCAACTTGGGGAATTTAATCTATTTCAGGAAGGATTCTACCACGGTGTTAGGACCCCCTGCATTCCAGAGGGAACCTTTGTTATCTGCCACCTTGGAACCTCCAAAACAAAGTCTGCTCCCCCAATATGTGGGCCTTCTTCTGCCTTCCCCAGCATCTGGGCCTCACTGTAGCTCAGGCCAACTGCCAACAGCTCCAACCTAGGCTGGCTTCTACTCTTAGAGAGAGAATATTTTCGGGCCCTTTCCGAGATCCCGCACCACTAGTTCCCTCCACGCTTTCATCTGTTGCCACAGCAACATTTTGGCTTCTTATGCCCAGTTCTGCTCTCCGTTGCTTTAAGCACAAATGACATGCAATTTGGGATGTAACCATACTTTTTGTTTCCTAGTTTCACTAAAAATGAGGTTCTTGTGTGGTTTTCTTTTTCATTCTCTTTGCTGTACTATATAGAGAAATGAATTCTGAACTGAATTCCCTCCATATTCCTAGCAAAAACATAACTCCTTTGAATTGCAATTTTGATTTCCTTTTCAACCCAAAAATTAGTGAGATGTTTTTAAGTTTCCAAGTGGAGGCTTTCTTGTTAGTACTGTTTTGGTGAGGTTTTGTTTTGTTTTATTTTAGTTTTGTTTTGTTTTTCTATGTATGTGTTTTATACCGGTGAGAGAATATAGCCCGTGTAGTTTCTAATTTCTATTTAATTTTACTTTGTGGTTTAATGCATTATGTTTGGGAAAATATGCATTCACTATTTGTTGAGTACACAATTTTATAAATATTTGATAACTTAAGATCATTATTTGCTTTAGCAAAATATCTTACATTCACATTATTTTACAATTGGATATGACAGTTTAGTTTAAAAGTATGCTAAAAGCTCTTAAATGTGTCAATTTATCCTTCCTAACAAAGCACATTTTTTTCCCTAACTTTCAAAGACTTGTTTAGGATATGAAGGCTTATAACTTATGGGTAGTTGGTGAATTGTACATTTTAGCATAATAAAGTATCCTTCTTTGACACTGAAAAATTTCTTCATCATTTATTCTACTTTGTTCAATATTAGTATTTGTAATGGTTTGAATGTGTCCCCAAAAAGCATATGTTGGAAATGTAATATTCAATGCAACAGTGTTAGTAGGTGAGGCTTAATGATGAGAGGTGTTTAGGTCATGACGACTCCATCCTCATAAATGAATTAATGCCAATTACAAAAAGGCTAAAAGCCTGTGAATTCAACCTGTTGCACTTGGGCGCTCTCTCTTTCTCTTTCTCTCTCTCAGCTCTCTTTTTATCCCTTTTGCCTTCCACCACAGTATGAGGCAGCCAGAAGATTTTTGCAAGATGCAGGCCTCTCAACCTTGGATTTCCTAGCCTCTAGGACTGTAATAAGTCAATCTCTGTTCTTTAAAAATTATCCAGTCTTGGATATTCTATTATAGCAGCACAAAATGGAGTAAGACAGTATTTCTATCCATAATTAATTTTTGTTAGCATTTGCCTGAGTTTATCATTGTCCATTGGTTTAATCACTCGGTGTCATTTTGTTTTAGGTGCTTTTTGTTTGTTTTTGTTTTTATTTTGAGACAGGGTCTCAGTCTGCCGCTCAGGCTGGAGTGCAGGGGTGCGACTACGGCTCACTGCAACCTCAACCTTCCAGGCTCAAGCGATCCTTGCACCTCAGTTTCCTCAGTAGCTGGGACTACAGGCATGCACAACCACGCCTGGCTAATTTTTTTATTTTTGTAGAGATAGGGTCTCGCTATGTTACCCAGGCTGATCTCAAACTCCTGGGCTCAAGTGATCCTCCCTCCTTGGCCTCCCAAAGTGCTGGGATTACAGGTATAAGCCATTGCCACCAGCACTTTTTGAATAGCAAATACACACACACACACACAGACCATCTTTACTGAGCAGAAAAATTTAGATTTAATGCAATGATATAAATGGACATTACAAATGCATATATATCTGGATTACTTCTGCCATCATATTTTTATATTTACCATGTTTTTTCATTTTTTAGTCTTCTGTCTCAATAAATTTCATCAAATTGCCTTTGTTACTTCTGTCTCTATGCAAATGATTTCTTATACATCTTTTTCCTTTTTTCTTATGATCCAGTTTTTGAAATATTTTTCTACAAATAAGTAATGCATGTGATGCATATCTACAAGAATTTTAAACATCCATTTTTTCCCACCAGTCACATGAAGGAATGGAACGTTACCCTTAACATTAAAGTTTCCTGTATTTGTCTTCCCTTAGAATCTCCCTTCCTCTCTGCAAAATGCAACTATTATTCCAAATTTGGAGTTGATCATTATCTTGCTTTTCATCATAGTAAATATTGTCTTTGTCTGACAACAAATTAACATCATAATTAATATCAAAATGTAGTTTTCTGTTGTTTTCTTCATTCAACAATATGATTTTAAGAATTATGCAAGTTTATTATTTTATCTGTATTCCACTGATCTTGATGTTGCAGAGAATTCCACATTATGATTATGCCAAAATTTGTGTATCAGTTTACCTGCAAATGGACACTGGGTTGTTTCCAGCTTTTTGCAATTACAAAGAATGCTCTCATGACTTTTCCTGCACATTGCTCTTGGTGCCTTATTCAATAATTTCCCTAAGGTGCATATATATTTAAGGGTAGAGCTGCTATGCTTTAGGATATTCTCAGCTTCAACTCTACAAAATGCCAATTTTTTTCCAAGTAGATTATTTCAGTTTGAAGTCCACCATCAGAGTATGAGTTCCCCTCACCCTACATCCTCATTGATTTTTGATAATGTTAGACTTTTCAATGTTTGTCTATTTAGTGATTTTAAAATGTTATTTCAAGGACTGTTCTAATTCACAATTCTCTGATAACTATTGTGAGCTTAACTTTTGTACGTTTATTGGTCTTTTATATATCCCTTTTTGTGAACTGCCCTTTCACATCTTTTGATCATTTTCCTATGGGGCTATTCTTAGATGTTCTGGATATTGATCCTATGTAAATTATGTGTGATATAAATAAGTTTAGATTGTGGCTTTTTTTCCTTTAGAGTGTGTTTTGATTAAAGTTTCTAATTTTAATGTGGTCAAATTTATTCATCTTCTCTTAACATTTTTGTTTTTAAAATGTGTATGTGTGTCTTTTTAATAAATATTTTTCTACCTTGAAGTCATACAAATATTTCTTTCACATTTTCATTTAAAAGTTTTACAGTTTTGCCTTCAATACGTCGGTACTTAGTTCATCTGGAATTTATTATGATGTATATATATCCACTAATCCAGTGTCATAAATTCAAACTTATTGAATTATACATCCTTTACCCACTGGTCTTTAATGACCATTCTTCACATACAAGGGGTCCTGACACTCTTTCCATTCTATTCTATTGGCCCAGTTGTCTACTCCCTCTCTCACCAATAATAGCACATGGTCTTAAATCCAGTGGTGTATATAATATCTTCTCATGTAGTCAGGAAATTCCCCAACTTCCTCTTTATTTTCAATGGTATTTTGGCTCTTCTTGAACTTGTGTTCCTTCGTTTCATTTTAATATCATTGTGTCCAATTCTATAAAACATTTTGTTGAAATTTTTCTAGAAATAGCATGAAACTATAGATCACATTGGGGAAAACTGGCATTTTAATGATATTGATGCTTCCTAACCATGAATGTGTCTCTCCATCTGTGCAGTACTTCTTCAACTTCTTTTAATGATTTTAATTTTCCCCACTAAGATCTTGCATGCCTTTCCTTTTTGAGAATTTATTCCTGATTACAGTGGACCCTTCAACAATGCGAGGGTTAGTAGCGCTGACCACCTGTGCAGTCAAAAATCTGCACATAATTTTTGACTCCTCCAAAACTTTACTAATAGCCTACTGTTGATCAGAAGTCTTACCAATAACATAAAGTTATTTAACATATATTTTATATTTTTATGTGTTATATACTGTACTCTTACAGTAAAGTAAGCTAGAGAAAAGAAAATGTTGGCCAGGTGCGGTGGCCCATGGCTGTAATTCCAGCAGTTTGGGAGGCTGAGGCAGAAGTGCTTGAGACAAGGAGTTGGAGACCAGCCTCAGCAACATAGCGAGACCCCATCTCTACAAAAAATTAAAAATTTAGCCAGGTAGGGTGGCGTGCACCTGTAGTCCCAGCTACTTGGGAGGCTGAGGTGGAGAATCGCTTGAGCCCAGGAGGTTGAAGCTACAGTGAGCCATGATAACACTGCACTCTAGCCTGGGCAACAGAGCAAGACCTTGTCTCAGAAAAGCAAAGAAAATGTTATTTAAAAAATCATAAAGAAGAGAAAATATATTTACTATTCATTAAGTGGAAGTGGAGCATCATAAAGGTCTTCATCCTCATGTCTTCATGGTGAATATGCTAAGAAGGAGGAAGGGGAGGAGAGGTTGGTCTCGCTGTCTCAAGGGTGGCAAAGGCAGAAGAAAATCATATATAAGTAGACCTGCACAGTTCAAGCCCATGTTGTTCAAAGGTCAACTGTACTGTAAGTTTGTTATATAAACCAGTTAATCACATTTCTACTTTTTTGTTTTTATAGAAAATGCAATAGATTTGTTTATATATTTAGCCAACCACTGTGCCAAACTCTTAATTCTTATGTTTTAGATTATTTTTCTCTGTAGACAATTGTATCATCTATGAATAATGAAAGTTTGCTTTATTTCATTCCTATCCTTCCAACTTTTTTTTTGGTCTGTTGTTAAAAGCCCCCCTATCCCATGCCTAAGTAATAAGTAATCTCAATATTACATTCCATCTCATATAATAAAATTTGACTTCCTAAAAGGGCTTGCTTCTTTTTAATTCAATGTCAATGCTGGAATTTCAGTTCTTAGCCTTGAAACCCTGGTGAAAAAATTCTCAGCAAGGTAAGAAGGAAAAAAATGTTCTCCCCTGCTCCTGAAGCTGGAGAGAACAATAAATGAAAACTGTTGTCATAAATGGTTATTTCTAACAATTTTTCAAACCCCTAGACTTCAAATATTTTGGACAGGACCTGACAAAATGACCCTTAATCTGTAAAACATCTGTACTTTTGACCACTCATCTTTCTTAATAATTCAGTTCTCTGGTGATAATGTTTGAGCTTAAAATCTCTATCTTCAGAAGGTAACGTGATTTGTGAATTTTCTGTCAAATCAGGAAAGAATCACTGGCATTGCCCTCTTCCCACACATGCATAGGATAAAATAGCTCTACTGGACTTTTTATTAATCAAAGAGCCCGAGAGACAGCTGAATGGCTGAACCAAGCAGAGAGTGGAAACTTGGGGAGGGTAATTCCTTGCTGGGCCTTAAAAGGAGTCCACAAGATAGGAAAAAAACGAAAAAGCCAAATAAGATGAACCTCTATTCAGGCCCCAATGAGAGGCTGCTTGACTCTGATCTTTCGTTAGCTGGCTCAAAATTTTGTTCTTAAAGAATTATTTTTACTCAAAATCAAGAACTGTTAGAAAACAAGAAAAATTATGGAGTTTTGTTGTTGATTTCCACCTCTCTACATATATATATGAAATACATATCTCCTCCCGATACACATGCACACACGCAAAAACATATTTAACTGAAACAACGGTTTCATGAAACTATAGTTACTCTCATTACCTGTGATGCAGGCAAGTATTTTCAATTGTATTTTATTCTATTTCATTCTACTTGGAAAAAAAGTCTTTTGGTCTCAACATAAATGGGTTCTGACCTGCAGTTTCAAGCCAATACGTTACAGTAAGAGTAAATGTAGGGTTTCTCCCAGTTTTATCTGGCAGTCCCAAAGTCAGGATCAGAGTAACCGATGGAGCATCATTTGTACGCTCCACGTCTGAGGAGGAGGTCTGGGAAAAGATCCAACGTGTAGGACTGGCGCAGAGGCTCAGGCCTGTAATCCCAGCACTTTAAGAGGTGGAGGCGGGAGGATAACTTGAGGTCAACAGTTCGAGACAAGCCTGGCAAACATGGTGAAACCCCGTCTCTACTAAAAATACAGAAATTATCCAGGCGTGGTGGTGCGCACCTGTAGATCCAGCTCCTCGGGAGGCTGAGGCACGAAAATCGCTTGAACGCGGGAGGCGGAGGTTGCAGTGAGACAAGATCACACCACTGCACTCCAGCCTGGGCGACAGAGCGAGACCCTGTCTCAAATAAAAAAAATAATAATAATAATCCAATGTGTCCCTAGTCTGGCTTTCAGGGTCTTAGATGAGGTTCGGAAGTGGACTTAGGAGCCTTAGGAGCGCAGCCAGTGCTGTGGATTCCCACATCCACGTGACCTGCGGTTTCGCGTTATTCCATTCAGGGATAGATGACGTCCCTCATTTCTACCTACCAGTGGGCTGGTCAAGATTCTCATTTATCAAGTCAGTTGGAGTGGGCTTAAGTAAGTTCTCAGCCAAGGCTGTGGGGTCTGGAGGACCAGATATCCCGACCAAAAGCCCCCCCTCCCATTCCTTTCACACGCCTGCCGCAGAGGTGCACGGGTGCGAGTGGGGAACTGAGGCAAGAAGCAGATGGGGCGGCACCGAGAGAAGAGAAACTACGCTAGAGGAAAAGCTCGAGCTGTTACCCCTCCCAACTTCTTCCGCCTTCCGCCTTCCCCCTTCCCCCTCTTTCCCCTCTTGCCCCTCTCCAGCTTTTCTGGTCCAACCCTCTTCTGCGCCTAACACTGGCACCTCCTTTTCTTCCGGCTGATGAATAATTGTCCGCAAACCAGCCTCTCTGGGGCACTGAGGGGCGGGAAGGTTAGAAGGAGCCAGGGCTAGAGTCCTGGAAGGTGGCAGTCAGGTCGCAGGGCCACAGCAGTCACTCTGCGACTCTCTCTTCCGGTGTTTCTCCAGCGCCAAGCGGGAGAAGACGGAGCCTGGGAGCTGGGACTGGAGGAGCGGGAAGCGCAGTATCGGGACCACGGCTCTGGGACCAGGAAAAACGCAGACTCTCCAGAGTCAATGTCTACTTCAGCCAGCTCAAGGGCGCGACAACCTGGCGCCGAGCATCTCAGGCCGCCGCGGGGACCCCCCCTAAGGGACTCGGGAACACCTGCCTACCCTAGAAGAGGCGGAGAATAACCCCGTAGGGAGTTAAGCGGCCTCTGCCTACAGCGTTCCTCCCGCCTCCACGGCGCCGAGCCCTGATTGACGTTCAGCCAGGCCAATCATAGCCTGTGTCTGAGGCGCGCGGAGCTGGAGCGCCCAGGGCATGTCCGCCGATCCCAAGGAGGCAATCTGTCAGGCGCCGCCCGGGCGGCAGTATGCCTGAGGGGGTCCTCCGTGTTCGCGCCTCCCGCCGCCTGCACTGAAAGGTCTGTACCTGAGCCTGGATACTTGAACAGAGGCAGACACTGCGGCTCAAAACCCCAAGGGTAGGTGCCTATTGTGCGGAGTCTCGGAACGCCTGCCTGGAAGAAGAGTTCCGGCGGCTCCCCGAACGCTTGGAGAAAGCGCTTGGATGCAGTTGCAGGGTGAGATTTGAGACGGTGATTGTGTTTTCCAGCAGGCGCTCAGGCGGGGTGGTGAAGGAGGGATACAGACCTCTAAAGATTCCTCTCTCGTTGGGGTGAGGTGGGGAACAGCAGTGACAGTAGTTCTCATCCCTGAGCCTCCTCCGGGCCGGCCCGTGGAGGAGAGAGAAGGGGAGGGAGAAGGGTTTGCCCAGGCCTTCAGACACTTTACTTTGTGGGAGATGTATGTGCTGAGTGTCCCTGCTCTGGAGGGATTGTTAAAGAATCCAGGTTCTTGGGGAGTGTCTCAGGAGAACACTCCAGGTGATATCCTTATTCTTCCTATTTTCACCGTGTTGGTTTTTTTTTGGATATAACTTGTTCCCTTTAACCCGAGGTGGCCTTGGTGTCTGGCAGCTGTTTTCTCTGCCAGGCACCACCCTCTGGGCCTCACGTCTTCATCCCTCAAGTCCGCTGCCTCTGAGCTGCTACTTAGATCTGGTCTGTTTCTACCTCTGCTGGACCAGAAGTTTGCATTAACGCCCCCACCCCATCCTGCAAGACCGGCGCTTCCAACCAAGGGCTCTCTCCTCTGAACCTAGAACCTGCTTGGAAATCGAGTATTTCCTCTATGCCCAGGTGGAGATTGATGTTTGGGTTTCACATCTCCCAACTCTGTTGGGTACTATGTCGTTTCTCAGCTTGGTTGTATGTGCCTCCATTGAGTGGACCGTATCTCCAGAATTTCTCCTAACCCTCCCAGTGTACTCCCCTGCAATCCTTTCTTTTTTTCTCCAAATCCCCCACCCCCCACCAGAAATGACTTTACCCCTGTGCCACTTATTTTGGCCTGGAGCACTAAGGAGCCATACTACACCCAATGCCAGAGGTGGAACAGAAATGAGGTTTGAAATGGGAACCAGAAGCTAATCTGTGGGAAATTCTTTTACTCCTCAGACGTGTAAAGATGTGTTGGAGACTCTCGTAAATATGTATTCAGTAATGCAGCATATACAGTGATCACCATGTATTCATTTTTTATGGGAATCAACAATTCAGAATGATCAAAAATCCCTGTGTGTAGAGACATGAATCTATAGGAATATCACACATAGTGAGCACAACTGTGAGTGAAATCCCATGTTTCATGCATCCCAGCAGTCCCAAAGGGAGCCTCCAAATGTGTACGGGATTCAGACTCCATGTAACCTGCATCTGTCTATGCACTAGCTATGTGAGCTGTTACCTCAGTCTTGATGAGGTTACTCAGGAAGTCTGGGATCTTGATTTTTGCCGGTCACTGATCACCTGGCTACAGGAAAGGAGACCTAAATCCAGAACTTAAATTTATGAACACCAGGTCTGTAGGCACTAGACCTCAGAAGTAGGTGAGTAGGTGGCTATTGGTTGGTCCCTTCTGGAGTGAGGCAGAGATACCTATGCCATATGCAACATAAAAGGTTGCCTGAGCCCCTCAGCCTGAGGTAGAGTAAGGAGGGAGAGGTGGAGAGGGACTTTCTTCTCAGACCAGGGAAATCAGAAGCCATCAGATGCCTTCAGTAGGGAATCCAGCACAAAGAGGATCATAAGTCATCTCCCCACTTCTCTATAGTCATCATAGACGTAATTGCTAACCTACCCTTCCTTGGTGCTCTGGTTAGTAGAGTGAAGTTGAGATAATATAAATGAAAAAACTGAGCAGAAAGGGAGTGAGGATACGGGGCCTCTTCAGTTTGCCTTATGGGCTTCCCACTCTAAATAGATGAGGTACACAACATTCTGGCAGTATCACACTAGGGCCAGAGTTGGTAGCTCACAGATGTACGATAGAGGATGGAAGGAGTATGCCTCTCAGGCAGGCAAGTTTAGCCTGGTAGACAGAGGATGTGGCTTAAAAGTCACTGCCTACAAGACCAGTGCATGCAAGTGAGTCCCTGCTGCTGCTTGGATCAGAGGAGGTGAGGCAGAAGGCTGATGAAAACCCACCAACTGATGGTCAGTCCGAGAAGCAGTCAAGATGGAGAACTGCAAAATTAACAGCTTAAGTTTTCCAGGAGTCTCAGTGCCCAATGTCAGGTCTACCAGGGATGTCCAGCCCCTCTGGTCAGAGCCCCAGGAGCCTTGTCTGAATGTGGATCCCCTCTGCTTATTCAAAGAGACCTGGGAAGCTGAGCCAGGAACCTGGATAATGACCAGAAAGTCACCCAGACACCTGAGAAATGCCTCCCTTATATCCAAGAGATCCCTGTGTGTAGAACACATGAATCTATTGGAATATCACACACAGTGAGCAGACTCTTCTTACACTTACTAAACTCTCTTCGTAGATTTACTAAATTTTTCACCAGTGACTCAATGGAGCGAAACCAGGTCCCAGACTCGATTTAAAAAAAAAAACCACACACACACACACACAAAAAGTTCTTTAGGTGAGCATGTATGCATGTGTAAATGGTACTATACAATGGTATGATTGGATAGTCAAAGGAATATCTAACCCAAGTGTACATAAGGAGTAAATTTGGAGTCAGAGGAAGTTGGTCATTGTAGGAAAGTAACTGCTGCAAGAAAGATTTCTTAGAATGTAACTGTCTAATATGAGGCATTTATGCCTCTTTTCCTCCATGTTTCTAGTTTCTGCCTTGGGTTTGGCATTTATTGTTTATCCTGCTTCAAGTATAAGACTAGTGGTTTATTCGAGGGCCCACAACTTCCACTTCTACCCTGGCGTCACACAGATCATTTTCTCTTCTCAAGTCATTGTATTTTCACTGGTAGTAAAAGAGGATAATATCTTCATCTTCAAATAAATTAGTGGGAGGGATTCAAATTATGAGGGAAAAGAAAAATTGGTTCTTCTGCTGTAGGGAAGGGTTACTGAAAATTAAAGGACAACCTACTGAGCTGAAGAGAGCTTTGGGGTTTGGTAATTTGGGGTGTGAGGTGGATCTTCAGGAATGCCATGGGCTTCAAGACTAGTGTGTCTCTCCCTTAGTATGTTCCTCCTCAGTTTGAGAGGACTTCCTGGTAAAGGACTGAAAGAAATGTCCACTCCATCATGTCTCTGCTGACACCTAGCTTCTCTTCTCCAGTTATAAGTCCATTTTCCTACTGGGGTAACACAAGAAAGAGGAAGAATAGCTCAGGGGTCTTCCCTTCACATCTCTCCTACAAGGATTGTGAAATGTCATATGCCTCCTCCCATAGACTTAGACAGACCTAAAATTGTCAACATGTGTCCAGATAGTTGCAAAAAATATATAATTTCCAACATATTCTCCATATTAACACTTTAAAATAAAACTGTTAATCGCTCATATGTTCAATTCAATCTAAATATCATAATGTTTTGACACCCATTATCATTAATTTAAAAAATATACAAACAACCTCTTTCTTAATGGTTGGAAATTTTACATTGCTCTTTTTTCCCACTTTGAATTCATATTTTTATTCTACCCCCCATGTAGAATTTTTCTTTTTCTTTTTTTTTTTTTTTTTGAGTTCTCAACCCTGGTTACATCCTAATGTAATTTTTTTCTTTGTTCTTGGAAATCTTTTATTGAGCCACCTATTCTGCTTCTTTGCAACAAAATATGTTCTTACATTGAATTTTTAATTTCTTGTTGTAAGTGTAAAAGTTATATGGGCTGGGTGCAGTGGCCCACACCTGTACTCCCAGCACTTTGTGAGGCTGAAGCAGGAGGATTACTTGAGCCCAGGAGTTCAAGACCAGCCTAGGCACATAGGGAAACCTCATCTCTACAAAAAAAAAAAAAAAAAAAAAATTACTGGACATGGTGGCTCCTGCCTGTAGTCTCAGCTACTTGGGAGGCTGAGGTAGGAGGATCACTTGAGCCCAGGAGGTCGAGGCTGCAGTGAGCCATGATCGTGCCACTGCATGCACTCTACCCTGGATGACAGAGTAAGATGCTGTCTCAAAAAAAAGTTATATGGATTAAGATAGGATTACCAACTGTTAGAGATCAAAATAATGTCAGTACAGATTGGATATGCCTTATTTGAAATGCTTGGGACCAAAAGTGTGTTGGATTTCAGATTATCTTGGATTTTAAAATATTTGTATATACATAATGAGATATCTTGAGGCCGGGACCCAAGTCTAAGCATGAAGTTCACTTATGTTTCTTATATACATTATGCACATAGCCTGAAGGTAATTTTATACCATATTTAAAATAATTTTATATGTGAAACGAAGTTGTGTTAAGTACAGTACTTACATGTGGCATCATATTGGTGCTCAAAAAGTTTCAGATTTTGGAGCATTTCAGATTTTCTGATGAGGGATGCTCAATCTGTAATACACATTTTGGTAAATAAAAGTGTAAGTTTGTAATGGTAAAATTTAACTAGAAATGCATCTCTTAATGAGATGGATAGGGACTTTATTTTCCCAATTTCATGTTGACAAATGTTACTTATTGTTAATGAATCTGGGCTGTATATTATTTCAATTAAAAAATTTTAACATGAAAGAACTAAGGAATCTTGATCATATAAATGAATGAGAAAATAAAGACTTGTTGAGGCAACTTCACCCAATTTTTAAAATTTCTTCTTAGTCGTATGCAAAACTCACATAATGGGCTATTATTAAATAATATTTTTAATAATCTGTCAGCTGACAACTCAAGTATAAGGTTCTTCTTCAATTTTGTTGAAAGCAAAGAATTAGAAACCAATTGACTTGCAAAACTATTTTTATACATACATTAGGTTCTTTCACTTTGTTTTTAGAACTATACCAAAGACTTCACAAAGTCTTATAAAATAACTAATAATTATACCTGCTGCTCTTTCCCTTAGAGATACCTTGTTCATGAATCTCAAATTAGATAAAACTAGGGTTAAAGAAAAACAACCCCCCACACACAAAATTGGAGATCAAAAATCAATAGGTTCTTAAAAAATATCTCTTCATTTTTTATGTCATCTGGAAGTGCCTTTTAAAACTATGACACAGAGATGGTGCTGTATAGTTTACAGTTCATGTGTGTGTGTGTTTAATTTCATTATTGTACAAAATTGTTAATTTTATAATCATGCATTTGATAGATGTAAAACAGTGTGTCAGCCTCCAAGCGGGAGAAATTAATCCAAAATAAATGAAGCTGGATTTCTAAAGTTTAGAGCATCACATCCAAGATTGCATTTGGGAACATTCTGTTTTGTATCCATACACAAATGAATTTCTGTTTTTAAGAACACAATTTAATCTACTTAGTGGAAATCAACAGCAAAATGAAGAGAAGGTATTAGATAATTAATAAATATAGGTTTACAGAAATTCTATTACTGACTGCTATTATGTGCATTAATTACAGCAGAATCCACAAAACATTTCCATCAAATTAAATCTTACTCTAGGAGGTATATGATAAAAATAAATAAATGAACAGAGAAATAACAGCATACTATAAACTGTTACCCAAATAGAAAAATATATTTACACTATCCAGAAATCTTTGGTAAAAGTTAATGAAAATATTTCCCCTATTAGTTAGAAGAAGTTCAAGAAAACATACATTAAAATACCTTCAATATGTGTTTGTTTTACTCCAAGATGTGATGTTGATCTGTGAGAAATTAATTTTGAGCGTTTTGCCTCCACTGCCTTGAAATAATGCAAAATAAGCAACTGAGCTGGGGGCAGTGGCTCATCCCTATAATCCCAGTGCTTTGGGAGGCCAAGGAGGGAGGATCGCTGGAGCCTGGGTGACAGAATAAGACTCTCTCTCTCTCTCTGTGTATATATATATATATATTTGCAACTGAAGCACAGATGGGACACAGGTAAGTGGGAGAACTCACCAAGCTCTTTGTTAGTATTTAGAGTGTTTCATAGAAAGTTAATATTTCTTAACTTTTTTTTTTTTTTTTTTTTTTTTTACAAATTTAGAATATCCTAGCTCTGAGACAAAAATTGGGAACCTCAGCATGAGTTTGTCACCTGAATGAAATAAAAAAAATCACGTTGAAGGCTGGTGCAGTAACATGTGCCTGTAGTCCCAGCTACTCTGGAGGCTGAGTCAGGAGGATCACTTGAGACCAGAAGTTCAGGAATTCAAGACTGGCTTGAGCAACATAGCAAGACTTCATTTCAAAACAAACAGAAAAAAGCCACCACCTTCAGTATTTCTTGCCAAAGCAAAGGAGCCATTTGTTCTTTACGATGGTCAGGAAAGGAAGCATCAAGGTCATCAAATGAAAAATTTTCAGCATTTCAGCCTCTCTGCTCAGGGAAATACCTGAATCTAGAATATCACAACATGAGCCAAAACCGCCCCATTTCTCATGCCACATGTCACTCTTAACACAAGGTTACTCAACCTCGAGCATGGTTGGCATTTGGGGCTGAATAATTCTTTTTTGTAGGGGGCTGTCCTGGGCATTGTAGGATGCTCATGAGCTACCTCAGTCTCTACCACCCACTAGATGCCAGTAGCATTGACCCCTGATCTCTCTACCCAAGTTGTGACAACTAAAACCATCTCTGGATAATGGAGGAACCTTAAATGCATATTGCTAAGGAAAAGCCAATCTGAAAGGATTACATATTGTATGAGTCCAACTATATGGTAATCTGGAAAAGGCAAAACCATGGAGACAGTGAAAAGGTAGTGGTTACCAGTGGTCCATGGGAAGGGTTGGATGAATAGGTGGAGCACAGAGGATTTTTAAGGCAGTGAAACTATTCTGAATGATACTGTAATGGTGGATACATGTCATACCTTTGTCAAAACCAATAAAATATAACAACCAATAAAACTGCACAAAGAGTGAACCCTAATGTAAACTATGGACTTAATAATGTATCAATATTGGCTCACCAATTTTAACAAATGTACCACACTAATGCAAGATGTTACTAATAGTGGAAACTGGAGGGAAGAGGGCTTGAGGGGACATACAGGAACTCTCTGTAATTCCTGTTCAGTTTTTCTGTAACTGTTAAACTGTCCAAAAAAAGTCTGTTTTTATAAATGGAGGCATGGTTTTATATGGACTAAAATACTATGATTGCCTTTTTATTTTACACATGGTGAAATTAGAGCAGGACATATTTTAAACTCAAAATTCACAAAATTAATTTATGAAAATGTTTACCCAGATCAAGAATATTAAAGAAACTTAGATTAATATTGTTACCTTGAATTTATTTTACTGAGTAATCCTCTAAGACTCCTCTACACATTATTAATCTAGAAGGATTTTTAAAGTCTTTATGACAATTAATTATTGGTCTACAGTCAAATTGCATATCCCCATTAACTAGAGTTATATTTTTCCATTTTCTGATCCAAAAACTTTAGGAACAGGAAATGTTTATTTTAGAAAACAAGAACACTTCTTAAGCATTTGCTGTTAACAGTTATTTTCACATGTGCTTGTACTTATTTTACACTTGTCAGAACATAGTATTTACCTTTGAACCAAGGTTTTATAATAAGCAAGCACTTTTTTTATTTAGAAGTCACATTTTCCAAGTAGAAAAATCATTAAAAATTCAGTCCTCTGAAGGCTAATTTCTTTAAATCATTTAACCTAATTGTTTAAGGTATAGATTGGAATTTTTCTCAGCACTCTCTTGAAAACAGGTGACAGTGGAACCCTGTTAGGTTCACAAATCCTAGACTTTGATTATATAGCCCAGGCTCAAATTTTTCTCGAATGTTACGAACATTCAAAGCATTAGGAGTCTTGGTTTCATTTCTTAATTTTTTTTCTTCTGGGTATATTTGAGACTCATCTTGGATTCAAATAAATTAATAATAGTCTCATGAAACCGATAAAAATGGGAGCTCCATTGAACATGAGAGACATTGATTCGTAGTTTCTAACATCCTCCAAATGAGGAGCCCATCCCTAATTTAGATGCTTCTTTCAAAGGAGGCTCCTTTCCTTCGTTATCCATAATATAGTCACACCAGTCCTGAAAAAACATGGAACAGACTCCAGATCTTTATATTTCATACTCTAAAGTCGTACAAGCCAATCTGCATTTCCTCTAGTGGAAACTGTATAGCTGGTCATCTTTCCAGGACCCTTTTATCAAGAAACAATGCAGCTTCTACATTTGTGCTGCTTCTACACCAAAACAGCTGGAATGTATATAGTATGGTTCTGGATGCTCTTGTATACCTCACTCTTCATTTCTCACCTAACCCATGTGCTATGATTTGAATGTTTCTCCCCTGCAAAACTCATGTTGAAATGTAATTGCCATGATAACAGTATTAATAGGTGGAATATTTAAGAGGTGATTAGGGTGGGATTGGTGATGTTATAAAAGGGTAAGTTCAGCCCCTTCTTGCTCTCTCTGTCACCCTTCCACCTTCCTCTGTGTGATGATGCAACAAAAAAGCCCTTCCCAGATGCCAGCATCTTGATTTTGGACTTCTCAGCCTACAGAACTATAAGCCAATAAATTTCTGTTATTTGTTATTAGTCTGTGATATTCTGTTACAGTAGCACAAAATGGACTATGACACCATGTGTTTACACAGAAAGAAAAAAATATCATACGGTAATTGCTCCTAAATATGCAGAGAATATGTTCTGATATCCTTAGTGGATGCCTGAAACTGCAGATAGTACCAAAC
Source organism: Homo sapiens (assembly GCF_000001405.40). Lineage (NCBI taxonomy): Eukaryota > Metazoa > Chordata > Mammalia > Primates > Hominidae > Homo > Homo sapiens. Next base: position 4,302,840 of record NT_167249.2, read on the forward strand.
CTTATATATACTATGTTTTTTTTCCCATACATATGCATGTTAAAGTTTATAAGTTAGGCAGAGTAAGATATGAACAATAACTAATAATGAAATAGAAACGTAACGATGTGCTGTAATAAAAGTTATGTGACTGACACCTCTTTTTCTTCCTCTTTCTCTCAAAATATCTTAATATTTTCAAGCCATGGATAACTGAAACTGCAGAAAGTGAAACTGTAGATAAACTATTAACTCTATTTAAACAATAAAAGAATTATAATTATATTCTTGGGAAAATTAACAATTATCCAAAGTCCCTTTGCAAAGGGAAAAAAAATGCATGTATTGGAAAAAATCTCAACCACAGGGTTCCCTAAGCTTTGCAAACAACAAATAGCATCCACCTATCCATCCTCAGAGAGCAACAGTTTTACTGTTATTTAGAAAAAGCAACTATTTCAGGCTGCAGGTTGTGCACATCAGCACTTCCCAGCTCTCTACTAATATGGGAAAACTGACTATCCCTGACTTCAGTTTTTGTGAAGCTAAATGCCTGACTAGAGTTTAAACTGAGGCTAATTGGAGATCATAAAATTTTACAGCTTGCTAGAGGTGGACCACGATTTTGATTGGAAACTTTCCACCAACCAATTCTAAAAGGTGTTAATGGTGACTATTTTCTAAAACAAATCTGAAGAGTAACTAATATGATAAGACCAGAAATATATTTCTCTGGCAAGTCCCTATAAAAAGAAAGCTAGGTAATTAAATAATCTCTCAACAATATTGTTTTAGGAAACCCAATAGAGAGTTTCACAGGCCTGTTTCTTATGGGATTGCTCAATGTAGGTAAATATTATCAAACCAAAAAGTAATTTTGTAACAGAAATTCTACAGAGCCCCAATACCTTACAGAATGATGAGTACAACAGTAGAAACAAATAGAAGATAACCTAGAAAAATAAAGCGAATAACTTAATGGCGTGAGTTAGGTTAAGAAAAGCTTCCTGGAAAAAGACATCTGAATAGAATTTTAGTAGATATAGCTAGGAATTCCCAAGCAGGTAGAAGAAGGGGGACATTCCAGGCAAAGGAATCATGTGAATGCAAAGGTAGGGAGTCATGAATCAATATGTTCGGTTTTTTTGTTGTTTTTGTTTTATAAAGAGCTATAATAGGCTGGGCACAGTGGCTGTAATCCCAGCACTTTGGGAGGCTGAAGCAGGTGGATCACTTGAGCCCAGGAGTTCGAGACCAGCCTGGGCAACATGGCAAAACACTGTCTCTACAAAAACAAAAAAAATTATCCCTGTTCAGTGGTGTGCGCCTGTGGTCCCGGCTACCTGGGAGGCTGAGGCGAGAGGAGTGCTCAAGGTGGGAGGTGGAGATTACAGTGAGCAGAGATCACACCACTGCACTCCAGCCTGAGCGACAGAGAGACTCTGTCTAAAAAAAAAAAAAAAAGCTATAATAAGATCAGCTTACTAGACAATACAGTGAAATGGGGGAAGCTAGAGAAGAGAGGTGGGCAGTGGCCTCTTATGCTACGTAAGAGATTTGACATCATAAAGTAAGTTGCCAGAGTTCTGAATGAGGGCATTAGAAATAGTAATGAACAGGAAAGCATACACTTAAGAGCTGTCTGCTGTCTGGGAGGTGGAATTTACACTGAGTACTGAGTAATAGAATGAAGGGGTTGAGGGAAAGGTAAGAATCTAGGGTGAGTGTAAATCTTCTGGTTCAGGGGATAAACAACAGGAAGTCATTGAAATCTATTGGCCTATCCGCATTTTGAAATTATTTTTACTCATGTAAGATTCTGTAACATTATATGGTCATTAGGAAATATCTGTTTACTGAATTATGGAGGTATTCGAAATGTTCAAACATTTCATGCAATATCAAAAACTCAAACTGGCTGCAGTGGCTTATGCCTGTAATCCCAGCACATTGGGAGACCAAGGCAGGAGTACTGTCTGAGCCCAGGAGTTCAAGACCAGCCTGGGCAACATGGCAAGACCCCATCTCTACAAAATTTTTTTAAATTTGCCAAGAGTGGAGTGCACATCTGTGGTCTCAGCTACTTGGAAAGCTGAGGCAGGAGGATCACTTGAGCCCATAAGGTTGAGAGCTGCATTCAGTGAGCCCTGTTCATGCCACTGCAATCCAGCCTTAACAACAGAGCAAGACCCTGTCTCAAAAAAATATTATATTCATTAATGTTGCTGCTGATATCAGAAAAAATTCTAAGTATCCCACAGTAGCAGATACAAGCTTTTCAAAATTCCAACTTCTACTTTTAAAAGCTTAAATTTTAGCACTGGCAACAAATACAACTAGTTGTTTTCCCTAAAGTGATAGTATCACTGTTTATTTTCAAGAAAATGTCTGCCAAATTCCCAAGTCTGAATAATCAATTTTCTGTCACTTTTTTTTTCCAAGTGAAAAGATGGTGTTTCCATGAAAGAAAAGAAAAAGTGGCTAATTCAGCTTGCAACTCAAACAAGTGTTTTTCCAAAAGACAACTATATTTCAGCATGCAGTAGAAGTGTTTTATGGGTACATCACATTGTGTCACAAAGAATTTTTTTAAATGTGCTTAAGGGTTGAGATTTAGTAGAAAATAATTTTTACAACTTCATCAAGGACATTATTTTAGTAAAACTGTTTTTTTTTTACTACGAATGTGTGGTGGTGAAGAATACAATGACTACTAATAAAATTTGGTGCCATTGCCTTAATTCGTGCTAAGACACCAGTCATTTTACCCACCATTGGATAAAATCCACCATTTTTGCACCATCAGTGCAAATGTTAACACAGTTAACACAGTTGTTGAGGATAAACCACCAGATTCAAAAAAGTCATATAACACTTTTAATGTTTCAGAACCCCTGTTGCCCAGAATTCACATAAAAGAAGATCATCAATGGTCAATTGATGCTGATACCTGATGAATGAAAGCAAAACAGGATGTATAGCCATCTGTAGATCAGTCCCTTTGTAAGGCTAAGGTACAATTCTTTAGATGATATATTAACTCAGTCTTTATGTTTGCAGTTAAATCTTTAATTTGACAAGTTATTGCATCATTGGAAAATGCCAGCACTATGCATTCTTGTGGTGATTTTTCATCCAGCAGGTATTCAGCAATGTCAACTGTTCAAGCCTTTATTAGTCTCTCTGTGATTGTGTGTGCTCCTCTAGCCAATACAATATGATGGCTTATCCTGTAAGAAGCTTTTAAAGAGTGTATTACATCTACATTTCGGTTATTTAATTCCTTTTTTTAATAAATTCTGAATGATTGGTCCCAAAATGATACTGCAACTTTGTTGGAACCATATAAGTGTTTGAAAATGTTTTACTGCACAAGACACAATATGATAAATTATTAACATCTATAAAGCTGAACAAAAGATCACTTTCAACATATTTTTGTTGTGTATAGTTGTGCTCAGTTTCTTTGGAATAGATTTCTCCTTTTTATGAGGAATCAGATAACTTGCTGATATGTCAATGTCATCCTTTTCAGCATCTCTAGACATAGGCAATCTAGACACCAGAAAATGTGTTTTCTCTTCTCCCTTTTTAAAGCCAACCATCCACCCTATTCAGATAAAATTTTTTAATTAAAAACATTTTTGAAAAATATATTATTGCAAAACAACAAAGTAAACATAATTTTTGTTATGTTTCTGTGTAAAAGGAAAAACTTTAGGATTTAAAAATGATTTCTTGGAAGATAATGAGATTACAGAGATTATAACAGGTATAACTGAAGATAGCTGGTAAGAGCATGGTAGAAAAGAAATAATTTCTGAAAACTACATACTTATACCGTAAACTCACTACCTTTGAAAACTCTAGAAAATACAATACACAGGCACACAATCTGTTAGGTATCAGAGAAATAGTCATCACTATTCATCACATGCCATTGTTGTCTTTGGCGAACCCTTCTGTACACTTATGAGAGTGAGAGTAAAAAAAAGGCAAATAACATCTTAATTTTATGAATATTTTTGACCTTGTTGACCCTCTAAAAGGATCCAAGGGATCTCTCCCTTCCAACATCCCCAGGAATCCTCTGATCACATTTTGAGAACTGTTGGATAAGTCAGTTAATATTGCAGGAACATAGGCTATCACCATGGGGAATAAATGAAACCAGATCTCTACCTCACACCATTACAAAAATAAATTTTAAATGAAATAAAAGGCTAAATGTGAAAAGGTAAAGGTTTAAAGCTTTGGGGGGGAAATGTAGAATAACTTTATTATCTCAAGGTAGATAGCCTAACAATACCACGTGCTGAAGCAGAAATGTGAAGAAATGGGAATTTGCATAGAATCTTGGTGGAAGGGTTAGTTTTCCCACTTATTTCAACTACTTATTTCACATATGCAGTGTTGTACAAATTTAAAGAGACAAGAATCCTACAGACAAGCAATTCTATGTTTATATGCCCTAGAGACCTGAAGACATTCTCAAATACAAAAACAAAGAAGTATGCATAAGGATGTTCATTGCAGGTTTGCTTATAATTGGTGGAAAGTCAGGGGATGCCCATCAGTGCATAAAAAAGTAAATAAAATTGTGTTGCCTTTCTACAATAAATTGTGCAACCATTAAAATAAACTAAATGTCCATATTTCACAAGGACAATTCTCACAACATAATAACAAATGATATGCACTAACTTTAAACTAGTAATTGCATCTGGTGAGGGAAAAGAAAGGTGGACCTGAAGTCAGGTGCAAACAGCACAACTGTATTTGAGTAGTGGTTGCATGACTGTTGTTCCATGTATTTTCTGTATGTTACAAATATTTACTATTAATTATAACAACATAAGATGTACTCTAACTCCTTCATGCTGCTAATTATAGAATATCTACTTTGTTGACTAAACCCTTTAGCATATATATATATATATATATATATATATATATATATATATATAGCCTATTTCTGTTAATGGTTCTTTGGATAAATAACAGTTGACTTTGTTCCTCTGCTTGGTATTTTAAAAAACCTATTAGTTTACAAATCTCTTACTAATTTTAGTTTTAATATTTGTATTGTTAAGTATTTTAAACACACAGAAAGGCAAATAAACCCCCATTACCCAAACACCCAGCTTTATTAAATCTTAGTATTTTGTCCTATTTGTTTCAATGGTTTTTTTAATAAATCAGTGACTACAATAAAATTGATACCTCTGAATCCTTCCATTTTCTTTTCACTGCCCCCAGATATAACCACCAATGTGAAGTCAGTTTTATCATTGCTATGCATGTTTTTAATATTTTTACTAAATGTTTATGAATTCTTAAACATTATGAAGCATTATGTTATAGAGTTTTTAAGTTTTATAAAATATTATCTAATACTGTTACTTTAAGAAAACCTGCAGTAACCCCTTCTGAAAAAGATTAATCACACGTAATTTGTTACATATTAAAATAACTGCTCCTAAATAGTGATGTGGCCTTGGGCAAGCTCTTTCAAGTTTCTGTGAGCTCCAGCTTTTCCTTATCTGTGTGGTAAAAGAATATGAGACTATGTCTGCGCTCTCTTTCAGATTATAAGTCTCTATAAATTATTCAACTCAAATGTCCCCATGGGTTTACTTAAAGGATAGTTTTGTCCACTTATGAACAACTGTGTTTCATCAAAATCAGAATTTACTGAATGTTCATTCATTTTAACTTTTTTAAGTGGTTTGTCACAGAATTCCTTTCAATGCTGAGATTTTCAAATATATTGCAACCATCGAGAGGACATTCTTGAATATTCACTATGAGCCTGATGCTATGCGAGGTGCCAGAGATACAAGAGGGAACTTGACAGGTACAGTCTGTCTCCCACAAAGCTTATGGCTGAGTTTTTAAAATATAATTCAAGCTTTTCAGGAATACAGTCAATCCATAAAGCAATAGGGAGAAACATTTCCAATATCAAGAGGCACTGATGAATGAATGTGTGAATAACTAAATTTTGTAACTTTTTTTGTAGACATAAAAATAAGCATTCACTGTGTCATCCTTAAATAAAATCATTGGCAGAGTGTAGCCTATAAATGTCTGGAAATACCTCACCAAAGGCTAGAAGACATTTTGCCAGAAGGAAGTAATGTTTACATTTCTATATTTTGTTTCTTTTTCCTCTACATATGCATTTTGTCCTATGTCTATGTCTCCTTCTTAATAGGCTTTGACATGAACCCAAAGCAAATGTTTCCTATTATTTTATCTATTTATTGAATATACATTGTTTTCTGAATGCTATTCCTTTCATTTACCAGTTCTAGTAGTCTGGGTTTGCTCTTATTTCTCTTTACTCTAAAATGGTTTTTTTAATCTGTAACACAGAACTTAGTGCTTGGTTATATATAGGTAGGCATTGTTTTCTAAAAACACTGGTTTACAAAATGGAATGTGCACACTACAGGGAATGTGCAAATGATCCTTGAGGATACAGGAAGGAAGTGTTAAAGTTTCTATTTATTTTGGTAACTTATAAACTTTCTATTTGTTACAGTGTGAGTTCTGGTGTATATAGTCAAGCCATATGCTAGTACATGGGATAATGTATAAATAAACATGTAAGTGTCGATAAGTACTCAACTCTTTTTTACTGAGAGGGCTTTAGGCTTTTTTTTTTTTTAAGTTTCAATACCACAGTTCAAATGTGTGTGTTGGTCTTATCTATGTAATTGTTTTGTGTGCTCTTTCAGGGAGTGGTGGTGTCTTGTGTCTCTTACTCTGTCCAAAGGACCTTGTATGTATAAATGCGAATAAATATTTATTGAACTCCACTAATAAATGATTCCATTCTTCAGACCATCAAACTAAGGACTACGCTTTGAACATGCTTTGGAAACATTTTCATTAAAGCCAAAATGTCTCAGAAATGTTTAATTAAAAAATAAAATTGGCCGGGCGCAGTGGCTCACGCCTGTAATCCCAGCACTTTGGGAGACCGAGGCTGGCAGATCACAAGGTCAGGAGTTTGGGACCAGCCTGGCCAATATGGTGAAACCCCGTCTCTACTAAAAATACAAAAATTAGCCAGGCATAGTGGCAGGCGCCTGTAGTCCCAGCTACTCGAGAGGCTGAGGCAGGAGAATCGCTTGAACCCAGGAGGTGGAGGTTGCAGTGAGCCGAGATCACACCACTGCACTCCAGCCTGGGAAACAGAGTGAGGCTCTGTCTCAAACAAAATAAATAAATAAAATTAAAAGGGAAGACAAAGATATTTTTCTTTGTACCAGTAGAAGGAAGATTTAATGAAAAATAAACTGCAATAGTAAATTTAGAAGTAATACTGAAAGAGCAACTGGGAAGTCTTAGATGAAGTTGTCACCAGCTTCTTCAAAGCAATGAAATATCCAGTTGTCCCATTTAATTCTCATTTGGTATAATTTTTCATTGATAAGAATAATTCATAATTAACCAGCTTACATATGCTTCTTAAATTTTAGTGTACATAAGAATTGCTAAGAAGTAGGCTTAAATGCAAATTCTCAGGCTCCAGCCCAGGGATCCTAATTCAGCAGTTCTAGAGGTTATTCAGAAATCTGCATTTTCATGAAGTACCCTGGATGATTCTAATGGATGTTGTCTGTAACACAACTTTCAGATAAATGTCCTGTATAAGCATATTCTATCTTGCCATTAGCCATGAGAATTTGATTAAAGAAACAAATCTAAGAACCCAACTACTAGTCTATTACTCCAACCATTCCTTCTTGCCAACTGTGATCAGAAGTATGAAAAAAACAGCCCATGTTCTTCCTTAGAGGAAGACCATATCCCAACTGTGAAATGGTCCAGACATCTTGGAACTGAATATGGATTGTGATCCTGATACCCCCAACCCTCACTGCTCTTCATATACCAGCTGAGCATTTCATAATATTTATTCGATAAACCTTTCCTTGGTCCTGAGCCTCCTTGCTTCCCGACCTACTCCATGTAGCCTGGCTACTCTTATTTCCATGAGGTGGGCTGTCTTCTGGCCCTCCCATCATCCCCAACAGATGTGAACATGAGGGACCTTGGAGCAGGGGTAGATACTCCAGTGCAAAAATAGTGGACACTCACCTCTTCTAAGACCTTTTATCAATCATTCTCTAAACACCTCTCAAACATGTCCTTCCCTTGTATTTCCTCTTTCAGTGGATTAAACCACTGTCCACTCAACTGTCTGAGTGAGAAGATTGGATTCAGTGAGTTTTCAGGTCCTACCAAGTCTATTTCAAAGTGTCATTTCAATGATTTTATTTCCTTTGCTTCTAAATAGTGGCATACATGGATATCAAGTACTGTAGTGGGTTCAAAATTGGAGAAATGGATTTTGAAGTCATCTTTTTGCAGGTACAAGAGAAGCCATATTGAGTCAGTCAGAGAAGAGAAGACAGGAAAAGTAGAATAAAATCTTTAGAATATTCAAAGCATTACACAAATGTAATGTTTTATTATTAACTGTGACTTCATTTTGGTTCCAATTCTGTCCAGAGAAATTTGAATGCTGGAGTTTTGGGAATTTTAAGGCTTTGAGCAAGGAACATTTTATGATCCTCTGCTTACCACTTGTTTATTTACAACAGAATTTCAGCAATGAAGAGAAAGTTATTTTTGTAGGAAAAAAAATCCTACAATGCTTACTTCATACAAATTAGTTGTGCCTTGGGTTCAGATTAACATACACACTCAAAAGACTTGGTGGGCTGTTATACGGCAACTTATTTATTTAGCTTTGTAGAGGAATATTGGATATGGAAACATAGCTTGTCAGCCTGACAGCATTAGACATCTTCATCAGGAGTCTTTATGTATTCTAGATGCTGATTCTTAACCCTCTCATCTCATGGGAATATGCATGGTCATAGTAGACAAGACCACAGGAGTAGGGGAGAGGCACGGGGGAGCCATTCTAGGATGGAAGAATCTCTCACATGACAGGAACCACATCTTATACCAACCCATGAGTGAGGATTCCAAGAAAACAGGCATATTCGGATTCAAGAAACACACCATAACAGAGTCCAGGGCCTACATTTCCCAACAGGTTTTCATACGGGTCTGGTCATATAGGTCCACCAAGTCTAAATGCCTGCCCGCAGTCTGCCCAGCATAGATGTAGTTCACCAACCAGGGGTCATTTCCACACTTATAAATAAATAAATAAATAAATAAATGTGATTTTTTAAAATACAGCTGACATTTCACATTTATCCAAACAGTACATTTCAAAGAAACAGTAAGTATAAGGTAAACTGGAGTTCATCTTCCCATGGGAAAAAAGAGCTTAAAACTGTTGTTAACCCTTTGACCTACCATCAAACATTGCTTACTCCCACTCAAGAGCTCATTCCAGTTAGGACACAACCTGGTGACAGCCCTTCCTGGTAGCAACTACTGAGCATTGCAAGGAGAAGAAATTGGGATGGGTGCCTATAAAGAGAAAAACTCTCTTTTTAACCTTCAAATCTAAAGAAAATCAATCCAACAAGCATTTGCTGCAAACCTAGTGCCAAGCACTGCCACATAGGAAGATGCATCTGCCATCTGTCAAGACAGACTGAGGGAGGAATGGGGGTAGAGACCAATTAGAAAATAGGAAAAAACGAGACCAGCTGGGGACAGCTGCAGCAAAGCACCCTGAGGATACTAAACACCCTCAGTATTTAGCTAGGATGGCCTAAAAGAGCTAATCTGAAAGAATTCATAAATCATATGGATGCTTCTATTATAAATTAGAGGAAAGGCAGATTTATACATCATGAAGCCTATAAGGTAAATATTATCTAGTAGTATGAACATAGCTTCACCACACAGCCTCCTAAAAATCTATGGATACTTTCCTGAAAGTACCCCTGAAGGCATTCCTCCTGGATTCTGTGAAGTAAATTAGCCCTCAAGGTGTACCCAGCAAGGGCTCAATAGAGTGCACAATAAATGCTCAACACACATCTATCTTCCTCCCCTCCCACTATCCAAGCTTCATGCCTACCTCATGAATCTCCAAGTTCCTTTCTCTCCTGTCCCTGGAGCATAGATGAATCAGAATCCCTGCTTGCCACCCCATTGGACACCTTGAAAAGAGACCCTTGGAATGGCTATGACGACACATCAGTCCTGGCTACGAGTGTAAGACCCTGGGCATCAGGAAGCCTCAGGCCATGAGCTATTGAATGTCGCTTGTCACTTTGCCCTTTGAGGACCAGAAATAAAGCTTCCAGTTCCTGTGAAATGGCAAATAGGTAGGTTCAGGCTTCCAGCTCCCTCACCCAAAATTAATTTTTGTAAAGGTAGAGAAGCAAAAGGAAGCAAGGATCTGGGGAGCTGGCAACACCAGAAATAAGTATAAAGTGTTTTTATATTTGCCAGGAGAGACAGAACTGCTGTCTTGAGCTGGTGTGCGTAGAGAATGGGCAGGGCTGCATCCTGGGAGATAAGCCACAGTGGGAGAACAGGCTGCAGGAAGACTTTTTAATTTCTGCACTATGTCCTTCCCAATCGGCTTGGGACAATTGTTGCCTCCCCTTCATACATAAACAGGCTGCAACAGGCCAGGCTACTTGTATCTTCAAGGTAAATCAGTAGGGAACAGATGAAACTAGGGGTGAGCTTTTGGGTATTCTCTTCTCCACTACTCACGACCACTGCCCCAACTCCCAGCGCTGGTGAATCCCAACGTGGAGCACCTGCCTACTCCCAACTGTGCTTTTCCTAGGAGTTGCCTGAAAGAGTAGTGGCAAATGGGGAGATCCACAGTGTTTCTGGGCTCTCTACCAGGGCTGGATCTGGAGGGACACAGACCAGTATTTGACTTTATCTCTTCCCCATTACACATTACCCCACAGACTAGCTGGTGCCCTCCTGGAGACGTGAGCTCACAGATCAACATAATGATATGGCTAAGGAACAAAAAAATTGCAAAACATAGACAACAAATTAACACCATATACTATCTAATGCAGAATTGTGAAGAAGATGAACCAAGAACTTGAAACAAAATGGCAAATATACTTAAGATAATAGAAGATACCAGCAACATAAAGCAAAACCAGTAACTCACAAAAACAAAGACAGAATATTAGATGTTAAAACTATAACAGTAGAAGTTGTAAATACTATAGATTAGACAAGTACCAGGATAAATATAGCTGAAGAATAATTTGTGAGGTAAAAGATAAGATGAAAGATAATCCCAGAAGACAGTAGGAAAGAATAAAGACATCAAAAATATAAAAGAAAGTTCAGCAAAATGTATGCTAGAAATAGAAGTATCAACATCTGAATCATAAGAGAACTCACAGTGAGAGGAAAAAAATATATACGTGAGAAAATAATGACTAATAAATTTACAATTTTTTTTTAATTATGAAAGACCTCAGAGAAAAGGGTTCAAAGGATACTTAACAGGAGCTTCAGAAAAATCCACACCTATGCTCGTTATATTGAGACAAATAAATATTTTTAAAACTTAGAAAGAAGAGTTTATCAACTGGGCACAGTGGCTCACGCCTATAATCCCAGCACTTTGGGACTTTGGGAGGTAGAGGCGGGTGGATCACTTGCGGACAGGAGTTCGAGACCAGCCTGGCCAATATGGTGAAACCCTGTGTCTACTAAAAATACAAAAATTAGCCCCGCCTGGTGGCGTGTGCCTGTAGTCCCAGCTACTCGGGAGGCTGAGGCAAACCCGGGAGGTGGAGGTTCCAGTGGGTGACAGAGTGATACCCTATCAGAAAAAAAAAAAAAAAAAAGAACAGTTTACAAAGGAGTAAGATCAGATTGATGTCAGACTTTTCAACAGCAATGAATGCAAGAATAAAATAAAATAATATTTTTATAGTAGTGAAGGAAAATAAACTGGAGTTTAGAACTTTATATGTATCAAAATTGCTATTCAAGTGAGATGGCATAACAAATTTATTATCATGCAAAGAATCCAAAGGCTCATATTTAAAACACTCTTGGACGTGGAAAAAAAAAAAAAAAAAAACACTCTTAGAGGAAGTACACAAAAAGAGAATCAAATCAAGAAATTTACAACAACAAATATAAGGGTGATTTGTCAACAAATCCAGGACCATATTTTTAAAAGAGGGTAAATGAATGTGTGTGTGTGTAATATCTACTTGGTAGGAGAATTGGCATTAGAGGGAGGGAAGTAGAAAATCAAAAGAACATAAGAGTATGCTAAAGAACTTAGGAGGCAAGATATAAATATTAAGGTAGTTAAGACATTTTAAAAGGTAAATGCTCACTGTGTTAAATTAAAGGCAACCACCATAAGAACAGAATCAGTATGTATAACTTTTAATACAGCAGAAAAAAATCAGTCTATCAAATGGAAAGCAAGAAAAGGGAAGAAACATTGTACAATAAAAACAGAATGTGAAATGAGTTGCAAAAGTAAATCTTTACTTCAGCAGTTACCAATAAAAGAACAAAGGCTCTAATAATGGAGGAAAAAGGGAACCAAATCATGTGTGATTTATAACAAATACTCTTTTTTAACTTTTAAGTTCAGGGGTAAATGTGCAGGTTTGTTTCATAGGTAAACTTGTGTCAGGGAGGTTTGTTGTACAGATTATTTCATTACCCAGGTATTAAGCCTAGTATACATTAGTTATTTTTCCTGATCCTCTCCCTCCTCCCACCTCCACCCTCCAATAGGCCCATGTGTGCAGTTCCCCTCTGTGTGTCCATGTGTTTTCACAATTTACCTCCCACTTATAAGTCAAAACATCTGGCATTTGATTTTCTCTTCCTACATTATTTTGCCAAGGATAATGGCCTCCAGCTCCATCCATGTCCCTGCAGAGGACATGATCTCATTCTTATTTATATCTGCATAGTATTCCATGGTGTATGTGTATCACGTTTTCTTTATCCAGTCTATCATTAGTGGGCATTTAGGTTGATTCCAAGTCTTTGATATTGTGAATAGTGCTACAGTGAACATATGTGTTCATGTGTCTTTATAATAGAATGATTTATATTCCTTTGTGTATGTTCCCAGTAATGGGATTGCTGGGTCAAATGGTATTTCTGTCTTTGGGTCTTTGAGGAATTGCCACACTGTCTTCCACAATGGTTGAACTAATTTACACTCCCACCAACGGTGTAAAAACGTTCATTTTTCTCCATAACCTAGCCAGCATCTGTTATTTTTTGACTTTGTAATAGTAGCCATTCTGACTGATGTGAGATGGTATCTCATTGTGGTTTTGACTTTCATTTCTCTAATGATCAGTGATGTTGAGCTTTTTTTCATATACGTGTTGGCTGCATGTATGTCTTCTTCTGAAAAGTGTTCATGTCCTTTGCCCACTTTTTAATGGTTTTTTTTTCTTGTAAATTTATTTAAGGTCCTTATAGATGCTGGATATTATACCTTTGTTGGATGCATAGTTTGCAAAATTTTCTCCCATTCTGTAGGTTGTCTGTCCACTCTGTTGATAGTTTCCTTTTTAGTGCAGAAGCTCTTTAGTTTAACTAGATCCTGTTGGTCAGTTTTGCTTTTGTTGCAATTGTTTTTGGCATCTTTGTCATGAAATCTTTGCCAGTATATCCTGAATGGTATTGCCTAGGTTGTCTTCCAGGATTTTTATAATTTTGAGTTTTATATTTAAGTCTTTAATCCATCTTGAGTTAAGGTGGATGGTGTAAGGAAGGGATGCAGTTTCAATCTTCTGCATATGGCTACCCAGTTTTCCCAGCACCATTTATTGAATAGAAAATACTTTCCCCATTGCTTGTTTTTGTCAGATTTGTTGAAGATCAGACAGTCATAGGTGTAGTTTTATTTCTGTGTTCTTTATTCTGTTCCATTGGTCTATGTGTCTGTTCTTGTACCAGTGCCATGTTGTTTTGGTTACTATAGCCCTGTATAGTTTGAAGTTGGGTAGTGTGATACTGCTAACGTTGTTCTTTTTGCTTCAGATTGCCTTGGCTATTCTGGCCCTTTTTTGTTTCACATGCATTTTTAAATAGTTTTTCTAGCTCTGGCCGGGCACGGTGCCTCAGGCCTGTAATCCCACCACTTTGGGAGGCCGAGGCAGGGGGAATCACTTGAGGCCAGGAGTTTGAGACCAGCCTGGCCAACATGGCGAAACCATGTCTCTACTAAAAATACAAAATTAGCTGGGCATGGTGGCGCATGCCTGTAATATCCCAGCTACTCGGGAGACTGAGGCAGGAGAATCGCTTGAACCTGGGAGACAGAGGTTGTGGTAAGCCGAGATCGCACCATTGCACACTAGCCTGGGCAACAAGAGCAAAAACTCCGTCTCAAAAAAAAAATAATAATAATAATAGTTTTTCTAGCTCTGTGAAGTATCTCAATGGTAGTTTAATAAGAAGAGTATTGAATCTATAAATTGTTTTGGGCAGTATGGCCATTTTAATGATATTGATTCCTCTTATCCATGAGCATGAGATGTTTTTCCATTTGTTTGTGTCATCTCTGATTTCTTTGAACGGTGGTTTGTAGTTCTCCTTGTAGATATCTTTCACCTCCCCAGTTAGCTATATTCCTAGGTATTTTATTTTTTTTGTGACAATTGTGAACGGGAGTTCATTCCTGATTTGGCTCTCAGCTTGACTGTTGTTTGGTGTATAGGAATACTAGTAATTTTTGCACATTCATTTTGTATTCTGATATTTTGCTGAAGTTGTTTATCAGCTTAAGAAGCTTTTGGGCTGAGACAATGGGGTTTTCTAGATATAGGATCATGTCATCTACAAACAGGGATAGTTTATCTTTCTCTCTTCCTATTTGGACGTCTTTATTTGTTTCTTTTGCCCAATTGCCCCAGCCAGGACTTCCAACGCTATGTTGAGTAGGAGTGGTGAGAGAGGGCATCCTTGTCTTGTGCTGGTTTTTAAGGGGAATGCTTCCACCTTTTGCTCATTCAGCAAGATGTTGGCTGTGGGTTTGTCATATATGGCTCTTATTATTTTTGAGGTATATTCCTTCAATACCTAGTTTATTGAAAGTTTTTAATATGAATGCATATGGCAAATCCTCTTAAAGCAGAAAGATATGTAAAGATTGAAATTTAAAAACAGGGAAAAAAGATTTACCTGGTGGCAAATATGACACAAAAGAAAGTTGGGCAACAGTCTCAATATGTAACAAAATAGAATTGATTTTTTTTTGGGAGGGGGACAGAGTCTTCCTCTGTCTCCCAGGCTGGAGTGCAATGGCACAATCTCGGCTCACTGCAACCTCTGCCTCCTGGGTTCAAGTGATTCGCCTGTCTCAGCCTCCCGAGTAGCTGGGATTACAGGTGTGCCACCATGCCCAGCTAATTTTTTGTATTTTTAGTAGAAACAGGGTTTCACCATGCTAGCCAGGCTGGTCTTGAACTTCTGACCTCAGGTGATATACCCGCCTCAGCCTCCCAAAGTGCTAGGATTACAGGCATGAGCTACCGTGCCCGGCCTATGCACTTTATTTATTTATTTATTTATTTATTTATTTATTTATTTTTGAGACAGAGTTTCACTCTTGTTGCCCAGGCTGGAGTGCAATGGTGCGATCCCGGTACACTGCAGCCTCTGCCTCCTGGATTCAACCGATTCTCCCTACTCAGCCTCCCGAGTAGCTGGGATTACAGGCATGTGCCACCATGCTCGGCTACTTTTGTATTTTTAGTAGAGTTGGGGTTTCATCATGTTGGTTAGGCTGGTCTTGAACTCCTGACCTCAGGTGATCCACCTGCCTCAGCCTCCCAAAGTGCTAAGATTACAAGCGTGAGCCACGACGTCCAGCCTGCACTTTATTTTTAACCTTAAATTCTATTTTGGGCCAGGTGCAGTGGTTCATGCCTGTAATCCCAGCATTTCGGGAGGCTGAGGAGGACGGATTACCTGAGGTCAGGAGTTCGAGATCAGCCTGGCTAACATGGTGAAACGCCATCTCTACTAAAAATACAAAAAGATTAGCCGGTCATGGTGGCACGCACCTGTAATCCCAGCTACTCGGGAGGCTGAGGCAGAAGAATCGCTTGAACCTGGGAGATGGAGGTTGCAGTGAGCCAAGACTGTGCCACTGCACTCCAGCCTGGGCAATAAGAACGAAACTCCATCTCAAAAAAAAATAAAAATAAAAAAAATAAAGTGCATAAAGGACAAAAGAAAAGATGTTCATATAACTTTTAAAGAAACAAGAAGATATAGTAATCATAAATATATATAAACTCAACAATACAGCCTCACAATTTATAAAGCAACAAGTGAAAGAACTACAGTTAGAAGTTGAGTTTTTTAAAAATACATTTGATGATTTTTACAAACCCTCTCTCAAAAACTGGTAGATAAACTAGACCAAAAAGAAAAAAAAAAAAAAAGCAGAGTTCTTGAAGGGCAAAATAATAAAATTATATAAGTTCAAGCTAATTAATAAAACCTGAATAAATAAGAAACTGATAGACTCTCTCACATTAAAAATGACCAAAGAGACATGAAAACTTACTGAAATGCTTGATTCTGGATTGCAGGACAAGAGACTGGGAGTGGCTGGAGTTATAAGGTTCTTTATTGGGAAAACTGGTAAAATTTGAATATGTACTGTGGATTAGCTAATATTATATCCAAGTTAAATTTTCTTAATATGACTGTTTTTCTGTGTTTATGTAAGAGAACAGCCTTGTTCTTAGGAAATACATTGAAATATTTAGCAGGAAAGGGGCATGTGTGTATGTAACTCCAGACTTCCTAACCATTTTAGAGTAAACCATTTTTTCTCTCTAATGTTTTTTCATAACCATTTTAGAGTAAGTCCCTAAAATGGACTTAGGAATATTAATGTTTTTTAGGAAAAAAACAGAGAGGGAAGCAGAGACAGAGAGAAAAAGAAAGCAAATATGACAAAATGTTGCAAATCATTGAATTTGGACAAGTGTACGTAAGAATTCTTTGTACTACTCTTCTAAAATTACTTCAAAATAAAAAGTTTTTAAATGTCACAAGTAACCTGTGAGTTAAAAGAAAAATATAAAGAATATGTAGAATTAAATAAAAATTAAAACACTGCATATCAAAATGTGTTAGATATGATTAAAGCAGAACTTAGAAGGAAATTTTTTACCTTTAAATACACTTACTAGGAAACACAAAAAAAGACCAAAATCAATAAGCTGAGTGTTCAACTCAAACGCTAGGTAAAGAGGAACAGAATACACCCAAAGGAGGAAGGAAATAGTAAAGATAGTCATAAATGAAATAGAGAACTAAAAACAATAAAATAGATGAACAAAAACAAAAGCTGCCCTTTGAAAAGACATTTCTATTTATTATTCCAGGAAACAGAATGAAGAACAAAATCTGCCTAGGTTATTGTTTAGAGAAATTTTTATTACAAAAACAAACAAGGAAATACAAGAAAGGCAAGTTTTACGTCCATGCTTTATAAAAGTAAATACAACAACCCAAGTAAAATATTAACTAAATAACACCAACAGTAAATGTGTAACTATAGGATGAACAAATAGGGTTTATCCCAGGAATGCAAAGATGTTTCACATTTTAAAAATCTCTCAATATAATTCACTATATTAGGAGATTAAGAAGGAAAATACAATGAAATGAGTCAATTCTGATAAACTATTTTTTAAATGTAAAAAACCATTTATGTTTAAAAAATAAACTTTTAGAAAACCAGGAATAAAAGGAAACCTACTAATTTAGTAAAGGTTGACAGCAAAGACTTCTGGAAAAATTGAGTAGACATACTTTTTCCTATTCATCTCACTAAGTACAACTAAAAACTCTGGACATTATATATATATAAAACAAACATAAGAAGACTCTAAAAGGTGGAAATGAGAAGGCAGAACAGCTAGAATCTCAGGATCTGAGGAATGACATACTAGTGAGTTCCCTGGGCTTTCTTTTTGCCACATATATGCTGGGCTTGGAGCTGAAGAAAGTGACAATTTGGAAAGACCAACTGGCACAAACAAACAAACAAACAGAAAAAGCCCCAACAACACTTACAACAAAAGCCCTGATATCACTAGCCAAAAGACCAAGACAGAGGCAGGCAAGCCTGTCAAGCCTTAGAAAGTAACTGTTCAGTTCTAGGCAAATACCATAGCAATAACTGTGACTCTACTGCCATTCACACCAGAAAGACCAAGTGGGAGACCTAAACTTTCACCCTCTTGAAGCTGTAACAAGGTGCTCCAACATCACTCTGCAGTGGTATCCAAGAAGACCAATTAGGAAGCTAAGAATTTCATTTCTGCAAGCCAGTAATGGGGCCCCCTCTCTAAGATGTCAATGGAGATGGGGGCGGGGGGAGAACACCTGCCCAGAAATAATGAAAATGGCTAAAAGAAGTTATCTAAACAGAATGGAAATGATAAAATAGGAACCTTGGAACATCAAGGAAGAAGATAGAACAAGGTAAGCAAATAGATGGGTAAATACAATAAATTTTTCTTCTCCTCTTAAGTTTTCTAAAGTATGTTTGATGGTTGAAGCCAAAATTATAACACTGATGTGGTTCTAAATGTATGTAGAGGAAACATTTAAGACAATCGTATTTTCAGTGAGGAGGATAAAGGGATGGGACATAAATTAGGAAGGTAAGATTTTTATTATTTACTCAAAATGGTAAATGATGACTCCAGCAGACTGTGACAAGTTACATGTATATGTAATACTTAAAGCAACCACTTAAAAGTTATGCATCAATACACTCAAAAACACTGTAGATAAATAAAACTGGCGTTCTAAAAAATGCCCAAGTAAGCCACAGAAAGTCAGAAAAGAGTAAACAGAGATGAAAACTGGAGAGAACAAACAAAATAAATGAAAAACAATTAAGCCCTTCATGTTACTACAGGTTGGATTGTGTCCCACAGAATCCCATGTTGAAGCCCTAACCACCAATGGGACTATATTTGGAGATAGGGCCTTTTACAGAAGTAATTCAGGTTAAATGAATTCATAAGGGTAGGGCCATGATTCAATAGGATTAATTCAATAGGAAGAGAAACCAGGGTATGCTCTCTTGCTCTTTCTCCCTCCCAGCCTTCCTCTCTCTTTCTCTCTCACTCTGCCCCCAGAAGATGGCAACTCTCTCTATAAGCCAGGAAGAGCCCTTACCAGAAGCTGACCATGCTGGCGCCTTGATCTCAGACTTCCAACCTCCAGAACTGTGAGAGAATATATTTCTGTTGTTTAAGCCACCTAGTTTTATTTTGTTATGGCACCCCAAGCTAATACATATATCAATAATTACATTATTCCTAATACAAAGAAATGATAAATTCTTGAGGTGGTAGATGCCCCAATTACTCTGATTTGGTCATTGCACATTGTATGCCTGTAACTAACATCACATGTACCTCACTAATATATACAACGGTTGTGTACCCATAATAATTAAACATAAAAATTAAGAAAAAAAATTACACTAAATGCAAATGATCTAAATACCTCAATTAAGAAACCCAGTTCAGGCCAGGCATGGTGGCTTACACCTGTAAACCCAGCACTCTACAAAAAAAAACAAACAAAAAACAAAAACAAAAACAAAAAAAAACCCAGTTCAAATATAACAATATAGGCCAGGCTCAGTGGCTCTCAGCACTTTGGGAGGCTAAGCCAGGTGGATAATTTGAGGTAGGTCAGGAGTTCGAGACCAGCCTGGCCTACATGGTGAAACCCCGTCTCTACTAAAATACAAAAATTAGCCAGGCATGGTGGTGTGCACCTGTGGTCCCAGCTACTCAGGAGGCTGAGGCAGGAGAATCGCTTGACCCTGGAAGACAGAGGTTGCCGTGAGCAGAGATTGTGCCGCTGCACTCCAGCCTAGGTGACAAGATGAGACTTTGTCTCAAAAAAAACACAAAACAAACAAAAACAACAATAAAACCACACAAATATAACAACATAGGCAGGTTAAAAGTAAAAGGATGGAAAAAGACACAACATGTTTTCCTTAATTAGAGGAATACAGGAGTGAGTGTACTACTCTCAGATAAGGTAAACTTCAGAGCCAAAACAAAAAAAATTACCAGAGAAAGATAAGGACGTTTTATAATAATAGAAGGGTCAGTCTATCAAGAAGACATTGCAGTCAGAAATGTTTATGCCCAAAACACCAGAGCTGTAAAATATGTGAAGCAAAAACTGACGGAACTGAAAGAAAAAATAGAAAATCCACAATTATAATTGGAGACATCAACACAACTCTCACAACTATTAATAAAACTAGAAAGAAGGCAGGGAGTGGTGGCTCAGGCCTGTAATCCCAGCACTTTGGGAGGCCGAGGGGGGTGGATCACGAGGTCAGGAGATCGAGACCATCCTGGCTAACACGGTGAAACCCCGACTCTACTAAAAATACAAAAAATTAGCTGGGCGTGGTGGCGGGCGCCTGTAGTCCCAGATACTCGGGAGGCTGAGGCAGGAGAATGGCGTGAACCTGGGGATGGAGCTTTCAGTGAGCTGAGATCCTGCCACTGCACTCCAGCAGCCTGGGGGACAGAGCAAGACTCTGTCTCAAAAAAAATAAAAATAAAAAAATAAAAACTAGAAAGAAAATCAGCAAAGATGTAGAAGAGCTCAATAACACCATCAACCAACAGGATCAAATCCACATTTACAGGACACTCCACCCATCAATAGCAGAATACACATTGGCTCTTTTTTGTTGTTTTTCTTTTCCGGTTTTACTAGGTGCAAGGGGTACATATGCAGGTTTGTTACATGGGTAAATTGCGTGTCACAAGGGTTTGGTGTACAGATAATTTTAAAAGAATTTAAATTATACAAACTTTTCTCTGACTACAATGGAATCAAATTAGAAATCAATAACGGAAAGACAGCAGAGGAAAAATCATCAGCATAATACCCGATAGGTGCTTTTTCAATCATCACTGTCCTCCCACCCTCCACCCTCAAATAGGCCCCAGTGTCTATTTTTCCCATCTTTGTGTCCATGTGTATGCAATTAGCTGGTTTTTTGCTCCTGCGGTAATTTGTTTAGGATTATGGCCTCCAGTTCCATCTATGTTGCTGCAAAGGCCATGATCCCATTTTTTATAGCTGTGTAGTATTTCATGGTGTATATGTACCACATCTTCTTTATCCAGTGCACTGTTGATGAGCACTGGATAAAGAAATCTAGGTTCATTCCATGTCTTTGCTAACGTGAATAGCAGTGTGATGAACATGCATGTGCATGTGTCTTTATGACAGAACAATTTATATTCTTTTAGGTATATACCCAACAATGGAATTGCTGGGTTGTATGGGAATTTTGCTTTAAGTTCTTTGAGAAATCTCCAGACTGCTTTCCACAGTGCCTGAACTAATTTACATTACCCCCAATAGTGTACAAGTGTTCCTTTTTCTCCACAACCTTGTTAGCACCTGTTGTTTTTGACTTTTTAACAATAGCCATTCTGACTGGGGTGAGATGGTGTCTCATCATTGTTTTGATTTGCATTTCCCTAATGATTAGTTATACTGAGCATTTTTTTCACATGCTTGTTGGCCGCACAGAATATACATTCTTTTGAAGTGTCCATGCAACATATACCAAGTTGGACTATATCCAGGGCCATAAAACAAATATTGATAAATTTAAAAGAATATAAATTATACAGAATGTGTTCTCTGACTACATTGGAATCAAACTAGAAATAAATAACAGAAAGATGACAGAGGAAAGTCAAGAAACTAAGCGAAAACTTTTAAATACTCTACGAGTCAAAAAATAAATCTCAAAGGAAATTTAAAAATACACTGAATTGAAAGAAAATAAGAATACAACATATCAAAAATTTCTAGGAGAGACAACCCACAGAATGAGAGAAGATATTTGCAAACTACCCCTCTAACAAAGGATTAATAACTAGAATATATAAGGAGTTCAGACAACTCTATAGGAAAAAAGAGTTCAATAGTCCAAACAAAAAATGAGCTGATCTGAATAGACATTTCTCAAAAGAAGACATACAAATGGCAATCAGGCTTATGAAAGGTGCTCAACATTATGAATCATCAGAGAAATGCAAATCAGAAGTTCAATGAGATATTATCTCACTTCAGTTAAAATAGCTTGTATGCAGGCTGGACACGGTGGCTCACACCTGTAATCCCAGCACTGAGGGAGGCCGAGGCGGGCAGATCACCTGAGGTCAGGAGTTCAAGACCAGCCTGGCCAATATGGTGAAACCCTGTCTCTACTAAAAATACAAAAATTAGCTGGGCATGGTGGGCCATGCCTGTAGTCCCAACTACTTGGGAGGCTGAGGCAGAAGAATCGCTTGACCCTGGGAGATGGAGGTTGCAGTGAGCAGAGATTGGGCCACTGCACTCCAGCCTGGGCAACTGAGTAAGACTCCATCTCAAAAAAAAATGGCTTGTATCCAAAAGACAGGCAATAACAAGTACTGGTGAGTATGTGGAGAAGGCTTTGTACACTGTTGGCAGGAATATAAATTAGTACAACCACCATGGAGAACAGCTTGGAAGTTCCTCCAAAAAAATTAAAATTGAGCTACCATATGATCCAGCAATCCCACTGCTGGGAATATACCCGAAAGAAAGAAAATTAGTATTTCAAAGAGATATCTGCACTCCTATGTTAATTGCAGCATTGTTTACAATAGCTAAGACTTCGGAGCAACCTAAGTGTCTATCGACAGATGAATGGATAAAGAAAATGTGGTACATACATACAATGGAGTACTATTTAGCTAGAAAAAAGAATGATATCCAGTTATTTGCAACAACATAGATGGAACTGGAGATCATTATGTTAAGTGAAATAAGCCAGGTACAGAAAGACAAACATGACATGTTCTCATTTATTTGTGGGATCTAAAAATCAAAACAATTGAACTAATGGACATAGTGAGTAGAAGGATGGTTACCAGAGCCTGAGAAAAGTAGTGGATAGCTGAGCGGGGAGGTGGGGATGGTTAATGGGTACAAAAAAAGTAGAAAGAATGAATATGACCTACTATTTGATAGCACAATAGAGTGACTATAGTCAAAAATAACTTAATTGTATATTTTTAAGTTACTTAAAGAATGTAATTGAATTGTTTGTAACTCAAAGGATAAATGCTTGAGGGAATGGCTACCCCATTCTCCATGATTTGGTTATTTCACATTCCAGGCGTGTATCAAAACATCTCATGTACCCCATAAACATATACACCTACCATGAACCCACGAAATATTTTCAAAATAATAAAAAAAATTATAGGACACAGCTAAACCAGTGCTGAAAGGGAAATTTATAGCATTAAATGCATACATTAAAAAGAAGAAAAACTGGGTGCTACTTGGGAGGCTGAGGCAGGAAAGGATCACTTGAGCCCAGTAGTTCGAGGCCAGCCTGGGCAACATAAGGAGACCTTGTCTCTTTAAAAAAAAAAAAAAGTACACAAATTAATAATTCAAACTCTCATCTCAAGAGCCCAGAAAAAGAAGATCAAAATACATCCAAAGAAGAAAGGAAGGCCGAGCACTGTGGCTCACGCCTGTAATCCCAATAGTTTGGGAGGCCAAGGCAGGTGGATCACTTGAGCTCAGGAGTTAGAGACCAGCCTGCCCAACATGGTGAATCTCTGCTTCTACTAAAATTACAAAAAATTAGCCAAATGTGGTGGCAGGCGCTTGTAGTCCCAGCTACCTGGAAGGTTGAGGCAGGAGAATCACTTGAGCCCAGGAGGCGGAGGTTGTAGTGAGGTGAGATTGCACCACTGCACTCCAGCCTGGGCCACAGAGTGAGACACAAAAAGTTGCTTCTTTGAAAAGATCAGTCAACTGATGAACCTCTAGCAGACTACACTGACAAAGAAGAAAGAAAGAATATAGAAATGTCCACAGGGAATATCCCTACACACCCTGCAGACATCGGAAAAACATAAATGGTGCTGGAACAATTGAACATTCAAGGGCCATAGGAGGAGAGAAAGACAACAAGGAGGAAAAGAAGGAGGAGCAGCAGTTTAATCTAAGACTCATACCTTCTGCAAAAATTGACTCAATATGGATTACAAACTTCTATGCAAAATGTAAAACTATAAAACTTTTAGAATAAGATAGGGGAAAATCTTCTGAATCTAGATCTGGGCAACAAGTTCTTAGATTTGACACCAAAAACATGATCTGTAAAATGAAAAAATGGATATATTAGACCTGATTAAAACTAAAAACTGTTGCTCTGTGAAAGACTTGTAAAGGAATGAAAAGGCAAGCTACATAATGGAAGAAAATATTTGCAAATCATGTATCCAACAAAGGACTAGTATCTAGAATATATAACAACTTATCAAAACTCAGGCCAGGCCCCCTGGCTCATGCCTGTAATCCCAGCACTTTGGGAGGCTGAGGCGAGTGGATGACTTGAGGTCAGGAGTTTGAGACCAGCCTAGCCAACATGGTGAAACTCTGTCTCTACTAAAAATACTAAAAATTAGCTGGGCGTTGTGGCACACGCCTGTAATCCCAGGAGGTAGAGGTTGGGGTGAGCCGAGGTCATGCCACTGCACTCTAGCCTGAGTGACAGAGTAAGACTCCATCTCAGAAAAAAAAAGAAAAAAAATCAACAGTTTGAAAAAAATTAATTAGAAAATGGGAAAAATTCATGAAGAGACATTTCATTAAAAGGATATACAGATGGCAAATAAGCACATGAAAAGATGTTCGATATCATTAGCCATTAAGGAAACGCAAATTAAAACCACAATAAGATCTCACTACACACATATTAGAATGGCTGAAATAAAAAATAGTGACAATAAGCCAGGCGCAGTGGCTCATGCCTGTAATCCCAGAACTTTGGGAGGCTGAGGCAGGCGGATCATGAGGACAGGAGATTGAGACCATCCTGGCTAACATGGTGAAACCCCATCTCTACTAAAAATACAAAAAATTAGCCGGGCGTGGTGGCGGGCGCCTGTAGTCCCAGCTACTTGGGAGGCTGAGGCAGGAGAATGGCGCGAACCCGGGAGGTGGAGCTTGCAGTGAGCCAAGATCGCACCACTGCACTCCAGCCTGGGCAACAGTGCAAGACTCCATCTCAAAAAAAATAAAAAAAATAGTGACAATACCAAATGCCTGTGAGGATGCAGTAAAACAATCACTCGCACATTGCTGGTGCAACCACTCTGGAAAACACTTTGACAGTTTATTTAAAAAACTAAAAATGCAACCACCATACAATTCAGCAGGTACACTCCTGGGCATTTGCTCCAGAGACATTAAGACTTATGTCCACACAAAAACTTATATTCATATCAGCCAAATCTGGAAACAACCCAGATGTGATGGACAGATGGCTAAACTAACTGTGCTATACCCATACCATATAATACAACTAGGCAATAATAAATTATTGATATATGCAACAACCTTGTATGATCTCCAGAGAAATACATTGAGAGAAAAAAAAGTCAATCCCAAAAGTGTATATACTATATGTTTCCATTTATTAATCATTTGTTTTAAAATGACAAAAAAAAATTTGTCTTGAAGTGACAAAGTCATAGAAATGGATAAGAGATTAGTGATTGCTAGACATTAAGGAGGGTATGGGATGGTAGGGAAGTGGGTGTGTCTAGAAAAGGGCAAGGTGAAGAATCCTTGTGATCATAGAAGTGTTCTGTATTGTGGCTGTATCCATGTATCCTAATTGTGATATTGTACCATAGTTTTGCAAAATGTTACCATCAAGGGAAACTGGGTAAAGGATACACAGGATTGTTTTTATTATTTCTTACCACTGCATGTGAATCTACAATATACAGCAAAATTTATACTTAATGGAGAATATTTAGGTTTATTTCCTTTAAGAGTAATGCTCATTATCACCCTACTGTTTGACACAGCATTGAAGATCCTAGTCAACAACATGAAAAATAAAACACTAAGGATTAAGAGGGAAAACACAAAACAATGCTCGCAGATGATACTATTATCTACCTGGAAAAAGAGAGAGACAGAGAGAATATCAATAACAACAATGACAACAACAACAACAAAAACCCCACTAAAACCAATAAGAGGATCGAGCAAGGTTGTCCCATATAAGATCAACTTACAAAAATTATTAATTTCTAATATTTGAAAATCATATATCAGTATTTGAATATCATATATCCAATAAAGGGTTAATATTCAGAATATGTAAAGAACTCATAAAACCCAACAATAATTGTTTATACAAACAGTTAAAAAGGGGGCAACAAACTTCAACAGACATTTTTCCAAAGATGATATACAAGTGGCAAACACACATATGAAAAGATGCTCAGCATTACTTATTATTAGAGAAGTGCAAATTAAAACCATAACATCATCTAATTCTCATTAGCATGGCTACTATAAAAATGAAAGGAAAAAGGAAAGAAGGGAGGGAATGAAGGAGGGAGCAAATGAAGGAGGAAAGGAAAGAAGGAAGGAAGGAAGGAAGGGAGAGAGGGAGGGAAGAAATAAGTGTTGGTGAGGATGTAGAGACATTAGAACCTTTATATGCAATGTTCGTGGGATTGTAAAATGTGTAACTGCTATGGGAAACAGTACGGCAGTTCCTCAAAAAATCAGTAGTAAAACTACTATATGACCCAAGAGTCCACTTCTGGGTATAAATGCAAAAGAATTGAAAGCAGGGACTTAAGCAGATATTTTCCCCCATATTCATAGCAGCACTATTCTCGATAGCCAAGAGGTGGAAGCAACAAAGATGTCCATAGACAGATGAATGGGCAAACAAAATATGGCATATACATACAGTAGCTTATTATTCAGCCTAAAAAGGAAGAAAGCACTCTTACATGCTGCAACAAGTATGAATTTTAAGGACATTAAGCTAAGTGAAATAAGCCAATCGCCAAAAGACAAAAACTCCATGATTGCACTTGTACAGGGTATCTGAAGTAGTCAGATTCATAGAAACAGAATGTAGAGTGATAGTAGCCAGGGGCTAGAGGAAGAGAGAAATGAGGAGTTGTTGTTTAATGGGTGTAGAGTTCTGGTTTTGCAAGGTGAAAAGGAGTTCTGGAGATTGGTTGCACAAAAATGTGAATATACTTAACACTGCTGAGCTGTACACTTCAAAGTGGTTAAGACGGTAAATGTTATTTTTTTAACCACAATTTTTTAAATTAGATACATTCTTCTACATCAGAAATTACTGATTCAAAAGTAGAATTGCAATAAGATACCAATCACAATAGCAGCAAAAGCTACAACATGCCTAAGAATTAACTGAGCATACTCAGGACTACTATGAAAAAGTAAAGTTTAAAAACCATAATAAAGAGCAAACAAAATGATTTCAATAAATGAGAAAACATCCTGTTTTTGCATGGTATGATTTAGTAATAAAAACAAGTCAGTTAACCCCAAATTTCTATAAATTCAGTATAACCACAATCAAAATTCAAGTGGGGAAGACAGAACTAGAAGTGAGTGTCCTCCCAAACTCCCCAGTAGGAAACTACAAACTTAGTTTCTGTTGCTACTATGCGCTTGTCATTGTCCAAGGCCAAAAGAAGCCCAGATTTTGCACCTCTCTCTCCACCCCACAACATTGACGTTTTTCCTTCTTGTTGTGAATGTACTTCCTGTCCTCCATCTGTCCTTCTGGACCCACTCTCAATACTTCTGCACCTGGGGTCTGCCTCAGGTGCTGACCTGCATGACATTGAATGGCTCCCATGCTCCCTGGCTTCTTCTTGCTTCCAGCATCAGCCTAAGAGCAGAGGGAAGAGGGGAGTGAGGTCAGTGTTTCTAATCCCTTGGCTTCCTCCCTACAAGGTCACCTTAAGCTGTTGTGTCCCTTGACTGAAGGGCACTGCCCTTGGCAAGGTGGTGACTGTACAGGGCTTGCTGTCCTTCTGAGTCCTGATAACCCCTTCTGTCCCTGGCCTCTTTGGACCTTGGGGTAGTAACAGCTATCCTCCACCCAGTTCTTTGTAAATACTTTGCTAATAAATAAACTTTCCTTGAAATGTCCTATTTCGAGTATGCCATCTGTTTTCTGTTGAGACTCTGATACAATAAAAGCCATTTCTTTATTCCCTGCCCCAGACCAGCACGGCCAGGGGCCTCTTGGAAGCCTCATATGAAATGGAAGAGGAAGGGTCTGGAGAAACAAGGAGCCCCCCATCTGGGAGTAGTCTCTATAGGTTTGGGGCCTCTCCACTCTCTGAAACCCCTGGAGACTGGTCTGGCCAAGTAGTGGCAGGAAGCACCACGGAGAAATCCCCCATGCCTTGCTTCAAGGCAGTTGGAGGGCTCTTGGGAATGACAGACACTCAAGCCAAAAAAAAAAAAGGATTTGAGGATGGGGTTGAACTCCACCCTCGTTTTTCATCTGATTTGCCCAATTTTACTTTGGAAAGAGAAAAACTTGAGAAAATGGCCTAAAGATAATTTTCATAAATAGACATTGGGATTAAATGTCAATCTTGTCTGTTTCTTTCACATGCATGTGTTCGTGGGTAGGGAGGCAAAGAGAACCTGGAACCTAGGAACATGCTCTCCCTCAGGGAAAAAAAAAATGCCAAGGATACCACCTCCCGTGGTGTATTTGAGATTTATTCTCATTGTCTTTAATGGTCAAAAGAAGAAGCTCAAATGTGGGCTCAACGCGTTTCTCTAAAATATTGTTATCTGCCCCAAGTGTTGAAGGAACTCCCTGCACTGTGTGTGCCCTTGTTAACACAGGCCCAGTTCTTTCATGGGAGGGGAGGTGGACTAGATGACCTTTAAAACCAATTCTAGCTCCAAGTTCAGCTTTTAAAACAACAAGACATTGAAGGGCGAAAACAATTCTTTGTGCAGCTTGGATTATGTATAACCCGAAAGTCCAGCTCTCTCTCTCTTCCCCCGCTCCCCTCCCTCCCTCTCTCTATGTCCCTCTCCTTCTTTCTCCCACTCCACTTCTCTCCTCTCACCCTTTTGCTCCCTCTCTCTTACTCTCTTCCACTCCTTCTCTTTTTTTCCTCTCTTTCTCTCACATGTGCTCAAGTGCACACACACACACACACACACACACACACTCCTTTTTTGGCAATCCATTATGTTTACATTCCATTCTCCTCATGCAGCATCCATTCTCTTCTCCTCATCCTCCTACAATTGGTGCACCATCACCCTTCTTCCACCTTCCTTTCAAGTACCACTCATTCCCCTGTGTAAGAACTCCCCTTTCTACCTATAGTATTCTGACTTTCTGGATCCTAGCAGACCTACATATACTTTTCCCTATTTCTTACCTGGAAGGGGACAGCCTTTCCTATAAAACAAAAAACCTACAAAGTTAGGGCAGAGAAAAGCCTGCACTGGGAATCTCTAGAAAAGGAACTGGAAGCCGTCCCATTAGCTAACTCTCTACTTCCTTTCTCTGGGATCCTGCCACTTTGATTCCCACTGCTGTGACTAGAACTAGACCCTTCAGATCTGCAGCTTCTCCTTTAAAACTGTCCAGATAGGCCTAGTGCGGTGGCTCACGCCTGTAATCCCAGCACTTTGGGAGGCTGAGGCAGGTGGATCACTTGAGGTCAGGAGATCGAGACCAGCCTGACCAACATGGTGAAACCCCATCCCTACTAAGAAAATACAAAATTAGCCAGGCATGGTGGTGCACGCCTGTAATCTCAGCTACTTGGGAGGCTGAGGCAGGAGAATCGCTTGAACATGGGAGGCAGAAGTTGCAATAAGCCGAGATCACGCCATTGCACTCCAGCCTGGGCAACAAGAGCAAAACTCTGTCTCGAAAAAAAATAAATAAATAAAATAAAAATAATAAATAAAACTGCCCAGATATAGACAAGGCCCAAAGCCCCCCATTCCTAGACTAAACTAGAATTTCAAAAGGAATTTGCTTTGTCAAACAAACAAAAATAAAAACAAAAACAGTGAATAGAAAAAAATGAAAATGAAACATAAAAATGGTAAAATGTAGAGATTAAGTTCCTTCCACTGACTTCTTCTGTTAACCCCTTCCAGAAGAGATGCTCTAATTCCAAGGATGCTTCTGAAGAAATTATGGAGGTGTTCCAAATCAACTCATTTCTTGGTTTCTTTTTCTTACCCATATTCTAGTATCTAGCTCTAATTCCAAAAACAATTCCACACCCTAGGTTTCTGTGTCCAGCAGGTGTCGCCCTTCGTGGGACAACAAACCACCAGCCAGCATCCTCTCTTCCTTAGGGTGGAGTCCATTCCCCCAAAGGGCTCTCCTTGGTCTTGGGGTAGAAGGGAATGGAACGGTGGCTCTGAAGAGATGTGTGCTCACCAGCATGAGGGTCTTCAGAATAAAGTAATCTGCTACTTCCAGCTCAGGTAGACAAACATCCTACAGAAATCTGTTCTTTGACCTTGGACAAGTCACTTAAATGTCTCTGAGCCTCACATCTTTTGTCTGTAACATAGAGGGAAACAATCTGTCCCTTGTGTGGTTATTGTGAGAAGAGAATGAGCTACAAATATAAAGGTCTGAGACCAGTGCCTAAGACATAATAATCACTCAAGCTATGTTCCCTTCTGCATTCAGGGTATGGAAGAAATAACTGTCTAGAACTCAATCTGGAGTTAAGCTCTGTCCCCTGAATCCTGAGGGGTATGAGAGGTCTGCCTTACGGTTGTGATGAGGATCAAAGCACCTGGTACAATGCCTGGCCAGAAAGTTGAATAATCGAATATAGCTAACGTCACTATTGCAGGCTGGCTATGTGCCTGGCGGTGTTCTTAGCCATTTACAAGTATGAACTCATTTAATCCTCATAAGATCCTGTATGAGGTGAGTAAGCTGTTAATTCCCTTCCTTGCCCATACTCTGTGACTCCAACCCACCACAGTTGAATTTCTCCTTATGAATTATAAATCAGAAAACGGCCCCAAATTCTGTCATGTCTAAGTGGGAAAATGGAAGAAGGCATTGATTTCTCCCCTACTCAAGCAGAAGAGAATTAACCTCAGTCCCTGCTTTGCCCATATTCCTTCCCCAGGGCCCCAGGAAGAAGACATGGAAAAACAATATTTCCACCAAAGTTTATTTCTCTGAAACAATCACCAGTTGCTGTCCTCTATGGCACACTGAGAGCCCCAGGAGGGTCTTTAACTCCCTTCCTCAGATTATATTCATCCCAGAAATATAGCCTTGGACAATAATTTGGTTACAGCATAGTCCCAGGAATGAGGTCCCCCAAGTTGCTAAGTTTTACATAGGGGAGACTGGGAAATTCAAAGAATTGGATGGAGAAACCATAGGATCCAAGATAATGTCAGGGGGTTGAAGATGTTGGAGAGGCATGGTAGCATCATTGAGTTTGAATCTCCTTCTCACTTGGAGTGGAAGTTGTAGGATTCTGCCTCTAGGAAATGTGCCATCCTACAGAATAAATAAAAGGGAGATAATGAGGCTTCAACCCAACTTGCCCCCATCGTTTGTCACTGTAACCATCCCATGCCTTAATACAGTGATACTGAAAACTCCAGGGCACCAACAACTAATACAAAGGAAGCACCTTCAGCCTCCTCTCCACAGACATCCCACTTGGTAGAAGAGGAGGATGCTCCTTCCTGCTCTTAATCCTAGCAATGGCAGCTTAAATCATGCCCTTGCCTAGATCCTCATGGAAGCTCACCCATATAATAATCAAGATTAGTTGAACCCAACACTGACCCCTCTAACCCGCACCCCTACCAAAGGGCAAGTAGGGAAACAGACCAACAGAGATGTTACCTTCTGAATAATTGGACCCAGGAAGAGGAGTGTAACCTAAGAGAGGAAGATACTTGATTATACCAGTCTTTGTGGATGAAAATATCTAGCAGTATTCATAGCAAATGCAGTAGGAAGGAGAGAGTTAATCACAAACAGAAAGTAAGCAGAGAGTGGGACCAAGAGTGGGGATGGGAGTTCAGCGAGTCACTCACTAGAGTGGCCAGCTCTCCGCCAGCTGATCACACCAAGAGAGAAGATGATGAGGCCCAGGCCCAGAGTCACTGCAGACACAGAAACCTTCAGGGTCTGCATGGGGGACAGCCCAGGTGCTGCAAAAAATAGAAACTTACTTGACCCAGTTTCTGTTGCTCACCCCCAGGGCAATTCCATTTATTGCAGCCACCTCTCAGTGGGTTAAAAGGTCCTTTATCCCAGCTCCAAGGGTCTAGCTCACACCACCCACTCCCAAGAAAATGATCTTTCTCAAATCAAACCCTCGTCCCATGGACCTCTACTCCTAGAGTAAGCCTGGGGAATCCATCTCCCCAGAATTAGCATCCTGGCTTCCAGGTCCTCTCTAATACAGTGGGGCCTCTCAAGGCATCCTCTTTCCTTCCTTTACCTCAAAGCCACCCTTATCAGGATAAAGGGCTCCTCACTGTCCTCTCCATTGCCCCCACGGTAACAATGTTTGCTTCCTTACTTTCTCCAACTGAGCAGCTTCCTATTACACTGTCTTACCACATGTCTTAACCTCCAGTGGATCCATCCTGTGAGTTATCCTACTACTTGTGTACCTTCTACATCTAGATCTCCCATGTGTCCTTTCAGAGCTTGTCTCCATCCCACTCCACAGCCCCTGCACTTCCTTGGGCCGGTCCTGTTCTGAATCATGTCCCACTCAGATTCTTTTCCCATGATAAAATGAACACTCCATTTCTAAAGGGAGGCTCTTGTGCACGCTGTGAGGAGACGTTCCCCAGGAAAGTTCAAGTGAGCATGTGATTTCCACTCTCTTCTCTGTTCTCCATTCCCTTCCCAACTGCCCAGCAAGAAACAACACTTCCCACAAGGGGAAACCTGGTTACAGCAGCTGATCTGAGATCCTGTTCTCTGGCCCTTTGTAGACACCCTTCCTCTTCCTCATTTCTTCCTCTTTCTTTTCCAAGAGTCCCCAAAGCTGTGTGCAACTTCTCACGATACCTTTAACTACTCCCGACACTGAGTTCAAACAGTGTTTGAACTGTAAGTAATTCTTTATCCACTGGCCCCTGAGCATGCATGCCAAATGGTCTGCCAGCCGTGGCTTTACTACTCCCGTATGCTTGGTAGAGCAGGCCAAATGCAGTACTGCCCCACACCAAGAAAAGCCCCCCTTCTTCAACCTTCATCATTCCTTCAGCTCCCATCTGCTTCTGGCACCAGAATAGTTGAAATCTAAGGAGGCTAGAATAGTGTATTACAATTTGGGGTTCTGAAAATATGATTGCCAAATTTACAGCCTCATTTCAAAGCAAGCACGCTCCCCTCTCACCCTCAAACATAGACGCAGCAACATCAGCCACACCACCAGAGCAGCAATAGCACAGACTAAATATTAAACTGGTGCAAAAGTAATTGCGGTTTTTGCCACTGAAAGTAATGGCAAAAACTGCAATTACTTTTGCACCAACCTAAATATTTCCATTTCTTTATCCCATTTCCCCATTCTGGTCCTAAGCCCCCCGTAAGTTCCTCCAGACTCAGTCCCCATTTTCAGCACTTCGCTGTCTACCATGTACCATGTATCGATCCACATCTCATTTTCTCTGCTTTGACCCTAATTCCATCCATCTGCCATACACTTACTCCAGTCCCGAAGGATGGGCTCAGGAGCCCCAGTGTGCTCTACCACACAGGTGTAAGTGTCCCCGTAAGAGGGGGTTAAGGCTAAATGGGAGAGGGTCTGGTATGTCCAGTCTCCATTGGGCTGGGCAGTCTTGTGCGCACTGCTGTGAGGCATGACAAGCTTCCCGTTCTTCCTCCACGTGATAGTCACTTCTGCTGGATAGAAGCCCCACACATAGCAGGCCAGCATCACAGGCTCCCTCGTGTTAAAAGGAGTGGTTTTGGCTACTTGCACAGATGGTGGCCCTGCATAGGAGAAAAAAACATGTTTAGGAAGGAGGGTGACATTCTGGCTGCTTCCTCAACCTGGTTTCTTCCCTATCGCAACTCTTCGTAGATTTTGCAACCCACTTTCCACCCCAGCCCCCTCTGCCATGCTGCCCCTTGAAGGGGAACCGTTAGAATGTATTCCTGCATTACTCTTTCTTCTCTCCCATTCCTTCATTGCCCCTTTCTTTCTTTCCTCCTCCAGAATTATGTTTGATTACAATTAGTAAAAGCCAGATCTGAACTGCAAGCTGTTCTAGAAGTTGTTGTATTTATTTCAAGTACATAAACTGGAAAGTATTTGAAATAAGGAAGCTAAGAGTAATCCAGAGTTGTACATTGGGTTTTTTTAAGGTGGAAAAGGAATTTTTCTCCAAATCTTGTTTAATACGTTCTTTTGCTAGTTAAAGCTTTTTCTCCTCACATAGTTCAAGGAAACAAGCCTAACTTAGGACTCACTCTTAAATTTGGAATGAATGTAGTCAAACTAATGAGATTGCTAATACTGCCATCTTTTACTAATTTACTCTCCTAGGTGATCCTCTTGCTTGCCTCTATCTTGACATTTTTCAAACACAATCTTAAATAAAAATCCAAGGAATTATGTTAAAATGCAGATTTCCTAGGCTGTATCCCCAGATACTTTCTTTCAACAGATCTGGAGTGGTACTAAGGGGCTTGCATCTTTAACAAGCACCTCCTCCAGGCAATTCTGAGAAAGGTGGTTCAGAAACCACCCTTGAGACACACTGTTCTGTACTGTGGAGATCTTCAAGTTTACTTTCACAAACTTCAAGCCATTGTCAATGCAAGAGTTTAAGGGTGAGAAAAAGCATGTGTCAGAATCCCCTGGGATTCCAAATATTCCCATGCCTGGGCCCACATCAGATCTGGAACATCAAAATCTGGGATAACAAGGCAAGAACATCTTGGGTATGCATCCTGAGATGCCCCAGCCTCTGCATAAGCTCCCCACATGGCACCTCGCGGTTCAAGCCTCACCTCCCCTTCTTTACTCCTGTTCCACTCACGTCAGCCACCTTGTTCCCCTTGAGGTTCAATCCTCCGTCTTTCTACATTTCAGATCCACACATTTTCTCTTATTTGCTGCTCAAATCTCAAACCCCTGGGCCACTGTGGGATCCTCCCTGGCCTGCCCTCCTAACTGCACTTCCTGGTAGCCCCTCTGCACCCCTCTCTCCTCACGTGTCCTGTTGGTCAGTGATCCCCAGAAGGGCTGGGTGTGTGTGGCACAATTCTGAAGCCCATTGCGCAAGCGCTGCATCAGGGTGTCTTTTTGGTTGAGGTGCTGTGAGAGGACATTCGCCAAGCTATTCAGCACCCCAAATTCGCAAGGGGCCATCTTATTCTCCTCTGGATCCCAGCAGGTCAGCAGATCCTTGTTGAAGGAGATGCAGTATGTGAAATCCTTTGGAGTCCCAGCATCATCCAACAGACAGGTGCTTTCCACATGGGCCACGAAGCCACCTAGAGGAGCCAGGGAAGGGAGAACAGGTCAATGTCTTCTACTGGCCTGGCAATAAATAAATAAATATATAAATAATAAATATACACAAATAATAAATATATAAAACATACAGACGTATATTTAGGAGCTCTGCACAGAGCTTTGTCTTTGACCCTGGTTCCTGACATAGAGTGCCTAATCGCTTAGAATTTCCTAGATAACAGGAGTGTCTTTTGTTCTAATGAGGTACTCTTGGTGGGCTCCTGCAGGAGGGGCTGGTCACCAGAAAGACCAAGTCATGATTAGAAGTCTGGAACTTTTAGTCCCATCCCCCATACTCCCTGAAGGGGAAGGGGCTGGAGATTGAGTTAATAATCAGTCATGCCTACATGATGAAGCCTCCATAAAAATCCCGGAACTATGGAGTTCAGAGAACTTCTCAGTTGGTAAACACATCCACATGCCAGGAGGTGAAGTACCCCAATTCTGTGGGGACAGAGCTCCTGTGATTGGGACCCTTCCAGATCTGGTATCTCTTCATCTGGATGTTCCTTTGTATGCTTTAAAATATCCTTTGTTAAAGGATGCAAAATTATGATCTAGTGTTCTATACCACTGTGGGATGACTGTCATTAACAATAATACTTTATATCATTTCAAATCGCTAGAAGAAGGATATGGAATGTTTCCAACACAAAGAAATGATAAATGAGATGATGATCTGATCTGATCACTGTACATTACATGTACTAAAACATCATTATCCACCCCATGAATATTTATAATTATTATTATCAATTAAAATATCCTTTGTAAAAAATCTACAATAATAAGTAAACTTTTCCTGAGTTCCATAAGCCACTTTAGCAAATTACCAACCCCAAGGAGGGGGTCATGGGAACCTCTGATTTGTAGGCAAGTTGGACAGAAGATGTGGGTAATTTGGGAACCTACTACTTGTGATTGGTGTCTGAAATGGAGGCAGTCTTATGGGACTGAGTCTTTAACCTTTGGTGTCTATGTTAACTCTAGTTAATGTCACAATGGAATTGAATTATAGGATATCCAGCTAATATAGGAGAATTGGTTGGTATGAGTAAAAAAAAAAAAAAAACCTCACACAGTTGGTCAAAGAAGTGTTGAGTGTGAGCATATAGAAGAAAAAAAGTTGATTTTTCCTATATTCAGCTCAGAACCTAAGCCTTGGTGACATCCAGCTAGTCTGGCACAGATTTCCTGCTCAGGGAACATCTACTGACCAAGCTCATACACTGAAGTTTCTGAAAGTCTGATTTGAGGGAGTCAGTAGAAGTAGTAGATAAGTTTTTAGATCCAGTCTCCTCTTTATGCAAGACTAAGCACAGGGATAGGAGTAGCCCCCCGAGATTATTTGCATGTTTAAACATGACAATTTGCCCAGAACACAGACCTTCAGTAAGGCAAATTATTGAGAGAGAAAAAGGGTCAAGAGAAAGAGTCAGCCTTGTATTGTGCTGGAAATATTAAATATTCACTTCGCACATATTTATGAAGCACTTGCTGCATGCAAGGCACTGTGCTAGGAGCTGAGGAGGCAGCAATAAATAAGATGAACATTGTCCTTGCCTATATTCCAGCAGGGAATATACACTGCACAGATAATTATACAGATTAATTACATTAAAATTGCTACAAAGTACAAAGTGCTATAGGAATGTATACCAGGGAGACAAACTATCTGGGGTGTCAAATGCAATTACAAAACGGAACACCCTTACCCTGAAACAGGAGCAGGGGAAGGGAGAGTCCCCAGAAGAAGTGTCCTTACCTGCTCCTGTGCAGCCCAGGCTGAGCCCCAGCAGCAGCGGCAGGAATGTGATCATGCTCTGCTCTGTAAAGATGCCGGGAGTTCAGTCCCCTGGACCAGCTCTTCCAGGGTCCGTGGGTCCTCGCCTGTCCCAGAAGCCCCAGCCTGGGTAGATGATCTCCAGACACTGAGCAGAATACTATATTGCCCGGGTCCCTTGACCCCCCAAATGAGTGATGTGGGGATACCCAGCCCCTAGATATTAAATCTGTTCCTTCCAGCTCACGGGAGTCCAGTGTCCCAAACAGGGACAGATTGGCTAGGTAGGCAGGGACAAATGTAGAGACAAATCACTGAGTGCCTCAGCCTAGCATCATCAGTTACTAGGTAAACGTCATCCTGCCTTAGTCTTAGACAACAGGTCTCCTTGTCTCTCTTAATTCTTTTTCTGCAGAACAACCAGTAGATTTCCGTAGATTACTGGAGAGAATAATCGCAATATTCCCAGGATGTATGCAGCCTGGGCTGCCCACTGGTTTAACTTTTTCTTCTCAATGCTCTCCCAAAAGACCAGGACCAGATAACCTCTCCTATTCCTTACAGGGAGGTTACCCAAGAAGATAATTACAAAAACCCTTGTCTGTCCTGAGATGAGAGGACCCAGAGCCCTTCTGGGGCAGGTGGCAGAGGCAGGGCTGCTGAGAAGGAAGAAGGCACAGACAGAGTACAGAATTGTCTGGTCTCAAAGCAAGACTGCAGAATAAGGGAAGCAGCGCCACCATGGAGATCAGGAATAGGGGCCTGGAAAATCCCTCCATGGGCCTCCATTGTTGCTTCTGTTCTAGCCAGTCAAGCTTCATTTCCTCCTCAGTTATAATAGCTGCTTTCCGGAGCTAGTAAACCATATCCTCCTACACTCTGAGCAATCTCACGGGGTAGACCGCAGGTTAACACCTCTCAGACTCCTTGAAAAATAGCTGGTGACGGGTCAGTGCCCAGAGCTCACCTGCCTTTCGCCAAACTCTAAACACCCCTGTGTGTTTCCCCTACTATACCCTGTTCCCTGGGGGCAGGTCCCTGCATTATGAAGCCACTAGGAAAATGAGATAAAGCTTTCCTACTTTTCTTCCCCTGAAAAGACAGATTTTGTTTTTTATTTTTTGAGAATACCAAGTAAGATTTTATTTTTTATTTATTTTAAATTATTTTAACCTTTGTTTTAGGTTCAAGGGTACACATGCAGGTTTGTTATATAGGTAAATTGTGTGTCATCGGGATTTGGCGTAAAAATTTATTTCATCACCCAGGTAATAAGTATAGTATCTGATAGGTAGTGTTTTGATCCTCTCCCTCCTCCCATCCTCCACCCTCAAGTAGGGCCCAGTGTCTATTATTCCCTTTTTTGTGTCCATGTGTACTCAATGTTTAGCTCCCACTTATAAAAGTGAGAACATGCAGTATTTCATTTTCTGCTCCTGTGTTAGTTTGCCTAGGATAACAGCCCCCAGCTCCATCCATGATGCTGCAAAAGACGTGATCTCGTCCTTTTTTGTCTGTGGAGTATTCCATGGTGTATATGTACCACATTTTCTTTATACAGTCTACTGTTGGTGGGCATTTAGGCTGATTCCATGTCTTTGCTATTATGAATACTGCTGCAGTGAGCATTCATGTGCATGTGTCCTTATGGTAGAACAATGTATACTCCTTTGGGTATATGCCTAATAATGGGATTCCTGGGACGAATGGTAGCTCTGTTTTAAGGTTCTTGAGAAATTGCCAAACTGCTTTCCTCAATGGCTGAACTAATTTATGTTCCCACCAGCAGTGTATAAGCCTTCCGTTTTCTCTGCAACCTCTCCAACATTTGTTATTTTTTGACTTTTTAATAATAGCCATTCTGACTGGTGTGAGACGGTATCTCATTATGATTTTGATTTGCATTTTTCTAATCATTAGTAATGTTGAACATTTTTTCATATGCTTCTTGGTCACGTGTGTGTCTTGAAAAGGCAGATTTTATGTATTTGCGTATTTATTTTTTTCACAGGTTTTTTTTTTGAAAGTCTCACTCTGTCGCCTAGGCTGGAGTACAGTGGGATAATCTCGGCTCACTGCAATCTTCGCCTCCTGGGTTCAAATGACTCTCATGCCTCAGCCACTTGAGTAGCTGGGGTTACAGTCATGTGCCACCACTCCTGGTTAGTTTTTGTCTTTTTTTTTTTTTTGGTAGAGACAGGGTTTCATCATGTTGGCCAGGCTGTTCTTGAACTCCTGACCTCAAGTGATCCACCCACCTCAGCCTCCTAAAGTGCTAGGATTACAGGCATGAGCCATCGTGCCTGGCCTGAAAAAGCAGATTTTAAACGGCAATTCATTCTTCTATCCCATTGTGAACTATACAGTTGATGGATTTTCCATCACTAACTTGAAACTCTAAATTGGCTTCCTTCTGCTCCCCAGTAGGTTTCAGGGCTGCCTCTTCACATCTTAGTTTCTGAGAACTCTTGGATTTTATTAAATAGTGAGCTAAACAAAAGAGGATTGTGGAAGGGGCCCCTTGACACCACACTTACCTGCCCTCCCTCAAAGTCCCTGATCTCAGGAAAATCTAACACTTATGAAGAAAATGGGGATAAAAAATGCATACAAAGATTATTACCAAAAACGAAAGATTCGTTGTGTAACTAATTGAGATTAACTGAAGCTCTGCCATAGCTCCCAGCCACTGCCCCCACTCACCTTGCTTATATACTCTAACTCTGCTAACGAACTGTCAAGTGTGTTGGAATGGGCAGAATATGGGGTGGGGAGTGCATAATCTGTAGAGCTTCTACAGATACAGTGCTAGGTAGGTCCTTTCTATAATATCTCATCTCATCTTAAAAGACTTGTTGGCCGGGCATGGTGGCTC
Source organism: Homo sapiens (assembly GCF_000001405.40). Lineage (NCBI taxonomy): Eukaryota > Metazoa > Chordata > Mammalia > Primates > Hominidae > Homo > Homo sapiens. Next base: position 4,342,879 of record NT_167249.2, read on the forward strand.
ACGCTTGTAATCCCAGCACTTTGGGAGGCTGAGGAAGGCATATCACCTGAGGTCAGGAGTTTGAGACCAGCCTGGCAAACATGGTGAAACCCCGTCTCTACAAAAAATACAAAAATTAGCTGGGTGTGGTGGCGCGTGCCTGTAATCCCAGCTACTCTGGAGGCTGAGGCAGGAGAATCGATTGAACCTGGGAGGTGGAGGTTGCAGTGAGCCGAGATCGTGCCACTGCACTCCAGCCTGGGTGACAGAATGAGACTGTCTCAAAAAAAAAAAAAAAAAAAAAAAAAACTTGTTAATTGTCCTCATTTCCCAGGTTGGAAAACAGGTCCAAAGATTCACACCCAAGGTCTAAAGGCTGTAACTCCTCTTCTTATACAGCTGTTACACATGCACATGTGTACACACACACACACATACACACTCTCTTGAGCATGCCCACACACTCACTACATCTTGGAACTGGGATGGCTCAAATAAAGGGAGTTAGTGAGGCCTCCGCTGAGAAAGAGAGAAAGAGAAGAGTCACAATCCATAACCCAATTCACCCAAGTCTTATCTTTCCTGTCCTCAGAGTTCCTTCTGCTCTGAGAACCACCGTCCCTTCCACTTTCTCTTTTGACAAGTTTCAAAACTGAATTTTCCCCCACACCCCCCCAATACATTTCCCCCTCACATTCCTCCCCATCCTGCCCAGGTAAGCTGTTAGCCTAACCTTATAGGAACCAAGTCCTGGGATCCTTTTCAATGTCTACAAAGCCTAGCCCTGGCAAGGGAGCACTGGCTGTGTGGTCCTGTGCCAGCACTGAACATGGCCCTAGCCAGTAACAGTGGGGCTGAATGTAGTTCCCTCTTATGTCTAGATCTCTGCTCCGGCAGTCAAAGGAGATGTGAAACCTTCTGTGAGGCCACAACAGGAAATGGTAGGAGAGGATTTCACTTCTCTATTAATTCAAACACTGAGGGAGCTTTTTAGAATAAAGAAGGACAGAAAACCCAGACACCTGTGCTCAGCAGTGTTTTCCTTCCTCTCCTCCTCCCAACCCTTCCATTTTTACAGATATAGCTCTGTCTTTCCACCTCTAGCCAATTCAAAATAACATTTCAGTTGCTCTGTCCATTGTTACTTATTTGTTAATTATTGATATAGCACCGGGACCGAAGAGGTATGGAGCCCCAACCAGGTTCCCACATGTTGCCTTTCTTTTATTGCCTCTACACAACCACCCAAAGAGTGAGTCCTCTCCTTTCCCATTGCCTCTGCCCTTAGCCTGACCACCACATGCCTGCAGTAAACTAGTCCCAGGGTTTGTGTGCAAAGCATTACTGGGAAAATACAGAGTGAGAAGATATGGATTCTGCCCCCATATCGCTTTGCTTGTACGTCAATTGGGGAGTGAGAACAAACACTTTAAATAGTTTATATTAAAGTAAGTAAGCAATAAGGCCAGTGGTCTTAAAAGAGAAGAGAGAAATCACCATGGACATGGTAGACAGGGAGTACTCTCAGTCGAGAGGGCCTGGAATGAGCCTTGAATACTGGGCTGGATTTGTGTTGGAGAGGAGGAAGGCAGTTGGCATTGTAGGTCTGGTGTATAGCTCCACAAGCTTGACAATGCTGTGAGGTGCCATCAGGGAGGAGGTGTCCTACGAGAGCCTGGGTTAGCTAAAACAAAGACAAGCTACAATAACGTCACTGGCACTGCACGTTGGAGGAAGTCACAAATGTGATTTCTTGTTTTTTTCTGAGAGTATGGCCATAATAATAAATCTCTTCTAGGCACTTCCTAAAGTTGCTCCATGTCAGTTCGCAGGTTCTTGGGGCAGACGGTTTTAACTGAAGTCTCCATTTTATAAACACAAAATTGCTCAACCAGTTAATCACGCCTCATAGCATAAGACCACATTCGTGACTTCAGTGTCTTTTCAAAACTACACACACCTACATCCTGCCAAGATTATATTACTTGCCCAATCTGTCCAATCCCCACCCCACCCCTGCCATCTACCCCTTACCTCACCTCCGCCCACACACACACCCTCCTACCCTGTCAGGATTCACTGCTCTAGACCCTGACCTTTGGATTATAGTTTCTGTAGTCAGTTCACCATCCTTCCAACCTACAGTCAAATTATTTGAACTACTAGGGATAGTCTATCTGATTTGCCACAACTATTTTTCCTTTTTTAATTTTATTTTTTGCCACCACAACTATTGAAGAATGCTATCTTCATCTTACCCACGAGAAAATGGAGGCAGAGGGAGGTTAAGTGGTTGCCCAGATTTACCCAGATACTAAGTAATAAAACCATTACTTGAACTCAGGATTTATTACTTTAAATCCTGTATTGCCAATAATCAATTGGAAAATAACTGAAAATTGCCTACTATTTATAATAACAATAAAAACCATAGCATATTTATGAATTAACATATCAAATATAAGAATTTTAAGAAAAAAGAAAACTTTATTGAAGTGCACAAAGACCTGAGAGGTGTAGAGATATACCATATTCATGGATAGGCCATGCTAACATAATGACAACCTCTCCCCACATCTCTAACCTAAATGCTACCCCAATTAAAGTAACAGTAGGATTTCAGGAGAATTTAACAAACTGATTATAGAATGTACATGGAAATAAAGTCCAAGAGTATCTTAGAATATTTTGATAAAGAAAAGGAAAATAAATTTTTTGGGAAGGTGGTGAAGGAATGGAGACTAGTTCTACTAAATAGTAACACATATTAAAAAGCCAAAATAATCAAACAATATGATACTGATTAGTAATGAGAGAAAAGCAAATTAAAACAACAAAATACCACTCTACACCCACCATGTTGCCAACATTTGAAAGTCAAATAATTACAAGCATTAATGAGCATAAAGGGAAATGTGAACTATCTTGCTCTGTTGATGGGAGTGTAAACTGTTTATGATCCCTGAATTATAGAAATTATAAACTAGTTGGGCGAAAAAATTAACATAGGAAATAAAGCGGCATATCCCAATCCTTAGGTTGAGTGCTTTAAGTCTTGGAAGATTTCAATAAAGAGAAATTAGGGGCAGGTTCATGGAATAAGTTGAACTGGAGTTGGACCTATGGAGTGGGTTAAGACAGGAACAAGATGAGCAGAATAAAGAAAGCATTCTTGTGAGAGGAAAGAGCCTGGGCAAATGCCCTAAACCAAAACCAGATATAATACCTCAAGGAAGAGTGAGGAAAAAAGATTTATTCAAGAATAGCATTCCTGCTGGGAATAGTGAGTAATATTTTTTATTAGAAAAGGGGCACCAGACTAGAGAGGATACTGAGTGCTTCTAGAGTACTTAAGTAACAGTATCATAGAAGGTTTCATCAGAGAGCATCTAATCTAAGCCCATCATTTTACAGATGAAGACTTTGAGGCCCAGAGAGGGGAAGTGACTTGTCTAAAGTCACACAGCATAATAAAGCACTTTTAAGTCTTGCCTGACAGGAAATATCTAGATAAGTTGGAAAACAGAGAGACAGAGAAATTAGGAAGAACTAGAAAGCACCACATCTAGAATTACTAACATGAGAATAAAAAGAAAAACATCTAAAATGGAGAAAATACAATACTTGAAGCTAGTATTGAGGTATATTTCAGAAAAGAGAAAGAAGTCTACGAGGCAACTAAGTTCTCCTCTGAAGATCAAGACCAATAATGATAAGGTTAGGTTATTCAGCACATTTTCTATGTGCCAAACACTATTTTAAGCATTCTGTAGGTATTAACTTATTTAAGCTTCACAGCATGAGGATATGCTGCCTTATTTCCTATATTAACTTTTTCACTCAACTAGTTCATAATTTCTGTAATTCGGGCATCATAAACAGTTTACATTCCCACCAACAGACCAAGATATTACAGTTCACATTTTCCTTTATCCTCGCTAATACTTATTTGACTTTCAAATGTTGGCAACATGGTGGGTGTAGAGTGGTAAGGGGGACACCATTGTTATCATCATCCTTTTACAGAAAATGACACCAAAGCACAAGTTAAGTAACTTGCCCAAGGGCTCACAGCTAAACGCTGACAGTTACGATTGAATCCCCAGCAGTCAGGTTCCAGAGCCCATGCTTCTTAACCGGTACACATGATGCTGTTAGAAATGAGATGGTTCAGAGACAGTGCAACTTCTCTTAGGGAGAATTTAATATTTTCTTTTAGATTAGACTCTAGTACAATGCCAAGAACAGAAACTCCCTCACCAAATAATTGCCCTCTCAACTTTATTGCCACCCTGTCATCCAAAGCAACTCCCAGACCCTAAGGAATGCAAGAAAGAAAGCATATGCAAAGCAATTTACCACCAGTGGTCATGTGCTGCCACCTTTCGTTATCTTCCCAGGACAGCACCTGTGCAGTTCTCCTTGGACAGTTCACTCAGGCCAAGGAACAGATTGTCAGGAAAGACATGTGAATTCTTTGCCCTTCCAGGCTGTTTTCACTTCATGTTAGGGGCTTCATGATACTGTTTTCCCAGAACTGACATAACTGATTGGTATAGCACTTGGGAGCTTATTCTTCCCATCCCTGAGCTTCTGTTTCTCAGTTACGGTGAGGGTTGAAGGGAGTTATATGTTCCTCAGGGCAGCCTATACGAGACATAAACATTTTCACAAACAGTAAAATACACAACACACACACACACGCACAAAACACACAAGCAGCTTCCTTAACCATTTTGTAAGCAGATTATTAGAAAATAACTCTGCCTTCGTTTCTCACATATTTTGCACAAACCGATAGATGGAAAAACATCATGTACCGCCAAGACCAGGGAATAAGAGCTCAGCTGGCAAATTAGGGGTTTTCCCTATTTCCCTCCCTAACGAGGTCAAGCTGTGTTCAGGTTAAGGCATGCTGAATTTGAAACGACAACCCACTCAAGTTGAGATATCCAGAAACAAATACCATGAGTTAAGAAAGAAGCCACACTGATATAAAGAAATGAGATTTATTGCCTTGTGGGGGGAAGGGATGTGGTTGTGATAGGCAGGCCACTCTGGGATCCCTGGGATGCAAGCCCAGGGACAGCAGAGTCCCCAGGTGGGAAATCTACACACACACCCCAGGGATGTCCCAGAGACTTCTTCTACCCTAAGAGGAGATCCTGGGCAGGATGTGAGAAATCTGAGCATCCTCTGTTTGGATGGCCGAAGCTGCTGGCATCAAACTCTGGTCTGGAAGAATCAGTCTGGGGGAGAGACAGGGATGGAGGAAAGGCATCAGGGGATCCATCCTCCTCCTCCTTCTCCTCCTCCTCCTCCCCCACAAAGGCCTTGCTCGCCCTGCCTGCACCACACCCTGCAGAAGTTGATCTCTCCTTGTTCCCAAATCATCTCCAAGCACCCTTCCTACAGCACCCCATGATTCCTTTTTTCACTCAAAGCAATTCTTGTGACCCATAACTGTGTGTGTGTAACTGGGTCCCCAACTGGGAAGATGTGCCCCCATGGTGCTGGATACAGGCCCCCACACCCAAGGGCCTGAGGATCGCTATATGTCCCCCCATGCCACAAAATAATCCTGACACATGCACGCATGCACCACTGTATCTGGCTCCCACAGGCTCACCCGCCCCCTCCAGATGACATACCACCTGAGCAAGGCTTCCGGAAGTAGATGATGAGAACAATGCCCACGATGATGCCCAGCACACCCAGGCCAAAGGCCACGCCACACAGCACATTCTCCAGCAGATCTGAGGGCAGTGCGTTCCGGGGTACTGGAGGAAATGAGTGGCTCAGCCTGGGGACCTAGTTAGGGAGCCTCCCACCCAGGGAAATGACGTGGGTGTCTGGGATGACATGGGAGACTGGGATGGGCTTAGGGTAGGAATGGACTAAACAAGGTACCAGTGGAGAAAGAAGCCTCCTCCCATGGATCTATCCCTTTTTGCCCCCAAAAGGACCAGAATTCCAGGGAGAAAGCCTCACCCCAATAGGCAATTGCTGTGTAGCGGTCAATTTCGTGAGTCACAATGCAGGAGAAAATGTCAGAAGGTTCTGGTGTGAAGTTTAAGTAAGAAAAGGCCTGGAAGCTGAGTCCATCGACAGCTGAGACAAAAGTAGGCCCAAATCCTTCCACAGGGACGGAATGATGCTGCCAGTTCACTGTCAGCATGGGTGGGAAGAGATTACTGACAAAACAGACCAAAGTGTTGGGCTTGCCAAACTCCAGGGGCTTCAGCGTGAACACTTCAGCGATAGGAAACCCTGGTGGGGGGATTGAAGTGTAGGGGGAAAAAGAGACTAGTTTAGATGGTATCTCTGTGTTTGGAGGGGCCATGGCATATGGAGGGGAGGGCAGAGAAGAACACAGTGGGTCAGGCTTTGGGAGACAGAGATGAGCGAGGAGCTGGGCTCTGAAGGGAGGTCTTCTTCCAGGCAAGGACTGCAGCTAGACGTAGAAGCAGAGCCAGATCCAGGCTACTCTGGACCCCTCCACCATGACTTCCTTCAGCACTTCCTGTCTAGAGCTCACATTGATGTCTAACCATGCACTGTCTTCTCACTAAGACATAGTCACGTCATCAGATATTTCCACTCTTCCCATCCATCTTGCTGGGCATAGTAGCACAAGTGTTAATATTCAGTAGGTATCAGTTGGTACCTGTTGAATTCATCACATTCAATACATAGTTCTGAATGCCTACTACATGCTAGGTACTTCGGCCCACCAAAAGAACACAGGGTGCAGACCAAGGCTGGTGGAAAAATTAAGGTGATGAAGAGAACCAGAAAGTATTTGAGATGGGGAGCTGGTATCAAGGGGAATTATTCAGTGTACAGATCAATGAGGTTAATGCAGCCCTCCTCCCTTCACTCCCCAGAAAACTCCTGACCTCTGGACACCGGGATTTTCCCATCAAGTTTTGGCCCTATTTGCTGGATCATCCACTCGCAGAACTCTTTGTCAAATAAAATGGCAGGAGCATCTCCCTGTTCCTGAGCCCAGTCAGCAAATTCGGGCAGGCGAGGCACCCGAGTGTTCTGGGAAAAGTCGAAGAAGAAAAGCTGGTCCTCGTCGTAGGCCTCAGAGAGTCCCACACTGGGACTCCCATCCTGGCAGTACACTGTGTGCAGGAATGTGTGGTTTTGCAGGTCATCTGGCCACATTGGAGTAGGAGCTGCAAAGGACACAGGGTGAGGTTCAGGGAGGTGGGAGCCTTCTCCTCCAACTTAAAAAACAGCAAGGTGGGGCTAGGCGCAGTGGCTCATGCCTGTAATCCCAGCACTTTGGGAGGCCAAGGTGGGTGGATCATGAGGTCAGGAGTTTGAGACCAGCCTGGCCAGCATGGTGAAACTCCATCTCTACTAAAAATACAAAAAAGTAGCTGGGCATGTTGGCATGCGCCTGTAGCTACTCGGGAGGCTGAGGGAGGAGAATTGCTTGAACCAGGGAGGCAGAGGTTGCCGGGAGCTAAGATTAAGCCACTGCACTCCAGCCTGGGTGACAGAGTGAGACTCTGTCTCAAAACAAAACAACAAAAACAAGCAAGGCCTGCTTAAGGAGCGTGGGCTGAGGTGAGACCCTTTCCTGTGTCTGTTATTTAGACTCCCCCTCCCAAAGGGGGTGAAGAACAAATTATGGCATCTCTCCAAGCTTCCCCTGCCTATAAAAAGGCCAGTTGGCAAAAGTAAAGAGTTCTACTTTCTAAAGTGACAGATTCAGGCCAGGCATGGTGGCTCATGCCTGTAATCCCAGCACTTTGGGAGGCTGAGGCAGGCAGATTGCTTGAGCCCAGGAGTTCAAGACCAACCTGGGCAACACAGCGAGACCCTGTCTCTACAAAAAATACAAAAACTTAGCCAGGTGTGGTGGCAAACACCTGTGGTCTCAGCTACTCTGGAGGCTGAGGCAGGAGGATTGCTTGTGCCTAGGAAGTTGGGGCTGCAGTGAGCCATGATTGTGCCACTGGACTCCAGCCCAGGTGACAGAATGAGCCCGTCTCAAAAAATATATATATAAAGGCCGGGCGCGGTGGCTCAAGCTTGTAATCCCAGCACTTTGGGAGGCCAAGGCGGGTGGATCACCTGAGGTCAGGAGTTTGAGACCAGCCTGGCAAACATGATGAAACCCCATCTCTACTAAAAATACAAAAATCAGCTGGGTGTGGTGGCATGCGCCTGTAATCCCAGCTACTTGGGAGGCTGAGGCAGGAGAGTCTCTTGAACCCCAGAGGCAGGGGTTGCAGGGAGCCGAGATCACGTCACTGCACTCTAGCCTGGGTGACAGAGCGAGATGCCGTGTCAAAAAAAATAAATTAAATCAAATAAAAAATTTAAAAATGTATATATATAAAATAAAGTGACAGATTCAGAGTCACTGTTCATTGTGTGTTTGGGGGCTGCACAAAGACACCTAGCCAAAGAAGCAAGTGAAAGCCTGCATTCTGCTCACCATGCCATACATCCTGGCATAGGGCTGTATCCTCCCAAAGGGGATTCCTTTGTCTAATTCATACCAGGCCACTGTATTGACTAGAGAAGGCCATGGATGGGTTTCTCACTCTTAGAAGGGAAAGAGGAGGAATGGCTACAGCCTCCCCAAGCCATAGATGGGACTGCCTCCCACTATCCCCAGACACAAATGGTAAATTGGAAAACCTGTATCCAGACATTTCTTCAGCCACTTCATTGGCACCAAGCGTCTCTCAAAATGTCTTCTGTTCCTTAACCTACCAGGCCTCCCAAAGACAGCAATGGGAGAAGTGACCCCATAACTGCATAAAATAATCCCTCTTCTTTGAAGCTCTTGGCAGGAATCGCTCAGCCAGCAGGAAACCTTTAACCCAATACCCAGAAAAACAGACATTTGGAGGAAGAGGGATCTTCCAGATTATTCTTCCATTCTGCCCCATCCTCTACAGAGAAGGAAACTAAGACACTTTTCAAGAATCACAAGATAAGTTAATGATAGAAAGCAGAGTAGAATCTTGAGTGGAGGAGTGAAAATAACATTCACTTTGTTCAAATCCCAGCTCTACCACTTTCCAATGGTGTGAACTTGCACAAATAACTCTGAGTCTCATTTTCTTCATTTGTAAAATGGAGAGAACAATCTCCGCTTCAAGAGATTGTCTTAAATGGAACATGCAAAGCATCACTGATATCGTTTACCAACCACACATAGCAGCTGTCTTTCCCCACTCCCCTGTTGTTTCCACTGCCTCATAAGACTTCCCACCACTCACAAAGCACAGCGCTTTTCCTCACAAAGCTGAGTGGGCTCCCTAGGTTCAGGATGGAAGTAAATAGGAGTACCATCTTACCTTCAGGGACGGCCCAGGAGTGGGGTAGCAGCCACAGAAGTGGTAACATCTGTAGCAGCGCAGCTCCTTGGTTCTGTTCATGACCCATACCTTCTTGCCACACAGTAGGTAGGAGCTACCAACCCAGCCAACCCAGCTTCCCCAACTCCCTCCCCGAGAGGGTGGCCTTAGATCATGTTTTGCCAGATCATTTCCAATAGGTGCCCTTGTCATTTTGTCTAAACCAATCAGAGAAGCGTAGGGTTTAACATCATCAGTCACTGGGGAGACGCCTGGGGCCAGTAACCTCCTGAAGACTTGGCTGTTTGACCAGGGCAGAGTATGGCATGTAACTGGGCTGGGAAGCCCAGTGGAGGAATGTTGCTTCCTGGTGGAGTTCCCTCTTTGGTTTCAAGCTGTCAGCCTCAGTCTGTAAGCGACCAGCTGGCTCTTCAGAGCAGTGCCACCTCCTGGCAGAATGCTGCAATGGGGAACCGCATCTTCCCCAAGTAAACCCCCAGGGCTCTTCGGACCCTGCCTTCTCCTCCCTCCTGGCTCTTCCTCTTTCTCAAAAAAACTTATTCTCCTTCAGGCATTAGCTCTAATTCATTTGGCAGACATATATTGAAAATACAAGAAATTCTGGGTGTTGGGCCCAGGGCTAGAAATACAAAGATGAATAGGCATAGTCTGCCTTCAAAGAGCTTAGAGTCTAGTGCTGGGGGAGGGGGCCAAGGGATAATTACACAACAATGTAATGTATTCAAATAAGAATGTGCCAAGTGTTTTGGAAGTCGCAGTAATTTTATGAGGATGCGGAATAGGAGGAACATAATCAGGCAGGCTCCTAAGACTTGAAGGAAAAACAATTTGGCCAGCAGAACATGAAGGAAGAGAAAAACACGCCAGGGCAAAGGGTAGGCAGAAGTACAAAGATCACAGGCATCCAGAGGTCCTCTTTGGAGACCCTGTGTACTAGTTGATATGAATGTTGTGAAGGTCGCTTGGGTGTTCCTGTATAATAGGAGGTAATGGGGGGTAGAAGGATGTTGTGATAAGCTACAAATTCGGGCAAGGGCCAGATCACGTGGGCCCTGCTACGCCACAAGGAGGAGCTTGCTTTTACTTAGCAGATGATAGAGATATTAAAACTGGGGAATGACAATCATTTTAGCATTTTGGAAAAAATGTTCTGATTGATATTTCAAACAATGAACTGGAGCTTTTAAAGAATTGAGGCAAAACTGCTGGGCAAGAGTCTATAGCATACCAAGATGAACAGTTGCACATATACACACCACTCCTGTAGCAATACAGCAATAATTTAAATGACAGATAATAAGAGCCTGAATTAAGTCATAATAAGAGGAGGCGGAGGAGATAGAATATCAAGATAATTAGGAAGTAGAATCTAAAGGGTTTGGCTACTGATTAGCTGTGGGAGTGGGAAGGTGGAGGAGTCAAAGATATCTCAGATTTCCAGCATGGGTGGCTGGGTGGGTGGTCAGGGATGGACTGAATTGAAGCAGAAAAGAATGCCATGGGAGCAGGTTTACAGAGAGAAAGAGCTTGATTTTGTACATGTTGAATTTGAAATGCCAGTGGAACAGCCAGCTGAAACTGCATGGGAGCGCAGTGAGGCGTGTGGGTATGGACCCCAGGTATGGTCTGAAGACCCTGATTTGAGAGTCATCAGCACAAATGTCGAAGCAGAGGCCATGAATAAGATCACCCAAGTAAACTGTGCAGAAGGAGTGGGAAGTGAAACAAGGACAAAAGCATGCATGGGCTCAAACCCCAAACCTCATACCAGTTATCCAGGATCCAGTCAGGAGCATTTAACTACTTTATGTGCTTCAGACTGAAAGAATTTAATATAGAGAATTGGTTACAAAGGTGTTAAAAGGGCAAGAAGTACAAAAAAAAAAAAAAAAGGAGAGTCCTAGAAATGTACATTTTAAAAAAAGATTGCTATCTGGAAATCAGAAGCTGCCATCATCCCTGAGCTGGAATCTGTAAATCTACTCATTGCCTTGTGAGAGACACTGTCATAGTCAGTTCCAATCTACTAGAAAGGTGCCACCTCCTTCAAGGCTAGAATCCTTGAGAAGGTACTTCTGCTCAGGAGGCTGGAGTCCTGAGTCTCCCATTCTTCCTGCTGCTACAGCTACAGCCAATAGCTACCAGCTATTGCCAGCCACCGACACTGTTTAGAGGCTGAAGCAGGATGCTTCTCAGTTTCTCTTGCCTTCTGATCTCCCATCAGTGCCTCCTACTGGCAGAATCAAAAAGGAAGCCAGATGTCCAGGAAGGCTGGGAAATACACACCTGGCTGACTCCTAAGCTAAGCAGTTCAAAACACAGTAGAGGAGGGTGTGTGTGTCACTGAGACAAAGATAATAACGAGTACACTGAAATACCCTGGTTTGTAAGAATCTGGTGGCACGAGGACCATCCAGAGCACTAAGAAAAGACCAAGGTAGAAGCAGATCAGAGAAATAAAAAAGAGGTGTGCCATGAAGGAGGGCAAGGTCAGCATTTTTAAATGCTACTCAAAAGTCAAGAAAGGATTGAAAAGTGTCCTTAGATTTGGTGATTATGAGATGGCTGACAAATTTATTGAGAGCAGTTTCAGTGTTGTAGTGGGAGTCAACTCCAGATTGTGGTGGGCTGAGAAGTAAGTGGGAGGTGAGGAAGAAACTGTCAGTGTACATGCTTCAAGTTTGTTAGACAAAAGAAAGAGAAAGACAGAAGGGGTGGGGGAAGAGGCAGTGAGAAAGCTCTAATGTGGCAATCAAGTAATCTGAGAAATTAATATATGTGAATATTGTCCAACAGTGTTTCTGAGGCTTTCAAAATTCATACCTTCCACCTTTTTTTTTTTTTTTTTTAAGACAAAGTTTCCCCTGTTGCCCAGACTGGAGTGCAGTGGCTACTTACAGGTGCAATCATAACTCACTCCAGTCTTGAACCCCCGAGTTCAAGCGATCCTCCCGCCTCAGTAGCTGGGGACTATAGGCACATGCCACTGTGCCTGGCTTCATATCCTCTTTTGATAAACAAGTAATAGCAGCAGTAATAGCCAAAAACAAAAACAACTCTATGACCTCCTAGATATTCTGGAACAGCAATGTGTATATATGTGTGTGTGTCTGTGTGGTGGAGGCAGGGTGCCAGGGAAGGACTAGGGTTTGGAAATCATGGTAACCCTCCAGAAAACAAAAGAACATTTCCCAGTATCCCAACATTTATGCACTAACCCATCAGCGGTTCTGGCAGTGGGAAGATGCAGGCCCCTGGACAGTAGAAAAGAAGTTTATGAGACTACCAGTGGGGAGACATATGGGACACAGCCACCTAGAGTCCTAAACCAGGGGTTAGCAAACTTTTTCTGTAAAGGGCCAGATGGCAAATATTTTAGACATTGTGGGCTATCAGATCTCTGTCATGAGTACTCAACTGTGGCACGAAAGCCTCCATGCACAATATGTAAATGAAGGAGAGTGGCTGTGTTCCTAGTTTCCTCCTAGCTTTTCCTCCCACTTCTTGAGCATCTCCTTCTCAGTCTCCTTCATAGACTCCTTCCTTTCAGCTACTCTTTAAATACTGGTGTTCCCTGGAGTTTTTGTCCTCAACCCTCTTTTTATTTATGGACACTAAAATTCAAATTTCATGTAATTTTCATGTGTCACGAAATATTCTTCATTTGCTTTTTTTTTTCCCTAACCATTTAAAAATGTGAAGACCATTCTTAGCTTTTAGGCCATTTAAAAACAGGTGGTAGGCAAGATTGTGCTCACAGCCCATAGTGTGCTGAATGATGCTCTACACGTGGTCAGAATTGGTACGAAAGCCCCAAATTAAACCCACCCTTCAAAGAAGAACCTCAGTCCCCTTATTATTGGATTGGCAATCAGTTAACAAACACTTTGTGCCAGTTACACCAGTCTATTTGGAAGGAGATCTGGGGAAGAACAGGAGAAACTAGACTGGGTGGAAGGGCATAGGAATAGGTACAGCAGACACTGCAATTTCTCTGGGTGAGAGGAACAAGGCAGAGGGGTCCAAGTTCTCCATAGGGAGCACAGTGTAGACAAGACCAAGGTGAGGACAAACATAACCATCCCTCACCAAGACTGTGGTGAGGGGTGGTTAACTCCATTCTCCCCTTCTATAATCTCAGTTTAAATGGTAACAAGTTCAAACACTTATAACTACTCTTCCCTCCATGTAATCCTTCCCCACCAGGACCTCCCAACTACCTCCATCATAAGTATCTCAGGAATAGTCTCTCATCAGTTTGGAAAGTAATAATTGTGGGCAAGAGATGAGCAAGGCAGCCAGTTCTGCTTTGCAGTAGTTCACTGTCTACTTTGTCATTAGCTATGAATGCCTCTGAAAATAATGGCACAGCACCGGTAAATCCAGGAGGCTCTGGCTTTCTAACACTCAGCTCTGCCATCCCTTTCTAGCATTTAAAAATGGACTCTATTTGGCCAGGCGCAGTGATTCACGCCTGTAATCCCAGCACTTTGGGAGGCCGAGGGGGGTGGATCACGAGGTCAGGAGATCAAGGCCATCCTGGTTAATGGTGAAATCCCATCTCTACTAAAAATACAAAAAAAAAAAAAAATTAGCCAGGCGTGATGGCGGGTGCCTGTAATCCAAGCTACTCAGGAGGCTGAGGCAGGAGAATCACTTGAATTCGGGAGGTGGAGGTTGCAGTGAGCTGAGATTGTGCCATTGCACTCCAGCCTGGGTGACAGAGCAAGACTCCATCTCAAAAAATAAATAAATAAATATATAAAAAGGACTCTATTTTTTTTCCCCTAGCAGAGTCAGATTTCTTGGAAAAGTCATGGGCAACTGTGGCCCCGCTCCCATTCTTGCCATTTAATCTTTTAACTCTCAACAATGCAATTGTTCACCAATACTTTTGTGTTGCCAAATCAAATGAACTAGTCTCTGCAACATCTGACACTGTTGGCCATACCCCATCTCCTAAATTGGTCAAATTTCTGGCATCCCTGATGGCACTCTCTCCTAGTTTTCCCTCCTACTTTTCTGGCGTCCCCTTTTCAGTCCCTTTGGGACTCCTTTCTTTCAGCAACCCTTTAAGTATTGGTGTTCCCTGGAGTTTTGTCCTCAACCTTTACTCTTCTTAGACTATACACTTGCCCTGGATGGTCCTCTCATTTACTCCCACATGCCTTCTGTTACCACCCATTTGCTAATGTCTTCCAAGCTTACCTCTTCAGCTCAGATCTTGCTCTGAGTTCCACACTACCCATATCTGAACCACTTCTGGTCAAATCCACTTGGATGCTATGCAATAGCAGTTTTTTGTTTTTGTTTTTTTTTTAAATATGGAACGCTTCATGAATTTGCATGTTCTTAAACTGTATTCTTCACAATAGCGTTCCTCAAGAAATAAAAAAAGTAAGTTTGATGATAGCAATCATTTATTTTTGAATTTATTTCCACATAGACATAATGCAACATCAAACACATTTATATAATATTTTTTATTATGTAACAATTTATTATATTTAATAAGTCTATTTATTGCAAGCAATAGAAACCAATTCTGGCTAACTTACATTTTAAAAATGAGGATTTATTGGAAAGATACTGATCTAACTCATGAAATGAAAGTAATAGTTGAATAAGCTAGCCTCAGGTAGAATAGCCACAGGGACCTTAGAAGCAGGGGTTGAGTTGCCATTAATATGCTCACCTGCAAAGGCCTCCTGCCTCTTTATCTTTCAAGTTTTGCTTTGCTGGGAGAGCCTCTCTCACTGGCTCAGCTTGTATTAGGTGTGTACCACTGGATTCATTGGTTGTGGCCAGGTACAGTATTACCTCTATGGATTAGAGCTATTCCTAGAGAAGGGAGAATCATATGAAAAGTAACCACCTCAATACAGCTATTTTCAACATATGGCATCTCAGACAATTGTATGAGATCATCTGAGGCATAAACATAAGGTTAAATCTGTGTATTAATGCTCAAACAGCATTTCCTAACTACTCAGGTGACATATGTCATCTGCTTGATGATCTCTGGTCGGTCACTTGTCTTATCACATATTCAAATTACATTTATCATGTGATTCAATATTGATTTATTAATTTAAAATTATATATTCCACGAATTTCCTTTGAATCTCTGACTAAAAAGGTTTTTTTAATTTTACTTTGAAAAGCTCCAAGCACACACAGAAGAGAAGAATCTAATAAACTCCAATGTACTCTCATGAATGTCAACAATTTTCAACATTTAACATTCTTCCATTCTTGTTTCATCTATTGTTCTGCATTTTTTGGAGTATTTTAAACAAATTCTGTCATTACATTTCACCAGTAAATACTTTTAGGCATATCTATAATAGATAATAACCTTTCCCTTAACATAACTATAATGCCATCACCACAACCAACAAAATTAAAAATTACTTAACTTCATTTGACCCAATCTGTTCATTTCTCCTAGTTATCTCAAAAATGTGTAAGAGAATGAAGTTTTAAATGAAAAGCAGTGTCTTATAATTTTCAAACCGTGCCATTAGTTTAAAAAAATTGGTGAGTTTTCTATTTTATGTTTCATAAGCTATTGATGGTTCAATAATGAATTCTAATTAGGTATTCCATAGGCAAATAAAGTTAGCAATTGTTACTCTGAATGTATCTCCATCTCAAGATTACAAGAGTACACTCATCACTTTCCCTTCCCAATATATTCCAACTCCTCTCTTATATTTAAGACTTCAGTGAATAACAAGATGTCCACCCGAGCTACAAATGTGGGTCATCGTTGATGACCCCATCTTCCTCAAACCTTCCCATTCAATTGTCCTAACAATTCTACCTTTCTAATAGCTCTTGAATCTTCCTTTCTTTTCCTTCCATTCCTACTGGTCCAGGCCTTCAATGGTTGGTTTTCACTGATTATTGCAACTTTCTTTATAATTGGTCTCTCTCTCTCCAATCTTATTATTTTCCACAGTGCTGCCAGAAGGATATTTTTATTATGCTTAGTTGATCATATTATACTTCTGCATGAAAACCTTCCATGATTGTTAATGATCTACTTTCCTTGTCATGACCCATAATGACCTGAAGTCTACTTACCTACTTCTATATGTCTTTTCAGGTGAAATCTCACTCCTCTCAGGAAGCCTTCCTTGAACCCAGAGTTGAGATTAATAGCCTCTTCAGTACGTTTCCAAAGCACCCTGTGTTGGCCATTATCACTGTTTTAATTGTATTATTCTCTTCCATTTATATGTCTGTTTCATAGTCACCTCATCTCTACTGCAAGGTCCTTAGGGGAGGGTGTACTATATATATATATATCTCCACCAAGAGGCCCACTAAGTGACCTTTCACTCGATGAACAAATGGGCTACCAGTCTCTGAAGGTGCTGAACTGAGAATGGAAGAGCCTTCAGGTATTAGATGATGATGGATTGTCCCTTCTAACAGATGTTTCAAAGGTAAATCTTATCAGGTTTATCTATAAGCCATTCTTTTTTTTTTTTTTTTGAGATGGAGTTTCACTCTGTTGCCAAGGCTGGAGTGCAGTGGTACGGTGTCCGCTCACTGCAACCTCCGCCTCCCAGGTTCAAGTGATTCTCCTGCCTCAGCCTCTGGAGTATCTGGGACTACGGGCACGTGCCACCATACCCGGCTAATTTTTTTTTTTTTTTTTGTATTTTTAGTAGAGATGGGGTTTCACTGTGTTAGCCAGGATAATCTTGATCTCCTGACCTCGTGATCCACCTGGCTCGGCCTCCCTAAGTGCTTTGATTACAGGCATGAGCAACCACACCCAGTCTCTATGAGCCATTTTACACCTCCACAGCCTTCCCTATATACTCTACTACCCTTCCAATTCCATTCTAGGCCCTTCCCAAGCTCCTTGCCAACTACCATTTTCTTCCTACTCCCTGCCACCTCCTGTTTCAGAGAGCAAACCTAGCCATCCAGCTCCCACATTTACTCTTATTTCTACCTCAGTACATTTCTCCATACCCATATTCATCCTCCCTTTTAGTGACATTACTATGATGCAGCAATCCTTACAACTACTCTACAAGGTTATAATTTATTATCCCCATTATATAAACAAGAAAACTGGGACTCAGAAAGGTTCATTTATTTAGCAAATATTTATTGGCCACCTTCTGTGTCTAGCAGTATGCTCTGTATCAGATACCTGCCATCATCACACTTAAAGTCTAATGAAAATAAAGAGACATTAAACAAGAAAACATACAAATTTATAAACTAAAAGGTCCACACACACACACACACAAAATCTCTTAGAATTGATAAATTCAGTACAGTTGCAGGATACAAAATTATCATATAAAAATTAATGGTGCTTCTGGATACAAACAGTAAACTAGTGGGAAAAGAAATCAAAGAAAGTAATCCCATTTACAATAGCTACAACCCCTCCCCCCACCAAAAAAACAAAATAGAATACCTAGAATAAACCAAGGAGGTGAAAGATCTCTACAAGGAAAACTATGAGACACTGAGGAAAAAAACTGAAGAGGTCACAAAAAAATAGAAAGACATCCTATGTCTTCGGAAGAATTCGTATCGTGAAAATGACTGTACTACCAAAAGCAATCTACAGATTTGTTGCAATTCCTATCAAAATACAAAGATATTCCTTGCAGAAACAGAAAAAACAAACCTAAAATTAATATGGAACCACAGAAAACACAAATAGTCAAGGTAATTCTGAACAAAAAGAACAAAGCTGTAGACATCATACCACCCAACTTCAAAATATACTACAAAGCTACAGTAACTAAAAGAGCACGGTACTGGCATAAAAACAGATACACAGACCAATAGAACCGAATAAAGGACCCAGAAATAATAGATCCACATCTTAACAGCCAACTGATTTTCAACAAAGGTACCAAGATATTCAATGGGAAAAGGACACACTCTTCATTAAATGGTGCTGGGAACACTGAATAACAATATGCAGAAAAATACAACTACACCCCCATCTCTCATCAAATACAAAAATTAAATCAAAATGGATTAAAAACTTAAATGTAAGACCTGAAACTATAAAAGTTACTGTAAGAAAATACTGGGGAAATGCTCAAGACTTTGAGCAAACATTTTTTGGTTTAAGACTTCAAAAGGAGAGGCAATGAAAGCAAAAATACACAAATGGGATTACATCAAGCTAAAAGGCTTCTGCCACAGCAAAGGAAACAATCAACAGAGTGAAGAGACAACCTTCAGAATGGGAAAAAATATGTGCAAACTATCCATCTGATAAGGGATTAATAACCAGAATATATAAGGAACTCAAACTCAACAGCAAAAATCCTCCAAATAATCCCATTTGAAAATGGGCAAATGATCTGAATAGACATTTCTCAAAAGACATACAAATGGCCAACAGGCATATGAAAAAATTCTCAACGTTACTAACCATCAGGGATATGCAAATCAAAACCACAATGAGATATCATCTGAATCTAATTAAAATGGCTATTATCAAAAAGACACAGATAAGAGATACTGGTGAGGATGCAAAGAAAGGGGAATGCTCATATACTGATGGTAGAAATGTAAATTAACATAGCCACTATGGAAAACAGCATAAAGGTTCCTCAAACAACTAAAAATAGATCTACTAGATGATTCAGCAATCCCACTGCTGGGTATATATCCAAAAGAAAGGAAATCAGTGTATCAAAGAGATGTGTACATGCCCATGTTTATTTCAGCACTACCCACAGTAGCCAAGACATGGAATCAATCTAAGTGTCTATCAAGTGACTGGATAAAGAAAATGTGGTGTATATATATACAATGGATACTAGTCAGCCATAAAAAAGAATGAAATCCTGTCATTTCCAGCAACATGGATGGAACTGGAAGTCATTATGTTAATGAAATAAGTCAGACACAGAAAAAAAAATATCACGTTCTCATAAGTGGGAGCTAAAAAAGTTGATCTTATGGAGGTAGAGGGTAGAATGATGGTTACCAGAGACTGGGAAAGGGAGGGGGTGGAGGGGGGATGAAGAGAGATTCATTAATGGTTACAAAAATATAGTTAAATTGAAGGAATAAATTCTATAGTGTTTGATAGCACAGCTGGGTGACTACAGTTAACATTAATTTACTGTATATTCCAAAATAGCTAGTAGATTTGAAGTGCTCCCAACAGAAGGAAATAATAAATGTTTGAGGTGATGGATATCCTAATTATCCTGATTTGATCATTACACATCGTATGCATGTATCAAAATATCATATGTACCCCATAAATATGTACAATTATTATGTATCAATAAAAAATAAAAAAAAACAATTCAGAAGTCCATAAACTTGGATGGAATAAAAAAAAGTCAACTTTATTTTCAAAAAACTCTCACTGAAATCTAATTTTATGAATGTAGAAAATAAATCTTTGTAGTACCAGCCAGCAGCTGTAACACTGTCATCAATAGAAAACACCATCAATTAATATTTTCATATCACATTATAGTTGTTACAGACATCTTAAAATATCACTTACAATTATGGGAGCTGTTAAACTTGCCAAAAAATCATGCTTTTTAATGTATTAGTAAAGAAACACTGTATTGTATTAATACAGAAACACATACTACTAGATCATCACACGTTTCTTTGAATATAGTAGTGTCCCCCACACAGCACCAAATGTGATTATACAGTTTATTCCTATCCATAGATATACCTATGATAAAGTTTAATTTATAAATTTGCACAGGAAGAGATTAACAACAAAATAGGACAATTATATTGTAATAAAAGTTATGTGAATATGGTCTTTCTGTCTCATACACAAAGTATCTTATTGTACTTATTTTCAGACCAGGTTGACCTTGGGTAACTGAAATCACAGAAATTGAAACTGCAGTTAAGGGGGGACCACTGTATTTTGATAACTATAGTTTATATTTTATTTTATGCATTTACAAATATTATCAGACAAGATCCAAAGGCTTCACCAAACTGCCAAAAAAGCTAATGGCACATAAAAAGCTTAAGGAGTCCTGATTTAATCAGTCATTCAATGAACATGACATCCTTCCTGGAACCATCTCCTGTTCTAGCTTCCTCACATTATGTTGCTCTGCTTCTCCTTGAGATCTTCCATTGGTTCCACTTCCTATTCTTGCTTCCTGTATGAAGATGTAACCCAAAGCTCAATCCTTCACCCTAAATTGTTTTTATACCCCCTCTTTTACAAACCTCAGCTACCTTCGTGGCTGATTCAAACATCACCTCAAAGGTGACTCTCAAATCTGCTTTTCCTAATCTTTTTTCTCTAACTTCAATCTTGGATCTTAAACTCCCTGCTGTGCCTAGTAAACAGAATAATATGCCACCCAGAGTCAGCTGGGTTCAAATCCCAGTTCTGCTACTTACTAAAGGTGTGACCTTAGGTAAATATTACCTGCTATGGTTTGAATCTCTCCTCCAAAACTCTTGTTGAAAATAATTGCCATTTTGACAGTTTTAAGAAGTGGGACCTTTAAGAGTTAATTAGGTCATGAGGGCTCTGCTCTCATGAATGGATTAATGCTACTAATGTAGGTATGGGTTCCCATTTAAAAGGGGACATTCTGAGGCCGGGCACAGTGGCTCACACCTGTAATCCCAGCACTTTGGGAGGCCGAGGCAGGTGGATCATGAGGTCAGGAGATGGAGACCATCCTGGCTAACACGGTGAAACCCCGTCCCTACTAAAAATACAAAAAATTAGCCAGGCTTGGTGGCGGGCACCTGTAGTCCTAGCTACTTGGGAGGCTGAGGCAGGAGAATGGTGTGAACCCGGGAGGAGGAGCTTGCAGTGAGCCAAGATTGCACTACTGCACTCCAGTCTGGGCGACAGAGCGAGACTCCGCCTCAAAACAAACAAACAAACAAAGGGTACATTCTGGCCTCTATTCTCTCTCCATCTCATGTGCTTGTTTGCCTTTCTGCCGTGGGATGATGCAGCACAAGGCTCTCACCAGATGCCAATGCCATGCTCTTGGACTTCCAAGCAACTGGAACTGAGCCAAATAAACTACTGTTTATAAATTACCCAGTCTGTGGTATTCTGTGATAGCATCAGAAAACAGACTAAGACGTCCTTTGCTTCTGTTGTTTCATTTGAAAACTGAGGGTGATAATATTAGTATTGACTTTATAGGGTTATAAGGATTAAAAGAGTTACTACATGTACTCATTGCAGTACCTGACACATTTTAACTACTCAATAAATGTTTTGTATCACCAATCACATCTCCTTCCAACCCCGACATTTTAATTTGATGTTTATTAACATGGACGGTGCCAGCCACTGGAAGACAGAGTTTCTATCTAACAACATAATTCTGATCAAGTCATTAGTCAAAAAATTTCAGTGGTTCCCCACTGATTCCAAACTTAACAGCACTGGAAACCTTCTATAATGTGTTCTCTAATATAAATTTACCTCCCATTTTCTCTTCTCCTGCTCTACTTCTTGTAGCTTATGTTCTGGCCAGACTGGACTAGACTACTCTCTGTGACAATAACCTGTGCTGTTCTATGTCTGTCTTTCCTCACATAATTCTAATGTCTCAGGTTTGAAGGCAATAATTTTGTCTATGATTATTCCCCTATACATGGCACCCCATAAAACATACACATTTCAATCTTACCTAAGTCACATACTTACTTACACATCAATTCACCTCCATATTTGCTCAATTTGTGAGAACCTAATATTGGCCAGATACTGTGCTAGGACCTAGGGATATTAAAAAAAAAAAAAAAAGCAAAGCAAGAAAAAGAATGCATAATGGCCCTGCTCTCAAAATCAAGGTCTAGTACTAGAGAGAAACATGTAATCACATAAATGCCATTCACTGTGGAAAGTAAAATCATAAGGGGAAGGGACACCAAAGAATGAGCAGTTAGCTCAACTTGAACAGTAACATTAAGCTTTTCAGAGATGTTATTTGGGCGTACATAGATTGGGGAAAAGTCTACTCCATATAGAAAGTGCACATGTGTAAAACACAGAGGCATGAAACAAAATGATGTGTCTGGGAAACAGTTCAATACAGCTGGAATATAGGGCCCAAGAGGAAGTGGTTAGACATGAGGCTGGAAAGCTAGGCAGACTGTTTTGGCAAACATAGGAATTTGGACTTTATCACATAGCCAATAAGGAATAACACAGAGTTTTAAAAAGAGCTATGGCCAGGGCTATATTTTGGAAAGCTCTCTCCTGGCAGTATTGTGGCAGAGGCAGAGAGGAAAGTCTAAAGCAGCACTGTCCAACAGAACTTCTTGTAATGAGGCCGCGCGCAGTGGCTCACGCCTGTAATCCCAGCACTTTGGGAGGCTGAGGCGGGCGGATCACGAGGTCAGGAATTCGAGACTAATTTGGCCAACATGGTGAAACCCCGTGTCTACTAAAAATACAGACACTAGCCGGGTGTGGTGGCAGGCGCCTGTAATCCCAGCTACTCGGGAGGCTGAGGCAGAATTGCTTGAACCCGGGAGGCAGAGGTTGCAGTAAGCCAAGACTGCGCCACTGCACTCCATCCTAGGCCACAGAGCAAGACTCCGTATCAGGGAAAGAAAAAAACAACTTCTTGCAATGACACAAATGTTCAATAATCTGTGCTTTCCCATATGACAGCCACTAGTCACATGTGGCTACTGAGAACTTAAAATGTGGCTAGTGTATTGAGACACTAAATTTAAAATTGTATTAATTTAAATCCAAATAGCCATGTGTCTAGCAAATAATTTAGGAGACTGTTGGTATAGCTCAGGTGATAGAATTAGGACAGAAGGGTGAGTTGATGGATAGTTAAGAGGCAAAATTATGAGTCTGTAAGGGTGTGAGAAAAGGAAATCAAGAACAGGCTCCCAGATTACAGACTTTGTGGTTAAACAGCCACCATTACTCAGGACAACAGAAGAGAAAGAGCAGGTCTAGAGTGTATAGTGATTTCATCAATTTTGAACATACTGGTGTCTGAGAGTTATCCCAGTGGGAATATTTAGTAGAAAGTTTAGCTTAGAGAGCTGTCTGAACTAAAGATTCAGACTTCAGAGGCTTTGAGCCATGGAGTCAGATTACCTAGAGAAGTTGAACAAAATTAGAAGCAAACAAGAATCACAGCAAATATCAACACATAAAAAGGGGCTAAGGAAGAAAAATCTACTGAGACTGGAGAGGAACAGTTACACAAATAGGAAAAGAAACAAGTGAGAGTGGTATAGAAGTCAAGGGTAGAGAGAATGTCAGGAAGGAAACATGATCAAATGTCGAATGCCTCAGAGGTCAAATAAAGTGAGAACTGTAAAGTGCTTCCTGACTTTGCCAGTTAGGAGGTTCTTGGTGACATCTGCCAGAAAAGTTTTGGTGGTAGCAGCCTGACAGAGGTAGCTTGAAGAGTGGGGATGGGGAAAGAGAATGTGACAAAGAATTGAGATAGTAAGGATAATTTCAATTTCAGGTCTTGGCTGTGCAAGGAAGCCGAGAGACATGAGTCTCTAAGAGGGCACGATATTGAGAGGGTTGTTATCTTTCTGTCAGCGGGGAAACCAAGAGAAAAGTTTAAAAAGGTCAAAAGGGGGAGAAGGGAAGACAGCTTCCGGGTAACAGAGAAGGTTGACCAGGTCAATAGTAAAGGATTTCCTCAAACCGAAGGGAGGACCTCTAGTGAAATGAGAAAGGAATACACAATTGACCCAGTTTGCAGGTGGGAAATGGGAAGCCAGTTCTGCAAATTGGCCTTTCTGTTCTGTGAAGTGCCATCTGTCGGTGAGGAGAGATTAGGGTCTGCAGCGTGAAAATCTGGACCATACTCTGGGTAATCAAGGGAGAGGTTATCGGCTAATGACAAATTAAAGGCTTACTTTTTAGCTGGCAACTGAATCACCATAACATTTTATGTTACCAGTTCCAAAATTTTGGGGGGAATTCACTCAAGCTTGGGAGAGGAGAGATCATAACTTTAAGAGTATAAGAGGTTTAAACGGTCCACTACGAAATAAATAGAGAAGGAAAAGTTATCAGCTGGTAAATATCGTAGAAGGTAGAGCGGTCCAGGGACTCACAGGTCTCACTAAAGAAAAGTCTAGCGTAGGTTCACGGCACGGAGAGATTTTAAGGCTGCCTAAGACTAAAGCCAAATACGAAGTCCACATCTGCGGTCCGCACCTTATCTCTCCGCGCGGCAGGCGCGACGAGGGCGAGAAACTCCCTCTCCAGTGGTCGCACCACACGACACCAGGGAAGGGGCCCCTCTCTCCAGACCCTCATATCTCCAGGTCCAGGCCCCATTTTCCTCCGCTGACAGCTCAGCAGCGTGCGCTTCCGCTGGATTCAGGCCAGGACCAGCGAAGCCGCACCTTACACCCACCGAGGAGGAAACAAGCCTGGCCACCCGAGGCTACCCCGCTAGGCCGCGGGTAGTGGGGGAGGGGGCGCTGAGGCAGGAGGTCAGCACCCGGGCGCGGGCTCCCGCCCCACGAAAAGCGCGCGCTCCAAGCCCCGCCGCCGGAGATGCGGTTCCGGTCCGGACGCCTGCGCACTACGGCTCTCCCCGCAGCCTCTGGCCCTCCTTCCCCCTCCCCCAGTCAGGGCGCACCCTTGCGCCTGCGCTGTGTGTGTTCCTGGTCTGCGGCAGCCATGCTGAACTCGTATGGAGAGGCGAGTGGGGGGGACAGAGTCCAGGACCGCGGGATAGGAAGCTGGGGATATGGACAAGCAGCAGCGTTATAGCGCTCTGGGTTTCGGGACATAGGCCTGGGCCATGCGGCCCCCTTGGCCCCTTGGCGCGACCCCCAGGAACGTTCGGAAAGCTGGTCCTCGTGGCTGGGGGAAAGGCGGGGGGTGGGGGGGAAGCGGGCACGTGACCCCGGTCAGCCAATCTGGGTGCTGCTGACGTGGCCGCGCGGCCCCGATGCTCTCCCCACCCCCCCAGCCCGTTCGGGAAGGGAGGGGCTGGGGGCTACGCCCCCTCCCCCAGCACGGCTTCGTTTTCTGGGGGGGGGTTGACACCCCGGATTACATACCCCGTACCAAGCCGAGGGCAACTTTGGAGGCCCCCTGGAAGGCTTTAGGATCCAGGTGAGAAGGGGCCCTTGTGGGGCGGAGATGTCAGTCAAGTGCTTAACCAATGGTGGGGAGTCCGGGAGGGGGATTCTTGGGGTTCAGGAAAGAATCCTGAGAGTGGGAAGATTTGTCCTTCAAACCTTTTACAGCCAATGGGAGCGTGGAGGGGGGGCGAGCGGGAGAGGGCCATGGGGGGGGAGGGGAATGGCCAGCCTCATGCCTCCGTACCCATTGGAGGGCAAAGGGGTTAGGGGGCGGTGTGGCCCCCCCTATTCCATTCGTCCCCTGGGGGTACAGCAGCCGGGAGCCAGGTGAGAAGGGATCCATCGGCGGCCGAGGGAGGGGTGACCTGGCGGTGGGCTGAGGAGTGGTGGCTGTGGCCCCTACCCGTGGATGTGAATGCTTTAGGAGTTGGCCACCCATGTTGTGAACTGAGGTTGTTCCCAGGCGCCAACTTCCTTTCTCCCCAGAGCCTCTGGAGGGAGCATTGCTGTGCGCCCTTTGTGTCCGCGGTAGGGGAGCTCCAGTCGTCACACCGCAGGCTGGAGGTTACGCTTCGAGTCGCTTACCGAATTTGTGTGCATTCACGTGGACACGGCCTGTGGGGCCTTTTGCCCCTGTAGGGTCTTTACTGAGCACGTGTCTACTCCAGGCTGGGGTGCTTACAAGCTGAAAGCTTGAGGTCTGCTTAGGAACAGAAACCAGGCCCAAGGTGGGTGCTGGCAGTAGGGGGTCTAGACAGCATGGTCTGAGATGCGAGGGAGGCTCGGGACCTGGAATGATTTCACAGCTCCCAAGGTTTCGGGTTTCTCCAGGGTGGCCTCTTCCATCGCCTCCCTCATCCCCTCCCCCAGTCCTGAACAGTTCTCTCCTTGTGTACTGCGGGGGAGGGAACGGAAAGGAGGAAAGAGTTACTTTCCCAAATTACTGAGTAGCAGTAGCCTCCCTGGTGACTCATGTGGGGGAAGGGAGGATAGAGGATCGGGAGGCAGTGATTTTCCGGAATGCAGGGAATAAACGAGAGCAATGTCTGGCTGCCCTTTTCCTAAGGCCTAGTATTTTCTCAGCCTCCTAAGTTTTTATTCCATGGCCGGCCCCCTGATGGGCCTCTGTCCTGGCCTGCAGAGCCCCGGTGGAGAAAAGCAGATTTGGGAGGTTGGGCCGCTAGGGGGAGGGGAAAAGGCCTCTGCAAAGTTGCTGTGTCATTGCCCTCCATGCTGCAGCCACCCAGACGGGGCCGCTTGTACTTTTGGGGGCCAGGGCCTGATCCCTGGCTGGGGGAAGGGGACTCTGCTCTCCTGACGCTCATTTTCCCCCGCCCTCCCGGGGTTTGCCCTACTCGGGGGGTCAGAAGACAGGAGATTGGCGGCCATTTTAGACGCAGTAACCGAGGTTGGAGTTGAAGGGCTACTGCAGAGGAGGGAGGGTGGCGTGGTTGCAGCTCAAGGACCTAGGCCCTTACGAGCCCTTCCCGGGCGAGGGGGAATCTTACCGTATATTTGTTCACCTACGTTGATTATTTTTCCCAGATACGTACACAAGTTTGTTTTCTCCCTGGTAGCGAAGAAAGGGGAAACGGGGGAGGGGACGCCCCACCAAAGCCCAGGTTTTCTCGGGTGGGGGAGATCCTTTCACTCTCTTGTAAGGGGGCGGGGACGGCCCCAGAGATGCTCTGGAGATCCTGACTCTGGGCTCTGGTTGATTCACAGAGTCTGCACCCTTATTTAGATAACCAAGTTAGGAGGAAGACTTAAGAGTAAGTTGGGGGGAGGGGGCGAAACTGAGCTCCCAAAATGGCTCCTGCCCCTCCTCGGAGGCGGACGGCCGGGGGGAGGGGAGGAGGGGAGGAGGGGGAGGGCTAGTCTGAGCCGCAGCCGCCGCCTCCTCCGCTCGCCCTCCTCCCTGGCGCTGACCGATGGACCAGCCGCTCCGTGGGGAGGACTCCGGACCCTGGTGGGGGGGCGGGGGGGTTCTTTCGCCCCCGTGGCGGAGGGCCCCTGAGAGGCGGATACGGGTGTGCCTTTGGGGGTGATGTGGCGTGTGGGGGGAAAGGTCCGAGCTCGCCTGGAGGGGGAGGGTTTTTCCCTTAAGTCATCCCTCCCAGGACTTGCTTTTTCTGCTCTGAGCCGGACGCCGGAATGGAGTTTGAGGAAGAGGTGAGGTGTGTTGCATTGTATAGGGTAGATGGATGCGTTTGGAGATTTTAATCCCACTTTTAGGGTTGCCGAGGATTTTTCGAACGAGCAGAAATGTATTGGTAACTGTAGGTGTGAGTGGGGAGGGATTAGAAAGGTGCTTGGACGTGCAAATTTGGGAGACGTATTTTAGCTTTTGTGGTCTTTGGGACTAAACAGTAGTAAATAATGTTTTGCTCGTCTTTCCATCGTTTGGCTTGAGGGAGGGAGTGGAGTATTATAAGACTCTGGCAACACTGTTTTAGACTGTGGGGCATGGGAACGTTAGATCCCCTCATCGCCGTTCTGAAGCCCGTAGCTGTTCGCCATAGAGGAGCAGGCCGCGGCTTCTAAGATGGCGTCTTTTTCCTCGTTTCAGATTCTTCGCTGCTGCTGCCTTACCGCCGAGAACCACCACCCGCCAGGCGTCTTGCGGCCACACCCCTGGCGGGTTCAGGCAGGCTACGCCCACGCGACCCCTCCCGTTTCCCTGCTTTGGCCAATGGAGGAGCTACGAATGGCACGACCTGCTCGAGCTTGGCAGTCTCCAGTTGGGCTGTGCATGGAAGCTTGGGAAGACTTTGTTGGAAGGGGAGGCGGGGAGAGAGTGCTGGAGGCTCTGGGGCGATGGCTTCCGCACCTCTTCCAACCACCCTCTTTCCCTGGAGTCGGCGGACCACAGCTCAGCCAATTGGCTTGGAGATGTGGCGGGTTGCCACTTCCCTGTGGGTCTCTGCGGCACTCTTCTGCCTGGTGACTGACACCTTGGAAATGAAGTTTATGACGTCATCGTTGCGGCTGGCC